>NC_000007.14:68870415-69173445 GCF_000001405.40 Homo sapiens | reverse complement strand
ATAGGAAGCATCGGTGTCAAGGACTTACAAAAGAGCCCCCCAAAAAGAAAAACCAAGACAGGGAAGGCAATTTTGGGGTGAGCAGGGGAGAAGTTGGGATAAGGGAAATGAAGAAAGATGCTGCCGTACTAGGATTGAAGCACAAACCAGAATGTGCCCTTTTGTAATCCACGTTGCTATTTTTGGTTATCGGTGGACTTGTGGGGGATGGAAAGCGGGAGGAATAAATCCATCCTTGCCCCAGTGCAGGTTTGAAGTTTATGAGGATGGAATGGTAAGCACACAACATAGGGTTTTATGCATCAGCACAACTTTGTGTTAAATTGTTCTCAGAGGGTATCTTGTAGGGGAATGTGAATATGAATGGCTGTGTTGTTCTGGAGGCTGAATTGCAATTACCAAGATGTGATAGGAAACCTGGTCTTAACACTGCCCAGTAAAACAGTATCCCCCCCGCACTTATGTATGGCACCTATGGTCCATTTAGTCTCACATACACAAAGTAATCTCTTTGGTAGTCAAACTCCCATGAGCCACCCAGAGTACACAGCAGAAAGAACTCTGTTGCCTAGCAACCAATGGAACATTACAACACTAGATAAATCGAATCAATATTGCTCTAAATATTGAACCGTTAGATGATAAAAAAAAAAAACCCTCAAAGCTATGTCCATAACTCCTTTGCTTTTTCCTCTCCTAGGCTTAGCAGCCGAGGTGGACCAGCTGGTGTTTTCACAATCTGCAGAGACATACAGGGAAGGACGATGGGGGGACGACATGGTGAGTTCCACGGAGGAACCCGGCAGTAGTCATTCCAGAAAGGAGATACCTGAAGGCTAAATCCCTAGGAATCTGGAGCCTCCTGTCCACCTTGGCAGCACTGGGTGGCCTGGAAGTGAGGTCATTGTACTGAGTTCCTGACATGCTGGCGTCTGGTCAGGAATCACTGAAGTTGAAGAGACCAAGGTCACTGCCAATGGTTTTTATAAAGAACACTTGAGTTGCTGGGCACAGTGGCTCATGCCTGTAATCCCAACACTTTGGGAGGCTGAGGTGGGAGGATCGCTTGAGCCTAGGAGATCAAGACCAGCCTGGGCAATATAACAAGACCCCCATGTCTTAAAAAAAAAAAAAATCAGCCAGGTATGGTGGTGAACATCTGTAGTTCAAGCTACTCAGGGGGCTGAGACAGGAGGATCACTTGAGCCCAGGAGTTGGAGGCTGCAGTGAGCTATGATTGCACCACTGCACTCCAGCCTGGGTGATAGAGACAGACCTTGCCTCTAAAAAAAAAAAAAAAAAAAAGAACACCCAAGGTTCAAGTTGGTGCACAAGACGTCCTCCCCATGAGACACCTAAGGCCCTCCCCATCCCTTCATCACCAAGCCCCAGTGGTGAACTGCACCTTCTCTGTCTACTCACAACCCTCAGATTGACATATTGGAACTTCTTTCCCTTGAAGTCTATTTTAGTGTATTTTAACCAGCCTCTTGCGCCTTGGTAGAAATGAACCCAGCTTGGAAGGGGAGGGGGAAATTTGAAAAATGTCTAATCATGTTTTCCAATGAGTTACTTTTTCTTCCTGGAAATAATGCTAGATCATATTCCTAGCAACAATTTCCTGGCAGAGTAGCCTTTCTGAAGAGGCTCAATATGTCCTCTTGTGCAAAGCTTTCCTTGGGGTCCCCAACTTTAAGGTCCTGCCACAGTGCTGTTGGAAGCACTGATTTTTTCACAGATAAAATGGTAGAGTTGACTTTAGTGAGAGTTATTAAGAGGTGGAGGAGAGAAACTAACAATGTGAGCCTTTACCATGTGCCACTTTAGTGAGAGTTATTAAGAGGTGGAGGAGAGAAACTAACAATGTGAGCCTTTACCATGTGCCAAGCGCTGCAGAGGATGCCTTAATAAAACTGGAGCTGCTCATTGAAGTGATGTGATACCTGTATAAGGTAGGACCTATTCTTTCCCTTTTGCAGATGGAGAAACTGAGACTTATAGTAACTTATCCTTAAGAGAGAGTTGTGGTATCCCAACAGGCAGTAATTCTGGGCTTCTCTCTGGTCTTTATGTGGTCATTGGGAGGTATATGGCCGAGCAATGGCCCCCTCTCTTAGTTCCAATGGGCCACACAAGGGCCATTTGGAAAGAGAGGATGAAGGCTAGGACCTACGAGGGCTCTGTGTCACTGTCATAATGAAGAGGATGGTCTTCACCGTGCAAGAGAAGAACACCTCTCAAATCGTGAGACAAGACAGGAAAACAGATCTGTCTTCCTTCTAGACCTCAGTGGTGCTATCACTGACAATGCATGTTTGCCCTTGGGAGTGGCGAAGTTTGAGTTTGTATATTTCAACTTTTACCTCCGGAACAGTGCAGGCAGGTCCCGCTTTTCATTGTTCTCCTGATACTTTGTCCTCCATGATACTACCACTCAAGTTTGGATTAAGCTGTGGATGCGGGGACTTGCAACATTGGAGGGAAAAACTTAAAACTGTCAAGGATAATTTCTCCATAGCTCACCAGGAAGGCCCCCAGGAAGATAGACTCTCCACAGGGGTCCCTTGTGGCGCATTATTTTTTTTCCTGCTGTTCTCTACCTTCAGGTTCTTTTTCCCCCCCATCAACTGTCTCATTCTTCCAATCTCCATGGGCTGCATCTCCATTTTCCTTTTGGGAAATCTATTAGGGTGGTGCAAAACTAATTGTGGTTTTTGCCATTAAAAGTAATGCCATTTGGCTGGGCATGGTGGCTCAAGCCTGTAATCCCAGCACTTGGGGAGGCTGAGGTGGGTGGATCACTTGAGGTCAGGAGTTCGAGATCAGCCTGGCCAACATGGCGAAAACCCATCTCTACTAAAAATACAAAAATTAGCCAGGCATAGTGGTGCACGCTTGTAATCCTAGCTACTCGGGAGGCTGAGGCAGGAGAATCGCTTGAACCCGGGGGGCGGAGGTTGCAGTGAGCCGAGATCGTGCCGTTGCATTCTAGCCTGGGTGATGGAGTGAGACTCTGTCTCAAAAAAATATATAATAATAATAATAATAATAATGCCATTAAAAGTATAGCAAAAACTGCAATTAGTTTTGCACCAAACTAATATCTCCCTATCCTCAGGGAAATCTCAGAATCTCAAGACCCATTACTACTTTCCTCTATCCCACCCCAAAGGTGCACTGAACGAACAGTAGCTCATTAAATTCATGATAACACCTAGGACGGGGAAACTATTGCTTCTGCTATCCCAGGGCAGAAAAACTACAGATGCCCCGCGTGGGTCTCAGACAAGTTCATGCCACATCCCTTCTCCGAGTTCTCTGTGCAGGTCTATCTCTGGACAGGTGTCTAAGTCCACCATGCTCATTTTTCCTCATTGTCACCATCGTTATGGCTGTTTGTCACTGCTCCTACATGTCAGGCACTGTACAATACATTATTCCACTGCCTCCACTGTACATTAGACATCATCAGCCCCATTTTGCAGAGGAGCGAATGGAAGCAAAGAGAGAGCGTGCAGTTTGCCCAAGGACAACCAGCTAATACGTGGAAGCTGTGATTTGAATCAAGTTCTTCCATCTGAAGTCAAGGCTGTTCTGGGGGGTCAGTCTTACAGAGGCTGGAGAGGACATGGCTTATAGCAAATGCTCTAGGAGTCTAAGAGGCACCCAGCAGGTGACTGGCAGAATCTTGCTTTCACTTGGAAAATCAGGAGACCTGGATTTTAGTCCCAGTTTTATTGAACTCCCAATTTTCCTTTTCATCATCCATAAAATGAAGGAAGGCTCAGTGACCTGCCAGCTCTCAGAGTCTAATTCAGACCAATGGCCAGTTTCTGAGTCCAGGAAGCAAACTCTGGAACTGAATCCAAACCCGTACAGAACTCAGATGTCTCTGCTTTCATTCTGCAGTTGAAACAGATAAAAGACATAAGGCAATTTCTTCATGCACCACCACTGCCAGGGAACCACAGAACTGAGTGACCAAGGTCTCTTCCTGCCAGGCAGCCTGGAATGAAATCTTTCAGTCACTGTTTTCTTAGGTGTTATTTCTTTACATATGAATAAAAGCCTCGGTAGAAAGGCATTTCTGGTTTTAAGGAAGGAAATCTGAATCTATAAAATGAATCAATTGGGGCTATAAATGTTTGCATTACAAAAGAATTCTGAAGAATACCGCCATTTGTGATATTCTGCATTTATTATTATTATTATTTTTGAGACAGGGTCATGCTCCGTTGCCCAAGCTGGAGTGCAGTGGTGCTATCACAGTTCATTGCGGCCTCAGTCTTCTGGGTTCAAGTGATCCTCCCAATTCAGCCTCCTGAGTAGCAGGGACCACAGGCATGCTCCACTATGCCTGGCTAATTTTTTTTTTGTTTGAGACATGGTCTTGCTGTGTCACCCTGCTAATTTTTTTGATATTGAGTAGAGACAAGGTCTGGCTATGTTGCCCAGTCTGGTCTTCAACTCCTGGGCTTAAGCAATCCTCCCACCTGGGCCTCCCAAAGTGCTGGGATTATAGGTGTGAGCCACTATGCTAGGCCTTATTATTATTATTAAAAAATCAAATAGTGGAAAGCTCATTAGTCAAAAATTAGGATTATAGAAACAGGGCCAAAATATAACCAGCCTGCTGACAGGTTAAACATAATTATTCATTTTTCACATTTTTTTTTTTTTGGCAAAAGGATGACATACGTCGGAGGTTATGTCATTCCCATGTGAGACTTTTCTATCTTGAGATGTGCTTCTCCTTTTGATAATGCTCTGTTCTGGCTGGGCACGGTGGCTCACGCCTGGAATCCCAGCACTTTGGGAGGCCAAGGCGGGCGGATCACGAGGTCAGGAGATTGAGACCATCCTGGCTAACACGGTGAAACCCCACGTCTACTAAAAATACAAAAAATTGGCTGGGCGTGGTGGCGGGCGCCTGTAGTCCCAGCTACTTGGGAGGCTGAGGCAGGAGTATGGCGTGAACCCGGGAGGCGGAGCTTGCAGTGAGCTGAGATCGCGCCACTGCACTCCAGCCTGGGCGACAGAGCGAGACTCTGTCTCAAAAAAAAAAAAAAAGAAAAAGAAAAAGAAAATGAAAATGCTCTGTTCATGCCCATCAACATCTTACCTTTCCGTCCTCATTCTGGCTCTTAATCATATATTTCTTTGTGTTATCAACCAACTGTACCAAGTATGTTGGTGTAAGTTGTTTCCATTACCACACTTTTCTTATTTTTTTTTCTTTTTTGAGATAGAGTCTTGCTCTGTCACCCAGGCTGGAGTGCAGTGGCACGATCTCAGCTTACTGCAACCTCTGCCTCCTGGGTTCAAGCGATTCTCCTGCCTCAGACGCTCGAGTAGCTGGGATTACAGGCACCCGCTACCAAGCCCAGGATTTTTTTTTAGAGGAGGCCCCTACATCTTAGCCTTCAGGCTGAATAGCGGGGCATTTCACAGGCATTTCTTGTAGGCTTATGGAGGAAAGAACAAAATCAGGTACTGGAGAAGCTTTTTTTGGAGACAGGGGTCTTGTTCTGTTTCCCAGGCTGGAGTGGTGCAGTGGTGCAGTGGTGCCAACTTGACTCACTGCAGCCTCCACCTCCCGGGCTCAAGCCATCCTCCCACCTCAGCCTCCGGAGTAACTGGGACTACAGATGCACACCACCATGCCCAGCTAATTTTTGTACTTTTCTGGGGTAGAGATGAGGTCTCGCTATGTTGCCCAGGCTGGTCTCAAACACTTGGGCTCAAGTGATCCACCTGCCTCGGCCTCCCGTAGTTCTAGGTTTACAGGCGTGAGCCACTGTGTAAAGCTTCTTTACAAAACCATGATGTGCAAACTGCTTGTGAGAAAACAGATGATTCCAAAAGGCAAGGGTTATCTGTGGAAGATGGAGTCCTGGCTTGCAATTCTTCCAGTTCTTCCTGAGTTAGAATTACTCATCCATATCCTTTGCCATGTGATTTTAAGCACTTTCCAATGGCCTGAGGGGTGTATATTTCCCTCCCCATTGATGCTGCATTTGGCCAGTGGGAGGTGAGTGCTTGTGGCAGGTGTGAGTCCTCAAGGGGCTTTGCGTGTTCCTGCTTGTCCTTTTGTATCCTGGATGTCCGCCATGAAAAGACCACGCCGGGGTAGGTGCTACTCCAAACAGAGGCAGAGACACATGGAGGGAACCTGCTATCATTTGCGTATTTGTCCCCTCCAAGCCTGTTGTTGAAATTTGATCCCGAATGTTGGCAATGGTGCCTGATGGGAAGTATTTGGGTCATGGGGGTGGATCCCTGATGAATAGATGGATGTCCTCCCTGGTGAGAGGAGGTAAGAGAGCTCTGCCTCTGTTAGTTCACGGAGAGCTGGTTGTTACAAAGAGCTTGCCACCTCCTGCCTCTCTGTCTTGCTTTCTCTCTTACCAGGTGATCTCTGCACACACCAGGTCCCTATCACCTTCCCCCATGAGGGAAAGCATTCTGTGACCATCACAAATATAGATGCCCAATACCTAACTTCCAGACATCAGAATCATGAGACAAATAAACTTTTAAAAAAATTTTTAATTATTATTATTATTTTTTTTGTAAATTACCCAATGCTAGATATTGCTTTTGAGGACTAAGCTATTTTTTTTTTTTAATCTTGCCCAAATTCCTATCTAAAGGGTCTGGGGAGTCATGCCTTACAAACCCTAAATTCTCATCAGATGGGTTTTATTTAATGCTATATATCACGACTTACTTTCCAGTCTGACTCTGGCATAACACTACATGATAAAGAAGACAATCAAAATATTTTACCCAAAAACATGTTTCTTTGGCATATTTTGAAATGGCCCTGCAAAGCTGTCTTTTGTGGGCGCAAATTTGCATCTGTAAAGAATCTCTGACATAGCTAGATCTTTTTCTTCCAGGCCCTCCCAATCCTGAAGAGATTAACTGAGAGTCTAGCATCTTTTAATGATCTGAATAGGAAACATTTGTCATCTATTGTCTCTAAGGGCAGCCACTGTGAGACTTCAAAAGGACCTTGGTCTCCACAATCTTTTATCTCACCTAGAACATTTCCTTTCTATTGATCCCAGGTCTTTAGACAAACTGAACCCATTGTCATCCAGAAAATGTTTACATTTGCCTATAGCCTGGAAGTCCCCCTCCCCTTCCCCCCTCCCCCTCCCCTTCCCCCCTCCCCATCCCCTTCCCCCTCCCCCTCTTCCCTTCCCCTCCCCCTCTTCCCTTCCCCTCCCCCTCCTCCCCTCCCCCTCCCCCTCCTCCCCCTCCCCCTTCTCCCCCTTCCCCCCCCTTTCCCCTCTTCCCTTCCCCTCTTCCCTTCCCCTCCCCCTCTCCTCCCCCTCCCCCCTCCCCTCCCCCACTTTGAGTTGTCCCACCTTTTTGGACCAAACTGATGTATTTCTTAAATGTATTTGACTGATGTCTCATGTCTCCCTAAAATGTGTAAAACCAAGCTACACCCTGACCACCTTGAGCCCATGTTCTCAGGATCTCCAGAGAGGGCTGTGTGACAGGCCATGGTCACTCATATTTGGCTCAGAATACATCTCCAAATATTTTACAGACTTTGACTCTTTTCGTCGACACTTTTTAGCAATACAAATGGGTGAAGAAAAGACTTGAATTCAACCTGCAGTCTGCAGCCTGGTTAAGCTGACCCACAGCCTAGAGCAGGGACGTCTCACGAAGTCCGCAGACCTGGGAGCTAGCAAAAGAAATGCTTGCTGCAGTGAGGCAGTATGTTTTGGGGAAGTTTATTATGCAGCAATAGCTGATTAACATATCATTTTTATATGGGGCAAACTGGGTCGTATGGAGAGAAAGATGGGGTGGTTGTGGAAAAAGAAAGGTTATTAGGTTTCCAGGGAGGAGAGGAAACTGTTGTCTATCATAGGTCCTGAAGGACCTTGTATCAAGAATTTCTCTGAACTTTCCAGACCTATCATTGTGCCAGACAAGCCACGATGCTAAATTTTTTTTAAGGCAAAAATTCAGTGGTGGCCTGTACAGAGCTGAAAGGGCAAAACTGAAAGGCAGTAAGAGAATAACCTTTTACATCAGGCAAAATTGATGGCTGATTCAACAGCCCCAAAGGCTTATGTAGCTCAGCAACTTACAGCAACCATTCTTCTTGTTCATCTTGGTGAAGTTATTCACACGACGAGTGAGGGTCCCCACTCTGCCCAGGTGCAGGAGGAGATTCAGAAAATTTAAAGAAATATGGGCATAATTTAATTCAATGTTGATGGTGATAGAAAGTTCCAGAGATACAGCCATAACATACCGACTAGTATTATGCTTATCTTTGGAAATGGTAACATGATGCTTTTAACCATCATGGTGGTATTCTTTCTTGCATAGAAAGAATTTTTAAAATAGAACATTTAAAAAAAAAAAAAGCATTTGATACCAGTAAAGTTTTTCCAGAGGGCATTGAAAAGAATTGAACTAAGCTTAGAAAAATGACAGTTATCTGTTACCCAGAAAAAGCAGGTAGGTCAATGCTGATAGAGCAATTTAATTTTAGCCCACATGTTTCAACACAAATTTAAACCTCCCATGCAATTAGCTAAAATAACTGAAATAGGGGAGTGCCCAAAGGCTGTACCCATATACAGTAATTTATGATTTAAATTAAGCAGAATTTATAAACTCATTGGCAGTTACTTGTTTGACTTGACTTTTCTTTCTGTGAGGATAACCCCTTCTGATGGAAGGGATCCCCCAGACAAGAGTGATGTCTGCCTCTACCAACAATAGAGATACTTAGCTTCTGGACCAACACTTGGCTCTTAGTGTGTTGTTAAAGGAAAATTAAACTGGAATTGTTGGTTGTATTTCTCTGTCTTATCTTCCAAGAATCTTTGTTTGTTTGTTTGTTTGTTTAAGAGACAGGGTCTGGCTTTGTTGCCCAGGCTGGAGTACGGTGGCATGATCATAGCCCACTGCAGCTTCAAATTCCTGGACTCCCACCTCAGCCTATTGAAAAGATGAGACCATAGGCATGTGCCACGGCACCTGACTAATTTTTAAATTTTTTTGTAGGGAAGAAGTCTTGCTATATTTCCTAGGCTGATCTTGAATTTCTAGGCTAAAGTGATCCTCCCGCCTTGGCCTCCCAAAGTGTTAGGATTACAGGTGGGAGCCACTCCGCCTAGCCTTACCTTCCAAGAATCTTGGATGGCAAGCACTGAGTTTTGAACCGCTCTATTTTCTTCTCTGCCTCACTGTGCAAAGCATGGTGTCTTGAACTTTGGAGTTCCATAAATACATTTTTATTATCATGGCAGACCCATTTGGCTGGCCAACTCAGCCATCATTTGTGTTTCCTCTTCCACCTAGCCATCTTCAAACTAGGCACACATGACTCAATTCTGGCCAATGCATTGTAAACTGAAGCCTTTAGGTGGGGTTTTGGGAAATACATATATATTTTAATTGGCATGATGCATTAGCTATTTTGTACCTTTCCTTTCTCTTCTTCCTGCATGCACACGTGAGGCTCAGAAGGGCAGTAACCATCCTGTGTCTATGAAGCAATAGGCACATGGATGAAGGTCCACACATTAAAGATGGCAGAGCAAAATGATGTGAAGAGCTTGTGTTGGAACTGGCTTTTACCAGCTTGCAAGATTTGACCAATAACTTCTCAAGAATTTTGCATGTTTGTTGTTCAGCACAGCCATGATTAAAAATGGCCTTATATAAACTTACAATGAAACAAGTTATGTTAAAACAAAGATAATAGTGCAAACATTTTTTTTTACTGCTTTACTATAATGCTCATGAGATTATTTACGTGTATAATATTTATAGTGGAAATGTTTTGTACTGGAATGCAATTGAGCGTTTCTTCCAACTCTGCACTTAGTTGTGTCACGTTGATAGCTGGAAATCAAACCGTGGTGGAAGTATGTATGCTATGGAAATTGACAAACATAACAAAATATTACTGTCCCTTCAGAATGGTTGTTAAACATTTAGCAGCTCAAGCTCACCACTGCTGGCTTCCCGATGGATCATTGATTTGCCATCTCAGCCTCATCTCCTGGAATTCTTGTTGGATAAGACAAATAAGCCCCAATATTTTAAAGTCAATATTAGTCAAGGTTTCTTACAGTATTGTAACAAAAATTATGTCTAACATATATAGCTGTTAATTCATTTATCTCATCCTACCAAACACAGGTGGAAAATATTCAATGTCATACCACGGATGTACAGAAGAAGAAAGAAATCCTATTTGGAACTGAAGTCAGCCAGTTGGAATTTTCAGAAGGAAATCCTGGCAGCCCGCGGTGTTTGAGGCATTACATAAACATCTGATACTTGACTCAGTAACTATCAGCACTTGGTGTCAGCATATAAATGTTGGGTTGGAAAAGTAGACAAATTGATTTTCCATTCCTCTCATTCTAGTTTCTTCCTTTCATTGATGCTGTAGTCATGGATCTTATTACTAGCATAACAGTCAGTAATATACACATGTTATTTCTCTGGTTAAAGAATAATTCTTTTCAAAGCTCTATAATGTGATAAACTGACCCTGAATTATGACCATAAAAATAATAATTTACTCTTTTCTCCAAAGCTATCAAAAAATTCTCAAGCTCTATAACCTATAAACTGTCTAACCTTAAGCCATTGTTATATATTTTTCACATTTTATGAGTTAAAATAGACTTGAGAGTTAAGAAGAGGAAAGTATTGGTCCATCTACTTCCCTGCCTGGAATATTAAGGGTCAGAGAGGTTAACTTATCTGCTCAAGGTGAAAAAAATAGAAAGCAGGTCTAGATTGCAATTAATTGTATCTCCTCATTACTTTTATTTTCTCTCTCAGAATCACATTTTTGTATTCCAGTATAAATATTGAGTTTGAACGCATGAAAATCATTTTTCTGGTATGTGACAGGGCAGTTGGATTTTGTTTTCCTTTCTGGCCTGTTTCCTGAGGCTGTTAAGAAGAGCCAGAGATCAAGAATTTGAGTCTTTGAATGCAAAATAAAAAGTATTGCCAATGGAACTAGGTTTGTTACTGGGGATTCTTGGTGGGGAATAGTATGTTCTGGCAAAAAATGAGGAGGTTTATTTTCTCCTCCTTCTCTTATATAGTCTCCTTTTAGTTTCTTACCTTTACCTTCTTACTCCATTTTTTTTTTTTTTTTTGGTTAAGATACAGGGTCTTGCTCTGTAGCCCCAGCTAGAGTGCAGTGGTGCAATCATAGCTCACTGCAGCCTTGAACTCCTGGGCTCACACCTGTAATCCCAACACTTTGGGAGGCCAAGGCAGGAGGATTGCTTGATCCCAGGAGTTCAAGACCACCCTGGGCAACATACTGAGACCCTGTCTCTACAAAAAATTTAAAAATTAGCCAGGCGTGGTAGCATGTGCTTGTAGTCCCAGCTATGGTCCAGGCTGCAGCGAGCTATGATTATGCCACTCAACTCCAGCCTGAGTAACAGAGAAAGACCCTGTCTCAAACAAACAAAAAAAAGGGATCTGGAAGAGGAAGAACAGTTACTGGGACATTTGAAGTTCAGTAAGAGAGGAAATCTCAGTGGGTTGAAGATAATGTAAAAACACCCCAAGTTTTAGTATGTTCTTCTCTATCTCTGCTCTGTCCACAGATTATCTACTGGCTAAAGTGATCCTCTCACCTTGGCTTTCCGAGTAGCTGGGATGACAAGTGTGCACCACCATACCTGGCTAACTTTTAATTTTTTTGTAGAGACAGGGTATTGCCATATTGCCCATTTTGGTCTCAAACTCCTGGAGTCAAGTGATCCTTCTGCATCGACCTCCCATACATTTATTCATTGTTTATTGAATAAATGTTTGCTGAGCACCTACTATGTGCCAGGCAGTCTTTCAGGTTCTGGAGAAAGCAGTGGTGGGGACAAAATGTCCCTGCTCTCATAGATTAGGTGTGGTGGGGAGGTGGAGCAAGAAAGACAATTAACAAGTTAACAGAGAGGCACCATGGAAAAAATGGAACAAGGTGATGTGTTACAGTGTGGCTCTAGTTGGGACTGGATAATGTGATCAAGTCCTTAGAGGTAGTGAGGAGATATCTGAGTGGTGTCTTAGTTAGTGTAGGCTGCTGTCACAAAGTACCATAGACTGGGTGGATTATAAACCACAGAATTTTATTTCTCTTAGTTTTGAAGGCTGAAAGTCTGATCTCAGGGTTCCAGCATGGTTGGGTTCTGGTGAGGGCCCTCTTCTGGGTTGTAGATCACCAGCTTCTCATATCCTCACATGAGCTCTGTGGGGGGTCTCTCTCTCTCTTTTTTTTTTTTTTTTTTTGAGACAGAGTCTTGCTCTGTCACCCAGGCTGGAGTGCAGTGGTGCTATCTTGGCTCACTGCAATCTCTACCTCCCAGGTTCAAGTGATCTTCCCACCTCAGCTTCCTAAGTAGCTCAGATTACAAGCGTGCACCACCACGCTCAGCTAATTTTTGTATTTTTTAGTAGAGTTGGGATTTCACCATGTTGGCAAGGCTGGTCTCAAACTCCTGACCTCAAGTGATCCACCCGCCTCAGCCTCCCAAAGTGCTGAGATTATAAACATGAGCCACCGCACCCAGGCTGGGGTCTCTTTCATAAGGGCACTCATCCCATTCATGAGGACTTCTCTTATGACCTAAATTACCTTCCAAAGGCCCCACTTCCTAAAATCATCACACTTGGGGTTAGGATTTCAACATATGGATTTGGGGGTAGGGGGTACAGTCATGCAGTCCATTGCAAGTGGGATCTGAATCACAATTAAGGTCTTGCAAAGATTGGAGATAGGGCCCTAGGGCAGAAAGAATAGCAAGTGCCAAGCCCCTGAGAAATGAAAGAGCTTGGCATATTCATACAAAAGAAAGCAAGCCAGCATGGCTGGGTAGTAGCCATCAGCGGTAGGAAATGGAATTGTAGGGCTCTTTGGGACTAGTTCATGCAGAAATTTTAGGCAATCGTGAGGACTTACTTTGTGTTTTGTCCTAGTTACAATGGAAAACCATTGCATGTATTTGGGCTCTAGGGGACCACCGTGAGCCAATGTGCATTCACAAAAGAATAGAGGTGCCAGGGATATAGTCAAGATGATCTTCTAGAATGCAGGAAATATTGACAGTTTGACTAAGAGTAGTGTGGATGGAGGGAAGTTTATGAATGAAACCTATTTTGGAAATAGAGTCACAGGTGATAGTGATGGGCTTGATGCATGGAGGGAGTGTGTAGAGAAAATAGAAGAATCAAGGGTGATGCTTTGGTTTCTGACTTGAACTGGTGCAGCATTTACTAAGCTGAGGAGAGTGGGAGAGGAAAAAAATCCCTCCCCTTTGTAGGGGAAGCATCCATAGTTCTGTTTCAAGTATGTTAAGGAGTCCTAGAAATCTCATAGATGGCAAACAGTCTGTTGGATATAGGAGTTTGGAACCCAGGAAAAAGGTCAAGGCTTGAGCTAAAAATTTAGGGTTATATAAATAACCTTTAAAGCCAGTAGATAATTGGTGGATGGGGTAGAGATGGAGAAGAACACAGTAGAATTTGGGGTGTTTCCTTATATTATCTTCAGTCCACTGAGATTTCCTCTCTTACTCAACTTCACATGCCCCAGTAACTGTTCTTCCTCTTCCAAATTCCCCCTACTTTTTCTTTGAGACACCCTGTCACCCAGGCTGGAGTGCAGTGGCGTGATCATATATCACTGCAGCCTCCACCTCCTAGGCTGAAGCGATCCTCCCATCTCAGCCTCCCAAGTAGCTGGGGGACTACAGGCACATGCCATCACACCCAGCTAACTTTTAAAATTTTTATAGAAATGGGATATTACTATGTTGCCCAGGCTGGTCTCGAACTCCTGGGCTCAAGCGATCCTCCCACCTTGGCCTCCCAAAGTGCTGGGATTAAAGATGTGAGCCACCATGCCCCACCTCCAGATCCTTCTAATGGGCATTCCCTAAGTTACTGCCATCAGCTCCCCTTTCCACCCCTCGACAAATTCCATGATTCTGGCACAATCTCCTCTATTCATATAGATTCATCTGATCTGTACTGGTGACTTCCCAAGTCGATGAGCCTGCCCTTATCTCTCACCCAACCTTAATTAAATCAAATCCATTCAATTCAAATCCATGTAAGTCAAGAAGCATTTGTTGAACAATGTCCACATATCAGGCAGGTTGGTTGGCCATCAGTGGCTATATAGGATAGTACTACTTTAGTAACTCTAACCCTCAGCCTTAGGGGCTTAGAAGCTTGATTCTCTCAGCATATTAAGTGGAGTAATTTCTCAGGGTGCAAATTAACCCAGCTCACAAGAATCTCTTGTATATAAATCAAAATGTCAATTCACTAATTTACGATGAGAAATACAACTTACAAGAGGAGCAGACATTCACATTTGCCTGATCTGCAAATTTTCTCCATCTAG
This sequence comes from Homo sapiens, assembly GCF_000001405.40. Taxonomy (NCBI): domain Eukaryota; kingdom Metazoa; phylum Chordata; class Mammalia; order Primates; family Hominidae; genus Homo; species Homo sapiens. Next base: position 69,159,017 of record NC_000007.14, on the reverse strand, counting down.
GGAAACTACATAGAAAGCCAAATTATCAGAAAGTTGCATGGATTATGAGAGATCAGAGCAAGGGGACTTGGTGGCAGATTTGAAAGTTTAATATTATCAGGCAGTGATAGTCCGATGCATTGATGTCCGCAGAGAAATCAAACAAATCATGTGTTTCTGTGGACTTCTTAGGATACCAAAAGAGTGCTCTGATGGGCATTGCCAAAATAAATCTCTCCCATAGTCCCTTTTCTATGTTCTGTGATCACATCTCCCTTTGGTCTAACACATTCTTTCTCTGGATAAGTTAATAAAATAAAATCAGTTAATTTCCACTAAGTCTTATTTTTACCTAGGAACTATTTCATCCCAGTAAGGGTAATGTACATATTTCCGATTTCTTCCTTGATGTGTAGAATAATTCACTTAGCTATTAGAAAGTAGATTCAGGCCGGGCATGGTGGCTCACACCTGTAATCCCAGCACTTTGGGAGGCTGAGGCTTGTGGATCACCTGAGGTTGGGAGTTTGAGACCAGCCTGACCAACATGGAAAAACCCCGTCTCAGTAAAAATACAAAATTAGCCAGGCATGGTGGCTTGCCTGTAATCCCAGCTACTTGGGAGGCTGAGGCAGGAGAATTGCTTGAACTTGGAGGGGGAGGGTGCAGTGAGCTGAGATTGTGCCATTGCACTCCAACCTGGGCAACAAGAGTAAAACTCCATCTCAAAAAAAAAAAAAAGAAAGCAGATTCATTTTCTTCATTTCAAATTCTGTAGCCTCAAGTATCTAGAATAATGTCTTTCAAATAAAAATCTTATGAAATATTTATTGAATGAATGAATCACTGGATTAAATTTTGTCTCTATGTAGCTTGAATGATTAGATAGAAAAAAGTAGATTTTATTTAACATATTTAGTTGACTTTAACAAACACTAAATGGTGGACAAAAGAATTTTTTCTAGTTGACTTGCCCAAAACCGAAGGTTCTACCAATATCACACTGTTCAGAGCAGTTTCACGTCAAGAAGGAGTCCGGAGGGACATTGTCACGACTTCATTCCATATACAACTCAACAAACTATAGCTTTTGACTTCACTTTCTTATTTAGATTTAACTTTAACTCTTCCAAGGCTGAATGGCAGAAATCACTTGTAGCCTGTTATCTACTTTACACTACCCTTCAATCCCAGTATTCTCTTTTCCTCATGTTCACAAAGCAAGGGAATGCGCAAATTAAGACGGTCTGAATGAATGGCCAAGATTCAGATTCTCCATTGTGATAAGGGTCAGGTGAGATCCAGGACACACCTAGTGGGTGGTTCTGTAATTTAATGCTTTTCTGAGGCTATCACCAAATACTTCCACTGATGGGAATTTATTCTGAGAAAATAAAGAAGCAGTTAAAGATTTATATGTAAGGATGTTCCTTATAGCATTATATTATAACAGTTGAAAACAAACACAACTAGAAAAGCATCCAACAGTGATTGGTTAATATGGCGCATTTCATAATTGTGTATTAAGCAGCCATTAAAATCATGCTTTCAGAGAATGTTTAAGGACATGGGAAAATGCTTGCTGTGCACATGGTTATTTTTGTTCACCAACATCCTTTCCTTTTGTTCTGATTGCTGTGATGGGAGCCCTCCTATATTCTACATGGCACTAACACTCACATATCTAGAACTTATACATTTTATTTTATCATTGCTTTTTTAGTGCCAAGACATTTACTGAAAGTTTTCAAATTTTTCAAAAATGTTACAAGAAGTGTGCAAACACAGTGAAACTAATGACAAACGAGACATTGAAAACTAACATCTGGATAAGTCTTAGAATCTATACATTTTAAAATCTAATGTGTGTAGTCTCGCAAATCCCAAAGACCCAAGCATTTTATTCCTGCAGATTTCTCTCTGCTGCTACCAACAGGATACAAGAACAAAGGAAGAGTTAAGCAATGGCCAATCAGTGACTATTCTGGGCCAAGACTTCTTACAGGAGCCCATGGCTGTGCTAGATGATGGGACCAGAGGCTGGACTTCATTCAATATCACAAAGCAGGTGGAATTTAGCAAGGTATTTAACCTGGGTTTTGAAACTTAGGGCTGAGGGTAAGAGGGTCAGGCATCACTCTGTAAGTCTTCTTTGAAGTGTATCGTTCATCAAAAGATAGAAAGTCACATGTTGTATTTCTCTCCTGCTACTCATGTCTCAGCATCAGCACCCCTGGAGGTGTGAGCAGGAATCCTTTGCATACATGGTAGCAGCAACCACAGCAATGGACTGTGTCATTAACACTGATTCCTTCAGAAGATTGTAACATTGGTGATAGTGCCCCAGTTCCTTGCAGGGGAGGACCTCTCCCTTCTTAGCCCATTAAGTTTGGAGGCAGAGACTACTCCTATTGGCTCCAGGAAAGGGCATGTGTCAAAGGTCTGGCCAATCAGAGAGCCATATCATCTGGGACATGGGATTGGCTCAGAGATGAGCAGGTGACTGCTTCAAACCCAATGATATGGGACTTTGGCTAGAACTTGATTTGAAATTTTCTTCAAATCTTCATGATTTCTAGCCATGAGGTCATGAAGACAAACCTGGAGCAGCTCACTGCCATTTTGCCACCATGAAGACAAAGCCAAGGTGAGCTGGAAATCACACAGCAGCAGAGCTGAGGTGGAGAAAGCCCAGGTCTTAGTGGCATAGTGTGAATCTCTGAATTCCACCATGTCTAATTATTTGTTTCTCCCTGAATTTTTAGTAGTGTGAACCAACACATCCCTGAAGTGCCTTAACCCTTCTGCTTAAGGCACTTTGAGTATATTTTCTGTCACAACCAAGAGATTCCTAACTGAATCCTAACTTAGAACCTACACATTTTAAAATCTAATGTGTACAATGTCACAAACCCCAAAGTTCCAAGCATCTTGTTCCTATAGACTTCTCTGTGCTGCTACTTATAAGATACAAGAACAAAGATAATAAAGGCCAATCAGTGACTATTCTGGGCCAAGATTTCTCACAGGAGCCTATGGCTGTGCTAGATGGGCTTCTTATGATGACTAGTTGATGAAAATAGCAGGAGAAAGTAATAAATTGCAAATCATGTGTATATGTGTGAAGAAAATCTACCAACATGTTAACAGTGACTATCTCTGGATTGTGAAGTTGTGAGTTTTTTCTTTAAATACATTCTAGAATATTTCAAATTTCCTAGAAAGATCACATACTAATTTTTTTTTTTTTTTTTTTTTTTTTTTGAGACAGAGTCTCACTCTGTCACCCAGGCTGGAGTGCAATGGCACAATCTGGGCTTATTGCAACCTCTGCCTCCCAGGTTCAAGTGATTCTCCTGCCTCAGCCTCCTGAGTAGCTGGGATTACAGGCCTTTGCCACCATGCCTGGCTAAATTTTGTATTTTTAGTAGTGATGGGGTTTCACCATGTTGGCCAGGCTGGTCTCACACTCCTGGCCTCAAGTGATCCGTCTGCTTTGGCCTGCCAAAGTGCTGGGATTCCAGGAGTGAGCCACCGTGCCCGGCCCACATATTAATTTTAATAACAATGCAAAGGAGATTAAAGAGCTCTTGGTTTTCCTTCTTCAGTGACACAGGCAGAAGGCCATATGGCCTTTTCCATAACATCAGGAGACATTTCACAGATTCCCCTGACAGTTTCAGATGAAGACCAGTGAGCTCAAGTTATAGGAAAGTTATAGGTTAACCTTGTGTTTAGTTAGATAATGGAAGAGGAACCTTGGCCATCGAGTAGCTTAAAGACTAGCATTGGAATTCCTGGCTTTGTGTCTGGGAAACAGAGAACTGGTCTACTGACCCGATGACTGCGGAGTCTTTGCTAATCCCCAAGAGAGGAACTGAGATGGTTGCCCACAGGTGGTGATTCCTGGGAGGCTGAGGCAGAAAGTGATGGGCATCCTGACAGCAGAAAGCAGAAGGACCTTCACGAAACCATCCTACACATCACAAAGGACTCCCATGTCTTTTTGTGGCTGGCCAGCTGACTTTACCACCCAGATTTCACAAAGTCCAGAGGAGAGGGAAGGGGAGAGGAGAGGAGAGGAGGGGAGGGGAGAGGAGGGGAGGGGGAGGGGGAAGGGAGGGGAGCAGGAAGGAAGCAAAGGAGAAGGCCCCTCAGGAGACAGGACTGGTGCTGATGAAAGTCCCGCCTCCTTTCTCCCCCTGAAGTATCCGTGGAAGACTCCACTGTCCCCGGTAGGCAATGAAGTGAATTAAGAGCCCAAGTTTTTAAAAGGGCCTGCAAAACTTTACAGCAGGGACTATGATCACATTTATATGTCTCTACCAAAAAGAAGTTAAATAAATCTGCCTGGGGACATAAAATAATCACCTGCCACCTTTATGTGGATGGGAGGGAATTGACCACTCCGGAGGCCCATATCCCGCCAGCTACCCTCACACAGGCTGGGGCCACAGCGGGGGAATGTTCTCTTCATTCTTCAAATGCCTGTTTTCCCTACACCCCTTTTGCCCACCAGAATGAATTGCCCCTTGTGGACTCACTCCCACATTTTAAGCACATTTCTAGTTATCAGAATGCAGGGAGACTCTCAGGCTTATTGTAGTTATGCCTTTGTGAGTCTATCCTCTCTCTGTCTCCTTGAAGACATTGATATGATTTGATTGTGTCCCTACCCAAGTCTCATCTGAATTGTAGCTCCCATAATTCCCACATGCTGTTGGAGGGAGCCTGTGGGAGATAATTGAATCATGGGGGCAGTTTCCCCCATACTGTTCTCATGGTATTGAATAAGTCTCACGAGAGCTGATGGTTTTATAAGGGGAAACCCCTTTCACTTGGTCTTCATTCTCTCTTGTCTGCCACCAGGTGAGAAGCGCCTTTCACCTTCTGCCTTCCACCATGATTGTGAGGCCTCCCCAGCCACGTGGAACTGTGAGTCTATTAAACCTCTTTTTTCTTTATAAGTTACCCAGTCTCAGGGATGTCTTTATTAGCGCATGAAAACAGACTAATACAGACATCTTCATCTAATCATTCTTTTGAATTTTCTCCTTCTTCGCCCCATTTCTGTCCCATAGTTCAATACCTGCACAGTGTATGTTCTTAATAAATGTGTGTTCAATTTTGAATTCTCACAGCTGGCTCTTTCCAAAGAAATGAATTGGCCAATTGCCTCTCCGTGTGTTCGCCAGAGGATCAGAGAGGGCTGAGCTTCCAGAGCTCAGTAGTGAAGGGGTCTTGAGCCTTGAGCCCTCTGGAGCTCACTCTTCTAGAACCTTGAGGTCTCACGCTGCTGAAGCCTTGGGAATGTGTACTCCAAGCACTGTCTCTTTCTTTACATGATTTTCCCAAATTAAAATGCCCAATAGGTACACAAAACCTCAGACTTTTACTTCAGGCCCTGCTGGAAGGACCCACTTGGAGAAAGGATTGAATAATGAAAAGATTAAGGCTTTGGGGGTCAGATAGCCATGGCCTTGACATCCATACAAAATCAGGCAAGTAACCCAGCCCATAGGAGCCTCAGTTTCCCTATGCATAAACGGGGAGAATACTACCTTTGTCAGGAGGTAGTTGTAAACCTTTAGTAGAAGGATATAGTTTTATCCCAGGCACTGAAGAGAAACTCATCAAATGTTAGTTTTTTCCACTTTTTCTCATATTTTTTTGATTTCCCTATAATTTTCTAGGTTTCCCTGGAATGTTCTCACCTAGGGCATGATGGGTAATGATGACTTAGCTAAGAGCTCAGTCCCTAAAAATATATTGGTTACTTCTAGGAAGGTAAAGTGTCCAAGTCAGGAAGCTTATGGTGGTGTCGGTGGCAGGCATTTCAATGACCTGGGAGGCAGCCAGGAGACAGCACCCAGCAGACAGCGAATTCTGTGAACCTTATGTCAACAATGCGCAGAGGTTGCCCCAACCCTGCATGGTAGGGAGGACCAGTTCTTTTCACAAAGGCATCACAGTTTCCAACGTGAACTTAGCAGCCATTTCCGTAGCCACAAGGAGAGACAAATTCCCCACTCCACTCGCCGGTCCTCACAGGGAAAGGTTTCTATCCATCCAGTGAGGATATTGCCAAACCAATGATGAACGCCTGACCAGCAAAAGTCTTATAATCAGTTACTCAGTGCTTCAGAAGGAGCTTGCTTTCTCTAAGTAAATCCAGGAGGGGAAGACAATTCGGGAGCCATGAACAAGCCCCCTGAAATGTCGGCCCTCCAGAAAGGAAGCAGAAGCAGTCTAGGCGGCTTAACTTCAGCCACAGTAGAACAGGAGGTGACATTTACAATGTTGGTTTACAGCCCAGAGGGCCAGTGGATCTGGGAGGGTCTCCCAGTGCCTGGACAAAGTGAGCGGGGGCTGGGATTTCCACAGGCATCCTTGGACTTTCAGCAGTAGATCCTGAGGCTGTGTGGGCTAAGGACAAGGAACCCACAGGAAAGGGCAGATGTGAGGGTGATGGGATACACTGTATTTGGAACCTAGAAGTCAAAGTGCACTTAAATGAGACCCAAATTGATGTCTCACCCATTTCTTTTTTAAAAAAATTTTTTATTTCCATAGATTATTGGGGAACAGGTGGTATTTGGGTACGTGAGTAAGTTTTTCAGTGATGATCTGTGAGATTTGGTGCACCCATCACCGAAGCAGTATATGCTGCACCCAATTTGTAGTCTTTTATCCCTCACCCCCTTCTCACTCTCCCCTCTGAGTCCCCAAAGTCCATTGTGTCATTCTTATGCCTTTGCATCCTCATAGCTTAGCACCCACTTATGAGTGAGAACATATGATGTTTGGTTTTCCATTCCTGAATTATTTCACTTAGAATAATAGTCTCCAATCTCATCCAGGTTGCTGTGAATGCCATTAATTCATTCCTTATTATGGGTGAGTAGTATTCCATCATATATATATATATCACAGTTTCTTTATCCACTCGAAATGCCCATCAATCATCCGTTTCTTTTTAAATGGGTTTGTAGAACTAGGATCTGTCTTAGATCAGCATTGGCCTATAATGGTCAGAGGAAGGAAAGGCCAGCTACTCTCCTCACCTTCATCAGCATAACCTTCCTCTGTGACCCCACCTGCTCAACAGATACACTTTCCTCCATTCATCCAGGGAGCAATCATCAGACGTCTGGGCTGAGGCAGGCCACATGCTGGGGTGGTTGTTCCCAAACTCAAGGTTCATGGATTTTGCCAGGCTGGTAGCAAAAGAAAACAGCTTTGGAAACTTAAAAACACCAATTCCTGGGCTTCTCCATAGGTCTAGTTGAATTACAAATAATCCGTATTTTTTTAAAAGTACTCATTTGAATGTCCCCATATTAGGAGTACAAGAAAGAGTGACCAGCGGTTGGGCATGGTGGTTCATGCCTGTAATTCCAGTGCTTTGGGAGGCTAAGGCAGGAGGATCACTTGAGGCCAGGAGTTTGAGACTAACCTGGATAACATAGTGAGACCTTGTCCCTAAAAAATTTTTTTTAAAATTAGCTGGGCATGGTGGCAGTCCCAGCTGCTTGGGAGGCTGAGAGCGGAAGGATCCCTTGAGCCCAGGAGATCCAAGCTGCAGTGAGCTATGATCACACCGTTGCACTCCAGCTGGGGTAACAGAGTGAGACCCTGTCTCTATTGAAAAGAAAAAAAAAAAAAAGAAGAAGAAAGGATGACCAGAACTCTAAGCAAGTAATTAGAATATGAGGTAAGGGCTGTGATTAAAGCATGTACAATGTGCTTGGAGGCCACAGAGAAGGATTGCTAGACCTTCTCTGGAGGTGTAAGCAATCATCTCCAAAGAAGTGATATTTGAGCTGGGTATTCGATAATGGGAGCACATTTTCCAGGTGGTCAAGAAGGTAAAGGACATTTCAAGGCAGAGGGAATAGTGTGGGCACCAGGGAGGGCTTGTATGTCTGAGAAGTTGTGGTGGTTTAGTGGTGTTGGGTTGAAACGTGGATCTCATCTTGGGAGAGTAGGTAGTGAGAGCTGAGGCCAGGGGGGTCAAGGCTGGATCACAAAGAGTATTGCATGCAAGGCAAGCCAGCAGCTTGGATTCTATTCCCTGGGCCACTGGGTACCACTGATGTGTATGAGACAAGGGAGCCACAAAGTCAGATGTACACTTTAGTTATTTATTTGAGACAGGGTCTTACTCCAGCCCCCAGGCTGGAGTGCAGTGGTGTGATTATAGCTCACTGCAGCCTTGAACTCCTGGGCTCAAGAGATCCTCCTGCTTCAGCTTCCCCCTTGGGTTGGAAGGCATCAAACAGACAGAGAAAGGAATTAGGGCTAGAAAGGACATGGGTCCAAGCTTGTGTTAAGGCTTACCACAGTGGGGATGGAGCAGTGGGGACAGCTTGCAGAGATGTTAATACCTCCATTTCCTAAACACGTGTCAGGCACTCACGTGTTCCTGACCAGGAAGCCACCCCTCCACTGTCTCCAGTCTGCATATGGCAGGGCATGACCTCCAAATGGGCCACGATTGCTAAATTAAGTATCATGAACCACTGCCATCATTAATGCAAACACACAGGACAGCTTTAGAAATCCTGGCAATGCTTTCCGGCAAATGTAATGAAAAAATTAATTGAATAATCATTCCATGTAAATAGATTTCATGTGAGCTCTCCTTTTGGTAGGAGGGAAGGGAGAAAAGGTGGGAGAATCCTGTGATATATGGCTTTGAGTAGTATAATGAATTAGGCCGGGTGCCCCACAGTGAGTCTGAGCCTGCCTCGGCCTGCATTATGAGGTGGTTAGACCATTTTGAGCAGCGTGGCTCAGGTGACCTAATGCAGGCATGAGAGATGGAGGTCATTAAAATCTGCCACACTGTAGGAACTCTCTTTAAAAAGAGACTCAAAGGCTGGCTTCGCAGAGTAGCGGCATTTCTCTTTGGGATACAAGGTATTCTATCACTTAGGGAAAACTGAAAACCAAAGCGATAATGATGGGAAATAAATTGATGGCCTCAAAAGGGAGGGTTGGAGAGGGAGGAGGGAGATAGGGGAGCTACCTACAACCCGTGGCAAAGGCTCCTGTAAAGGAAATGATGAATTGGTTAATATCAAGTAGGAAATATTGACTCATGGGCGTGAGACTCAAAATTACAATTTCTGAATCTGCACTGCCAATGTAGTCCAAGGGAGAGAAAAACTGGGAGTTAGAGGCTAAGCTATTAATCCTAGTTTAAGACACTTGAACATGCCCCTTCACTTCTGCTAAGCCTTTGTTTCCTAGTATGCAAAATGAATACCTATTGCAATAGGTAATTTTGAGTGTCAAGTGTGATTATATATTGGCTGTGATTATATAGAAGCTGTGGGTGTATGTATTCCTATGCATTTGCTCACAGGAAATTGTGAGCTCAACCTGGAAGACAGAGGAAGACATGTTCTTACCTTTCTGCTGGATGAGAATACCAAGGGCCTGAACAGAATGGCTGAAACCTAGCCTGGACTATTCTTTGGAAGCCCCATACCTGGTGGACTCAGTATTCAATGCTCTATGCTCTGAGAAATAGACAATATCATACTGAAGTGTTCTGATGTTTTTTTGGGGGAACCCAATGATTAGATCTTAAATTTGAAGGGATGTATTCCACTGCCAACCAGCTTGGGGTGAGAAGGACAGATTGGAGTGGGAGACCACAGACTTTACTTGTGCCTCAGAGAACTATGTCCTGGATGTTGAGTGGAGGAGCTACCTTCCTGGGTATTGCTGCTGTTGGGAGAGAGGCTGACTCTTACAACCTGGTGGCATTCCAGGACCTTGGGAATGAGAGTTCTACTCTTCAGGGGCCAAGTCTGTGCATCTGAGAACAGCTACAGCTAGTCTATAGAGGGAAGTTGTCAGCATTGTCATTCTCTTGTTAATTCCAAGCCTTTCTCGAAGTCCATCAAGCATTATAGTCTGGCCTGGCTTCCACTGTGGGGAAGAATGGTGAAGAAGCATGGCCACACCTGCGGTGATTCAGGGAACAGCAGCAACTTAAGAGAAACAGTGGAGAGGCAGCTGCCACCTTCTTGACTGTATCACTTGAATTCCTGATAGTAGACTGTATTTTCCAAAGATAGAGCAATCTCTCCCCTCCCGCAGCCTCTTCCAACATGTGACCTTGACAACCCTTTCATTTAATGATGTGTTCCCTGTCTCCTAGCCTGGAGCCTAGGAAGAGCTTTGCAATTGCCTCTGTCAGAGGCGTCTGAACCAGAGCAACTCCATCTTGAATAGGAGCTGGGTAAAATGAGGCTGAGACCTACTGGGCTGCATTCCCAGACAGGTAAGGCATTCTAAGTCACAGAATGAAATAGGAGGTCAGCTCAAGATACAGGTCATAAAAACCTTGCTGATAAAACAGTTTGCAGTAAAGAAGCTGGCTAAGACCCAACAAAACCAAGATGGCAATAAGAGTGACCTCTGGTCATCCTTGTTGCTACACTCCCATCAGCACCATGACAGTTTACAAATGCCATGACAATGTCAGGAAGTTACCCTATATGGTCTAAAAAGGGAGGCATGAAAAATCCACCCGTTGTTTAGCATATCATCAAGAAATAACCATAAAAATGGGCAACCAGCAGCCCTCAGGTCTGCTCTGTCTATGGAGTAGCATTCTTTTTTTTTTTTTTTTTTTTTTTTTTGAGATGGAGTCTTGCTCTCTCGCCCAGGCTGGAGTGCAATGGCACAACCTTGGCTCACTGCAAGCTCCGCCCTGGGTTCAAGTGATTCTCCTGCCTCAGCCTCCTGAGTAGTTGGGACTACAGGCGCCTGCCACCACGCCAAGCTAATTTTTTTCTGTTTTTAGTAGAGATGGGGTTTCACCATGTTGGCCAGGCTGATCTCGAACTTCTGACCTCAGGTCACCCACCCACCTCGGCCTCCCAAAGTGCTGGGATTACAGGCATGAGCCATCGTGCCTGGCCGCCGTTCTTTTATTCTTCTACTTTCTTGATAAACTTGTTTTTGCTTTGCACTGTGGACTCACCCTGAATTCTTTCTTGTGTGAGATCCAAGAACCCTCACTCAGGGTCTTGGGATTGGGATCGGGAGCCATTTCCTGTAACACCTCCACCAATAGAGGATGGTGGAAATGATGCCATATGATTTCTCAAGTAGGTCATTAAAATGTCCTTCACTTCTGCTTTGTTCTCTTGAGATATTTGCTCTTGGAATGCAGCCACCATGCAATGAGAAAACCCAGGCCATGTGGGGAGGTCACATGGTGATGTCCTAGCCAACAGATTCATCTGAGGTCCTAGTCAGTATCAACCCCCAGATTTCTTCAAATGGTTTCAGCCTCTAGCTGTCATGTCACTCACAGCCTTCGAGGCTTTCTAGCTGAGGCCCCAGACATTGTAGAACAGAGACAAGCTGTTCTCCAGTGTCCTTCTTAAATTTCAGACCTACAGAATCCATGAGCATAATGCAATGGCTGTTTTATGTCACTAAGTTTTGGATTGGCTCATTATACTGATCCAAATAGCTGGAACATGTTCATGCTTACTTTCCAGGTGAGGTTCTCCGGAAACCTCAACTCAGAAATACCACTCTTTTTGAGACAGGGTCTTGCTGTGTCACCCAGGCTGGAGTGCACTGGCACCATCATAGCTCACTGCAGCCTTGAATTCCTGGGCTCAAGCCGTCCTCCTGCCTCAGCCTCTCAAATAGCCGCATCTACAGGCGATCACCACCATGCTTGGCTAATATATTTTTTTTTATTTTTGTGTAAGACAGGGTCTCTCTATCTTGCCCAGTCTTGTCTCGAGCTCCTGGCCTCAAGTGATTCTCCTGCCTCGGTCTCCCAAAGTGCTGGGCTTACAGGCATGAGCCACCACACCTGGCCCAGGGCTGTTCATCTTATCAAAGATGTACTGCCTCAAAGCACAAGGAAACAACTTTACAGTGAAAGATATTTTTAAAAACATGTAGCAATCTATTTTGCTTGAAATGAGACTCTGTTTTTACCAGGACCCAGAACTCCATTGAACTATAAACCAGAACTAACCACATTAATTTCCTGAACCTAGGCAGAACCAATTCCAAGTATCGCTTTTATTTTTAGTGAACCATAAACCGAATCAAAGTTGTTTAAAACATTATGAATATAAGTATTCCATTCAAATTACAACCAAACCAATGTATCTTGTAAAATAATTTTTGCCATGTTAAAAATTATGCTATAAAAATATTTTGCTGTTCTCTAAAATGAATCTGAAAAAAAAAACCTCATAAGTAAATAAATAAATATGTCGTTTGTTCAAGCCCTTTGGGATACATACTAATTCAATCCAAATTGATTGGTAAGATGGTAAGAAATACATTATTTATATGAACTGAGGGAGGACATGTCACTTCACACACCAGTTCCCAATAAGCCCTAAGCACTTTTCTATCAAAGGGGCTGTACAAATTATTGTTATAAATCACATGATACATTAGAAAGAGTCAGGATTTTAGAGTCTCCCAGACTGGGATTATTATCACAACCCATTTACTCTGAGACCTCAGAGAATGTATAAGACTTCTCTTGGTTCATTTTGTCATTAGTAAAATGGAAAAGAAAATATGCCGACTTCATAGTGTTTGTTTGTGTGTGCACAGCTGTAGGTATATGTGTTTGAGAGAGAGAAAGAGGGAGAGAGAATGAGGGAGAGAGAGAGAAAAAAAGAAGAGGGAGGAAGGAGGAGGGAGAGAGATACAGGGAGGAAGAGAGGGAGGGAGAGAGGGGGAGAGAGAGGGAGAAAAGGAAGGAGGAAGAGAGAGAAAGAGAGAGCATTTGTTGCAGAGATGGCTAGTTTTGCCCTAAAACATGCACTTCCCTTTATGTAATGTACAGTTGTTTCTGGGTGGCGTCTAACCAGGTGATGCATTTGCTGGTTCTCATCTTGTATCCAGGTGAGGCTGGAACTAGGCTCACCACGTGGACAGGCGTGATCTGTGTACATATGAGCCAACACATTTAGACGACTGGATGCCTCCTCCACGTCTTCTTCTCTTGCCTGCCAACTGGGAGAAAACCGAAGAAGACTCCAGGATCCTGGGAGATACAGGTGGAGGCCACAGATGGAAAAAAAACCAAGTCCTGGATTCACTGTATGGAAAAAATATGTGCATTAACCAGGAACATCTACAGTAGATAATTAGAGGAGAGGGTGATGATCCACGGAGACTTGGGGGGTTTATTTGTTAGAGCAGCTAACGTTACCCTAACTATTACAGAGTCAGAGGAAATAATGTATATAGAATGATAAGTCCAGTGTCTGGGAGATAGCCATGCTCAGTAAATGTTTTTGTTTGTCCCTTTGAATGAATGGAGGGTATCTACCTATCTTCCACCTATTCAGGATCTCACATGAGGCAGCACATTTAGCACACTTGTGTAGTTGTAATCTTCCATGCTTATCTTTGTGAGTCTGTTTGAAAAGTTGGATAAATAGCAATGACTGACCACATTTGCTTGTATAAAGCACACGTCTCCTTTCAAATTTCATGTTAGTATTGATATTTGTGCTGTATATTTAGCATCATTGAAAAAGGAGAACGAATTTATGAAAAAGACATAAATGTTCCCATAGAAACACTCATATCCAGCCTGGGCAACATAGTGAGACCCCGAGGTGATTATATTGCTTGAGCTCAGGAGTTCAAGACCAGCCTGGGCAACACAGCAAGACCCTGTCTGTCTCTACAAAAAATACAAACATTAGCCAAGCATGGTGGCCGGCATGCCTCTAGTCTCAGCTACTCAGGTGACTGAGCTGGGAGGATCCCTTGAGCCCAGGAGATGGAGGCTGCAGTGAGCTATGATGGAGCTACTGTACTCTAGTCTGGGCAACAGAGTGAGATCCCACTTCAAAAAAAAAAAAAAAGAAAGAAAATAAAAAGAAAAACTCATGTCTTGTGGTTTATTAAAGAACCAACAAACATCACAAGACCTCTCTGTTCCTAATCATGAGGTGGCAACATTCGATATAGAAGAGAATGGCCACTAGGGCTATATAATATCCTCCTGTGTTTCTGTCTATTAATTAAAATTCTAATCATTAAAGAAAATATTTCATGTAAAAATATTTTATTTTAGGCCAGGCACCATGGCTCACTCCTGTGTAATCACAGCACTCTGGGAGGCCGAGCTGGGAGGATCACTTGATGTCAGGAGTTCGAGACCAGCCTGGGTAACATGGTGAAACCCTGTCTCTACTAAAAATACAAAAATTAGTAGGGCATGGTGGCTCGCACCTGTAGTCCCAGCTACTCGAGGGGCTGAGGTGGGAGGATCACTTGAGCCTGAGAGATTGAGGCTGCAGTGAGCTAAGATCGTACCACTGCACTCCAGCCTAGGTGACAGAGCGAGATTCCGTCTTCCAAAAAAAAAGCCATAATAGTAACTTCATTTGCTTTTCTTTTTTTGAAATCTAGTGATTCAGGACCATAAGATGTGACATAATACCTAGTGGACTAGCAAAGTTTTTAATTTTCTATTATATCTCTGTTTTATATCACCCTTATGTGTGATGAGAGAAATTACTTTCAAACATTCTGATTTTATACAATTAATTTTTTTTCTTGTTAATAAAATCTGAGGAAGCCACCCAGCTGTCAGAAAATAAGCTATTATATTTGAGTGTTAAAATGCTTTAATTTGTGATGACAATCTGCCTTGAAGCATGGTGCCACTCCTTCCCCCTTAGCTCATATTTTGTTGAACGAGACTTTGCTTGAAAACAGATTCTTCAGTGTTCCCTTTCTGGCTACAGGACAAAAGTATGTTTGTGGCATGCTCAAGTAGAAAGCTCTTTTGCAGAAGTTGAAGCTGAGTCTTTGTTTTGTACATAATCTATTGCTTAGTTCTCTAATGGATTTAGTGTGAGGGTGGGACTGGGGAAGGGGTGGGCTGGAGTACTGTGTGAGTGGTCAGCGTTGGTTTGGGCTCATGGCCCATAAAACTAGGAGGGCAGTTTCTAAAGGTGGCAGCACAAAGTGACAAAGATAAAACCCATTTTTTTTAGGGTCCCGTTCTGTCACTCAGGATGGAGTGCAGTGGTGTGATTCTAGCTCACTGCATCCTCCAACTCTTGGTCTCAAGCGGTCCTCCTGCTCCAGACTCCTGAGTAGCTGGGACTACAGGCGTGTACCACCATTCTCAGATAATTTTTATATTTTTTTAGAGATGGGGTCTCACTATGTTGCCCAGGCTGGTCTCAAACTCCTGGCCTCAAGTGATCCTCCTGCCTTGACCTCCCAAAGCACTGGAATTACAGGTGTGAGCCACTGCTCCCAGCCAAAACTCACTTTTAAAGAATAGTGTCTTAAGCTTCAGGGCTTAAAGCTCAACACGTTATTGGGGAGTGCCATCCCAGGGTAGCAGGAGTCAGCCCAAAAGGAGGGAGAGCAAATATAAGGACATGTATTGCCCACTTTGCACAACGTCAATGGTGATATCTCAGTTTCTCGGGTTGTCTTCAGAGAGGCCACGTTGCCAAGAGGGAAAGGGATGAAAGAAATGATCTATTGACATCTGTCTTCCACTGTTCAAAGTTTACCCAGAATTTCCAGGCTAAGTGCTTAGTGGGTCCTGAGGCATCCTGTACCCCAACAGCAATGTGGGAGCCCTGGAATGACAGAGAAAGAGGTACAGGGCACAGGTATGAGGCAAGATGCTCTTTGGCCATTCCTGCTAGTGACAGTAGTACCTGCCACAGTGCTGCCAGGTCTGTAGAGGCAGTGATAGCTTGCAACAGAAACTTCCAGGACCACGGGAACTTCAAGTCATGCCCAGGGCTGCCTCAGCCAAGAAACAAGGCAATGCTATGACTCCAGGGCCAATAGCAAGTCTGCAGGGATTGGAGTTTTCAACGAAAGCTTCTGTAACGGTACATTAAAATTAAATTTTGCTGAGGCATATCCTAAATGGTGAGATGTGAGACCACCCCGATGCAGGATATAAGCTCTGGTCCCTGGTCCTTCCAAGTCTTGCCTTTTCCATAGTTCCCCGCTGGTTGTTACAGAGTGCAATACTGGCTTCAATAGGCACCATCATAGCAGAAGAAGGTGGGTCATTTACAAGCCACATTTCCAGTTTCCAGTGGATTGGGCATGGAAGTTTAATTGCATTCACTAAGCTTGTGCTGAATGTGGACAGGTGGGGTCACAGGGTGGGGTTGGGTAGGAAAAGACCATGGCTGTATTGTGTTCCTGTCCTTCTTTCTTGTCCACTGCCCATGACTACCAGACATAACAGGATTAAGTAGCATCTTAGAAGTGCCCTTGGATACTGGGGCATAGCTCTTTCCTTCTATGTGTGCTAGAAGAGCCGTCTTGAGATCTCAGTCTCCTGTGCCTACCAGCTCCCTCTTCATTCCAAGGCTAAACATTCGTTTTCAGTTCTGACACTCCAAAACCACCTGCTCTTCACTTTTTCCAGGTTTCTGAGGCAAAAAGCAAGCAGCTTTTTGACGGGGGAGCGAGGTGGGAATTGAGGGTTTGCCATGAGTGCCCTGGAGACATTAAAGGGGGAATTTTAGCCCAAGTGAGGGGTGAAACTTGTAGCTCAGAGAACTACAGAACTACAGCCTGGGACGCTTTGAACATCTGCTCCAGAAAGATTTTGGGGACTTTTTAGATTCACTTTGGGTTTCATGGGAAAACTCAGGGGATGGAAGATCTTAATTTCTTATCTGGGCCACTTAACATCTCATTGACTCTTCGCATCTTTAACGTGAAACTCAACTTTTCCCAAGTGTTGGGTCGAAGTTCCTTAAACATCAATGCCTTACTCTGTTGTTTTAGGGAACTTACATGCTGTTTATGAGATCGAATGACTGATTCTCTTGAAGTTTGAAGTATCTGGTTACGCAGTTTTCCCTGAATCTCCAATTATCAGATTTGGTAGCAGATAATCTCCAGTCATCAGATTTGGTAGCTGAAGATCTTAGCTTTATAGGCTATGAATAACTTTACTGTAAGTGATGAATAGGAATAAAAGAAAAAAACTTACAAAACCAAAAGCTTATATACTTATTTGGGGGCATTTCTGTGAGTTTGTTCTTTGTTATTGGATAAGGTACAGATTCAATCTGTTTAGTTATTTCAGGAGTGTTCAAGTCTCCTCTTTCTTCTTGAGTGACCTGGATAAACTTTCTCCCCCCAAGACAATGTCCATTTCTTCTTCTGTTTTTAGATATTAGGATGTTTCTGGTTTTCTTACTATGTACATCATCTTTCTTGTTATCTTTATTTAATCTGTTCTCTTTTAAAATTTGTTTTAATTAAAAATATTTTTTAAGAGACAAGTTCTCACTCTGTCTCCCAGGCTGGAGTGCAATGGTGCAATCACGTCTCACTGCAGACTTGAACTCTGGGCTCAAGTGATCCTCTCGCCTCAGCCTCCTGAGTAGCTGGGACTACAGGCATGTGACACCACACCTGACTAATTTTTAAAATTATTGCAGAGGGCCAGGAGCAGTGGCTCACGCCTGTAATCCCAGCACTTTGGGAGGCTGAGGTGGGCGGTTCACTTGAGATCAGGAGTTTGAGACCAGCCTGGCCAACATGGTGAAATCCCATTTCTACCAAAAATATAAAAATTAGTGGGGCTTGGTGGCAGGTGCCTGTAATCCCAGCTACTCGGGAGGCTGAGGCAGGAAAATTGCTTGGACTCAGGAGGTGGAGGTTGCAGTGACCCGAGATAGCACCACCACACTCCAGCCTGGGTGACAGAATGAGACTCTGTCTCAAAAAAATATTTTTTTGTAGAGACAGGGTTTTGCTATGTTGCCCAGGCTAGTCTTGAACTCCTGGCCTCAAGCGATCCTCCCGCTTTGGTCTCCCAAAGTGTTGGAATTAAAGGCATGAGCCACTGCGCTCAGCCTGTTCGCTTTGAGTTATGCCTTTTAAAATCATGATATGATGCCTTTCCCCCACTTTTTTTTTAAATGCTCTCAATGGAATATTTATTTTTTTTATTGTATATATTTCTGGTGTACAAAATGCTTCGATATACATATACATAGTAAAATGATTATTACAGACAAATTAAAATATTCATCATCCCACATAGTTAGCTATTTTTCATGGTGAAAGTACCTAAAATCTACCTTCTTAGCAAATTTTCAGTATACAGTGCAATACTATTAACTACAGTCTTGATGTTATATATCGGCTCTCCAGACTTATTCATTCTGTATAACTGTAACTTTGTACACTTTGACTTCCATCTCCCCATCTCCCCACTCCCCCACCCCTGGTAACCACTGTTCTATTCTCTATTTCTACATATTCAAGTGTTGTTTTTGTTTGTTTGTTTGTTTTGGATTTCACATGTAAGTGAAATCATGTAGCATTTTTCATTCTGTGTCTTTCCCAAGAAGCTATTTTTGGCTTTGACAATTTTTTCTATTGTATCTATTGTATCTTTATTTTAGACTTCATTCCTTTCATCTTTTTTTTTCTTTTTTTTTTTTTTGAGACGGAGTCTCACTCTGTCACCCACGCTGGAGTGAGTGCAGTGGCACCATCTCGGCTCACCACAAGCTCCACTTCCCGGGTTCACACCATTCTCCTGCCTCAGCCTCCCAAGTAGCTGGGACTACAGGCACCCGCCATCACGCACGGCTAATTTTTTGTATTTTTAGTAGAGACGGGGTGTCACTCTGTTAGCCAGGATGGTCTCGATCTCCTGACCTCCTGCCTTGGCCTCCCAAAGTGCTGGGATTACAGGCGTGAACCACCGTGCCCTGGCATTTCTATGTTTATTATTTTCTTCCTGCTACTTTCCTCAAGTTTATTCTGTGTTCTGTCACTAACTTCTTACATTAGATGATTTGATCATTAATTTTTACTCTTTATCTTTTTGATATAAGCAGTTAGGATTATACATTTCCCTATGAGTATTGCTTTAGTGCATACTAACACTTTAAATGTATAAGATTTTATTATGGTTCAGTCTCAAGTAGTGAAACACTCCCATGCTAATTTCCTCTTTGACCCACGAATTAAAGTGTGCTTGTGATTTTCAGAATAAAAAGATCTTTTTAAGGTATGTTTTTGAAATGTCTAAATGCATGGGATTTAGTTACCTTTTTATTGCTGATTTCTAACCATTAAATTTTGGTGAATGTGGTCTATTAGATGCCAGTCCTACAAAAATTTAAAGAACTTTCTGACTTACAGTGTGGTCAGTTTTTATAAATGTTTCATGAGTGGTTGAGAGGAATATGATTCCCCTAATTGTTTGGTGCAGGGACGCACATACGCATATTCATTAGGTCAAGCTTGTTAATTGTGTAGTTCAACCCTTCCGTAATTTACTGCTTGCTTTATTTATTCCTAGGAAAGGTGTGTTTTCCTATTCCATTCTGTTGAAGGATTTGACAATTTCTCATGTAGTTCTGTAATTTTTATCTTATAAATGAGATTGTGCTACTAATCATGAACAAATATAAAACTACCTTCCTGGGGAAGCAAACCTTTGATCATGATAGCAATCCTTTTTATTCATAATAATACTTGCTTGCTTTAAAGTTTATTTTCTCTGATATCAGTAAATTATGCCAGATTTTTTTTGCCTTTCAAACTCTCATTTGTATACTAGTATATATGTGTGTGTGTGTGGTGTGTGTGTGTGTATGTGTGTGTGTGTGTGTATTTTTAAACTCAATCTGACATTCTCTATTTACTGGAAAATATTAGTCACTCCATTACATTTACTGATATATTTAATCTTCTTTCTTGCATTATAGTTTCTGCTTTCTATTTGATCTGCCTTTTCTGTGCTTTATGGATTTTCTTTTTCAGTTTTCTTTTGGATTGATTGTATTTGTAAGTTTCATTGTCCTCTCTATTGTTTTGGAAGTTTTCACTCTATCCTATTCTTTTATTTTATTTATTTATTCATTTTTTTGAGACAGAGTCTTGCTTTGTTGCCCAGGCTGGAGTGCAGTGGCATGATCTCAGTTCACTGCAACCTCCAGCTCCCCTGTTCAAGAGATTCTCCTGCCTCAGCCTCCCGAGTAGCTGAGACTACAGGCTTGCGGACTAATTTTTTTGTATTTTTAGTAGAGATATGGCTTCACCATGTTGGCCAGGCTGGTCTCGAACTCCTAACCTCAAGTAATCTGCCCGCCTTGGCCTCCCAAAGTGCTGGGATTATAGGCGTAAGCCACCGCACTTGACCTATTCTATTCTTTTAGTCAGTACCCTTAAAATTTTGATATGCTTAAGTAACTTAGAGACCAAAGTTAAATAGAATATTTCTATCTCTGAACAATCATAGACCTTAGAATACTTTAAATAACTTATCCTCTGTTTTACATATTATTGTAGATCAATATTTAATTTTATGCTGATTTTTTTTCTTTTAACCCACAAATCAGTTGTTTTGCAAATGCTTTAGATCAGGGGTCAGCAGAAGTTTTCTGTGCAGGGACAGATTTTCTGGCCACAAGGTCTATGTCACAGTTACTCAACTCTGCTGTTGTACTACAGAAACGGCCATAAAACCATAAACAAATAAGAGTGGTTGTGTTTCAAGAAAGTTTTATTTACAAAAATAGGCAATGTACTGGATTTGGTCCATAGTTTGTCAACACTTGCTTTAGATCTTCTGATGTGATTATTGCTTTACTTAGTTACCATTTTTTCTTGAATCTTGGACTCTCCTTCTAGGTCATCTCCTCTCTCCTGAAGTATATTCTTTGGATAGTTCCTTAGTGAGGACCTGTTGGTCACAGGCTCTCAGAATTTCTTGACTTTGTCATTGGTTAATGTTATATCTTGGATGGAATGATAGTTTAGCTAGGTATATTTTCTCTAAATTTTTTTTTTTTGTGGGGGAAGGTGGGTAAGAAATAGCACATCCTATTATTTTTATATTTATTTTTAAATGTAAGCCCCCATCTTGATGAACCAGTAAAAAAAAATTCCAATTTAGTTCTCGTTGGGCCATCTTCTTATGTCCATTTTATAAAATTATATTTAAAGTTCTTAGACTTGCTTAGTGCTGACACATTAGAAAAAATGAGAGTCTTTTGGTGCTTTAAAGTTATTATTCTATAATTTTCTGAATTTTATAGTTGTTGCTAAAGATTTCTGGCGGTGGTTTAATTAGTGAGAAACTGTCATTTCTCACTGGCCAAAAAAGATTGTTTTTTTTTTCCTTTTCCTTTGGTGTTCTGTGGTTTTACTATGCTGTATCTTGGATGGTAGATATGGCTTGGATTTGTGTCCCTGACCGAATCTCATGTCAAGTTATAATCCCCAATGTTGGAGGAGGGGCCTGGTGGGAGGTGATTGGATCACAGGGAGCAGATTTCCCACTTGCTGTTCCCGTGATGGTGAGTGAGTTCTCACAAGAGCTGGTGTGTAGCACCTGCCCCTTCTCTCGCTCTTCCTCCTTCTCTGGCCATGTGAAGATGTGCCTGCTTCTCCCTTACCTTCTGCCATGGCTGTAAGTTTCCTGAGGCCTGCCAGCCATGCTTCCTATACAGCCTATAGAACCATGAGCCAATTAAACCTATTTTCTCATAAATTACCCAGTCTCAGGTAATTCTTTATAGCAATGCAATAACAGACTGATACAATAGTCTCTTTATGGCTCCTGCTTTAGATTTGTTGTAGTATCTAAATCTGAAGATTTACATCTTCCACTATTTTTTTAAAATTCTCAGCCATCACTTCTCTTAATATTTTCTCTTCTGTGTTCTATATGCTTTCTTGTTTTGGAACATTGATTAGGTGTATATTAGACCAAATTATTCTTTCTTCGTCTCTTTGTGCTACATTCTGGGTAATCTCTTTCAGTTCATTAATTCTCTTTTTTTGTCACCCAGGCTGGAGTGCAGTGGTGTGATTTCAGCTCACTGAAGTCTCAACCTCCTGGGGTCAAGAGATCCTTCTACTTCAGCCTCCCAAATAGCTGGTACTACAGGTGTGCACCATCATGCCTGGCTAAGTTTTTGTATTTTTTGTAGAGATGGGGTTTTGCCATGTTTCCCAGGCTGGTCTTGAACTCCTGAGCTCAAGCAATCCACTTCCCAAAGTGCTGGGATTACAGGCATGAGTCACCACACCTGGTCAATTCTCTTTTCAGTTGTGTTCATTCAGCTCTTTAAACCACATTGAATTCTGAATTTTAATGATTTTATAGTTCATGTTTAGAAGTTCTATTTTTTTTTTAAAGTTATATGGTTATTTTGGAAGGAAGCTATGCTAACCACTATACCACAAATACTACAGTGGTTATTTTGGGAGCCTCTAAATTTGCAGTCATTTTTTATTATACATTTTATTTCTTTAAATGTTTTATTTATTTATTTATATTGATGTATTTGTTTTGTTTTGAGACAGGCTCTCTCTTTCTCTGTTGCCCAGTCTGGAGTGCAGGGATGCAATCATAGCTCACTGCAGCCTTGACCTCCCAGGCCCAAGCTATCCTTCTACCCTAGTAGCTGGGTCTACTGCTGCCCACAACCACACCTGGCAAATTTTTGCTTTTTTTTTTTTTTTTTTGGTAGAGACAAAGTTTTGCTATGTTGCCCAGGCTGGTCTTGAACTCCTGGGCTCAAGCAATCTGCCCGCCTTGGCTTCCCAGAGTGCTGGGATTACTAGTGTGAGCCACCGCACCTGGCCTATTTAAATATTTTAAATGCAGTTATTTTACAATCTGTATCTGATAACTCTAACACTAAAAGTTCTTGGTTCTTGAGACTGTATTGTATATTAATCTTATTGGCTCTTGAGGAAGGTGACTTTTGTCCTCATGTCTTTTATGATTTTTGATTGTGAACTCATATGTGACTGGCTTTTCTATTTGAGATTCCTGAAGAGCCTGGGATAGAAATGATTTCCTCTACAACAGGATTTGTGTTGGTTTCTCTTAGGTCTTTCTCTTAGGACTGCTATCAGCATGGTGCGTCTTCAGTCTAGTCACTTACCTTGGGTTTCCTGGAGCAATCAGAGAGTAAATTCAACACCATACTCACATAAGGACAGGGCTTGATTACACATTCTCAGAGGAGACCTCCTCTACTCACCGTCTTGGCCAAGACAAACATGTTTGCGTTTGTTTTGGGTTCCTTTGCTTGAGGAAGGATTTTTTTTTTTCCCTAGCTCAGCTTCGTATTATAGGCATAGCTCTTGTGGGGTCCTCACTGATGTAAGGAGTCTCAGTTCCAATGCTTCACCAAGGACGTATGGAAAACTTGGTCTCTTATTCCTGGCCAAGCCATCAAAACCCAAGTCCAGGATACGGACACCAGCGCACGCACCCCAGGGCAGCTTTGGCTTATGGTTGTACTCACCACTCTGGCATGAGCTCCTATTTCATTTCGATCCCTGGAAACCTTCTTTAATTTCTTGTGAAATTTTCTGTGCATTCAGAGCTATATTTGCTGTGGGATACCCAGCATCTACTTGTTTCATAGTGAAACGTTTCCCAGGATATCTATCCAATCCTAAAGCAAGAGACCTGAAGAGTGTCGTTTTTTTGGAGAGAGGGTGTCGTCTAAGCTGGAGTGCAGTGGCACAATCATGGCTCACTACAGCCTCAACCTCCTGGGCTCAAGCAATCCTCCCACCCCAGCCTCCTGAGTAGTTGGGACTTCAAGCATGCGCCACTGTGCCTGGTTAATTATTTTTCTATTTTTTGTAGGAATTAGGGTTTCCTTATGTTGCCCAGGCTGGTACGGAACTCCTGGGCTCAAGCAATTCTCTCGCCTCGACCCCACAAAGTGCTGGGATTACAGGTGTGAGTCACTACACCAGTTGTAAAGTGTCTTTGCCTGTATTTTTCATGCTGCTTTTCTTCCTTTGATATATATTCTTTGCTAGTTATTTAGCACAAGTGCTAGTGCTAAGACTTTATTCCCTATTTGCTCATGTTAAACATGGCTACAGGTATTGTCCTAATAGAGTTTGGGTCAAGTCTCCTTGACCTTAGTATCTTTTTATCTTCTCCTTGCCTGAGATTGCAGAGTGTGAGGTCAAGGAAAGGGTGGAAAAGAGAGGGAAGGAGAGGGAGAAGGAGAGAGGGAGGGAGGTAGAGAGTGAAGGAGGAAGGGAGGGGAGAGAGGAGAGGAAGAAAGAGGTAGAGATAAGGGAGAGACAGAAAGAGAAAGAGGGAAAGAGGGAGGAAAAAGGGAGAGGGAGAGAGATGAGAGAGAGGTAGAAATGAGAGAGAAACAGGAAGAGAGGGAGAGAGGGAGGAAAAACAGAAAGAGATGAGAGACAGGGAGAGAGACAGAGAGGAAGTAAAAGAGGGAGGGGGGGAGAGGAAGAGGAGGAAAGAGGGAAAGGGATAGAGAGAGGAAGAAATAAAGATAAAAAGAGACAGAGATAGAGGGAGAGGGAGGGAGAGAGAGAAAAAGGGAGAGAGAGAAGGACAGGGAGAAAGAGAGAAAAAGAGAAAGGGGGAGAGAGAGAGAAAGTAAAGGGGAGAGAGGGAGGGAAGAGAGAGAGGGAAAGGGAGGGAGAGAGAGAGAAAGAAAAAGGGAGAGAGAGAAGGACAGGGAGAAAGAGAAAAAGAGAAAGGGGGAGATAGAGGGAGAAAGTAAAGGGGAGACAGGGAGGGAAAGGGAGAGAGGGAGAGAGAGTTCACGCAGGTAAGCAGGCTGGGGATGTGGGGTATTATGGTGAGTGGGTGTTTTCTGCTCTCTCTTCCTCAAGTTTGTTAAAAAGTCTTGTCCTACGGCTCTCACCAAGGTCACTCTCGGACCATTTGAGCCGTTTCCCCAATTCCAGGCAGAGTCCGAAATTTCCCTTTGAACCAATGTTGGGTCCCAGTGAGCCTCTTCCTTGACTTCCCCCATCTCTCCCCAGGGGCTGTTTTTCACCACTCGCCGTCTGTGGAAGACACAGAAGGCGAAACATGGGGCTTTGGGGCTCAATGTTTTGACCTGTGGGAAGAGGGGGACAGAACTGAGTCTCTGTGTGTTTCTTTCCCTTCCACGCCTCTCCTTCCCTCAGGACGTCTTATTTATTTTCGTGACTGCATCGCAAACTCCCTGTTATTGCTGAAGGTAATTAGCTCTGTGCAATTATAATCATTCTCCATTCCTCTCTGGCTTTCCTCTCCACCAGGGAAAAACAAAGGTGAGACACCGAGATTATGGGGGAGGGCTTCAGTCTTTGAAGCATTTTCTACACCTTTTCACCCCAACTGCCTACACATACCCTCTGCCTGCTTCTCTAGAAATTGAGGTATTCATGAGCTATCTTAGGATTTTGTCCATTGACCATCTTTATTCTGTTCTGGTTTTGGGGAGAAGATGGCTATGAGAAGCACTAATTCTTAGACATTATTTCTAGACTTTCAAAAAAGGATTATGGGTCAGGTGTGTGGGCTCATGCCTGTAATCCCAGCACTTTGGGAGATCAAGGCAGGAGGATCACTTGAGGTGAGGAGTTCGAGACCAGCCTGGGCAATATGGTGAGACCCCCCCCCACCCCCGCCGACCTCTAAAAAAATGTTTTAAATTAATGAGGCATGGTGGCACATACCTGTAGACTCAGCTACTTGGAGGCTGAGGTGGGAGGATCACTTGAGCCCAGGAGGTTGAGGCTTCAGTGAGCTATGATCGTGTCACTGCACTCCAGCCTGGGTGACAGAACAAGATGCTGTCTCAAGCAACAACAACAAAATAACACCCAAAAAGGTTTTTGACGTAAGCCTTGTGGCCTTTTGTTTTTTTTTTTTTGCTTATTGTCTATATTTATGCTGGTTTTAAATTTGTCTTTTACATTTGTTTTGTTAGTTTTGAGAGCTGAAGACACCATGATGCCCCTTCATTACCTTAATAGTACTTTCAAGACCACATCGGTCCCTTTCTGCGGGGAGCGAGGGCTTTAGACCCAGAAAGACTTCAATTCAAATCTTAGCTCTGTCATTTATGGGATATTGAGCAAGTTACTTACTCTCTGTATTTCAGTTTTATCCTTTAACACCGTGATAGCAATTATTGATAACAATTATTGTGGTGAGGTCCTGGGATATATACATGAATTAAACAAGGTTTGTTCACTCCACAAGATCATTTTCAAGGGCAGACTGAAAAATAAATGGTTACTAGCCAGACACAGTGGCTCATGCCTATAATCCCAGCACTTTGGGATGCCAAGGGAGGAAGATCATATTAGGTCGGGAGCTCGAGACCAGCCTGGCCAATATGGGGAAACCCCGTCTCTACCAAAAATACAAAAATTAGCTGGGTGTGGTGGTGCACACCTGTAATCCCAGCTACTCAGAAGGCTAAGGCAGGAGAATGGCTTGAACCCGGGAAACAGAGGTTGTAGAGTGCCGAGATCATGCCACTGCACTCCAGCCTGGGTGACAAAGCAAGATTTAGTTTCAAAAAAAAAAAAAAAAGAAAGAAAAAGAAATGATTACTTAAAATGGAGAGTACTCAGTCCAGTGGAAGCCTTCTCTGGGTGATCCTCAGAAGGCAATAGAGAAAGGACAGTGAGGATAAGGATGATCACTCATCTTTTCCAAGTGAGCGTGCACCCGATGAGACAGTTGAAATGACCTGTTGGAGGTAGCAGGAAGAACATGTGAGGAAAGTGTGTAACTGATGTGGCTCTGGGGGGTCATGTAGGAGGTGAAACTCAGGGGGCTGCAGGCACCAGGTCATGGAAGATTTGTGTGTCCTCCATGGTTTGCTGTTGTTGTTATTATTATTATTATTTATTTTTTTGAGATGGGGTTTCACTGTGTCACCCAGGCTGGAGTGCAGTGAGGATCATAGCTCACTGCAGCCTCAACCTCCTGGGATCAAATGATCCTCTTGCTTCAGCCTCCCAAGTTTCTGGGACTATAGGTGTGCAGCACCATGTCCGGCTAATTTTTAAATTTTTTTGTAGAGATGAAGTCTCACTGTGTTGTCCAGGCTGGTCTTGAACTCCTGGGCTCTCCCATCTCAGCCTCCCAAAGTGTTGGGATTGCAGGCATGAGCCACTGTGCTTGGCCTAGAATTTGTTCTTAGGAACAATGGATTTTTTTTTTTTTTTTGAGATGGAATCTCACTCTGTCCCCCAGGCTGGAATGCAGTGGCACAATCTCAGCTCACTGCAAGCTCCGCCTCTGGGGTTTATGCCATTTTCTTGCCTCAGCCTCCCTAGTAGCTGGGACTACAGGCGCCTGCCACCATGCCTGGCTAATTTTTTGTATTTTTAGTAGAGATGGGGTTTCACCGTGTTAGCCAGGATGATCTCGATCTCCTGACCTCATGATCCGCCTGCCTCGGCCTCCCAAAGTGCTGGGATTACAGGCGTGAGCCACTGCGCCTGGCCTACAGCTGATGTTTTTAAGTTGACAGTTAACCACAATCAGATTTGTGTTTTAAAAAATCATGTAGGAGCATTGAAAGAGATGGTTAAAAAGAATGAGGGAGATTGTATACATGGCTGCAACCATATCAGACATCCAACAGGCTCTTCTTACAATGTGACTTGGGTATTCCTTCCATTGAGTAGATCTGGGCAGGCTTATGATACTGTGAGACTCCCAAGCCAGATCACAGAACCCAACACAGCTTCCTCCTAGGCCTCTTGGTATGTTTGTTCTTGGAACTCACCAACATGCCATGAGGATGCCCAAGCATTTGTGGAAAGAGCCACAAGGAATGAAATTCAGGACCCCAGCTGAAAGCCAGGGCTGAGCTCCCAGCTGACAGTCAGTGTTAACTACCAGCCACGGGACTACACCGTCTTGAAAGTGGATCCTTCATTCTCAGTGAATTCCACATGGGACAGAGAGGGGCTGACCCTGCTCAGCCCTGCCCAAATTGCACATTCAAGGGCAGAAGAAAGGATTACTATTGTTTTAAGACATTGAATTTTGTCATGATTTGCTACTAGGCAATAGATAACTGATACAGGAGGGAGAATGGAAGCAGAGGCATTCATTAGAGAACATAATTACTCAGGCAAAGGATGATGAGGGCTTAGCTAAGGCATTCATTAATTGAACAAAATTATGACATGTCAGGCATGGTGCTATGACATGGGACTATAATGTGAACTAGGTAGACAAGGTCTCGTCTCTGAAGAAATTGACTGGCTATTGGGCAGAAAGGATGGAATACAGAATATAGCCACTGAGCTACTTTATTATGTTAACCTAAAGATGCGTGATCTTGTCATGTAATGTTAAGAGGCATTTAAAAAATAGAATAAAATAACTAGAAACATGCATTATTATATGGGTAAAACTTTTGGCATCCAGATAGCATAAAAATGGCATTGGCTTTACTCTCTAAGCCCTATTGAACATGTTAGGAAGCGGGTTTTTTTGTCTTTGTCTCCATTAGAGAAAACCTTCATGTGGGCACTTTTGATGCTCCCCTGCCATTGTGTGATTTTCAGTTCAAAGCACTTGCTATTTGCATCAGTGCTTGTTGCTTTTTTTTTTTTTTTGAGGCGGAGAGTGGGAGGATTACACAGTGTTCTTTTCAAGTGCTCTCAGTCCCTGATCAAAGGAAGGGTTTTAGAGCCTTAGTTTGTTGGAGATTCCATATAAGACTATTCTTGGTTTGGGGTTTTGAGTAAATCACTTTTGCTTAAACACCAGAGAGAAAGAGTACTAACCCATGCATTGTCAACTACAAAGTCCTATCCAAGTGCCAATTACTTTTATGATTTTAAAATGGAATTTGGGGTTGAGTGGTGTGCAGGGTATTCACCATTAGTGAGGGCATTTCTTTTGAAAGATAATAATTCATTCAATAATTCATTTAATTATTTGAGCCTTTACAAAGAACAGCCAGAGCTCCTCTCCGTCTCATTTTTTTGCCACACAAAATATTGCCCCCTCTTTCTTCTTCCCTTTAAGCACCACAATAAGGGGTCATCGTCACGACTCAATTCTGCGTGTCCACCGGGGCAAGCTGGCTTTTGTTCTCATCGCTCTGCTGGGAATGGAATCATCAGAGGTTTTTTTGTTGCTGAGTTCTTTGAACTCTTCTTAGTGCACAGTTGGCCTGGACTCTCTGCAGCACGTGGTGCTGTTGGCCATGGCCTGGTTCTCAAAACCTGGGTCTCCACTGACTTCTGTGCTAACACCCTTGGCTCTTACTTCTCTGATTCCTTTCTCTGCTTCTGTTGCCGGCTTTTCTTTCCACGTCTTTCTTTATCTTAAATGTTGATATTACCCCGGGTTTAGTTTTTAAATCCTGATGTGATTTGGAGCTGTGTCCCTGCCCAAATCTCATGTCTAATTGTAATCCCCAGTGTTGGAGGTAGGGCCTGGTGGGAGGTGATTGGATCATGTGGGTGGTTTCTGTGGTTTAACACCATTCCCCCTTGATGCTGTCACTGTGATAATGAGTTGTCATGAGATCCGGTTGTTTAGAAGTGTGTGGTACCTCCCCCCTCTCTCTTCCTCCTGCTCCCAACATGTGTAATGCTGGCACCCCACTTTGCCTTCTGCCATGATTGTAAGTTTGCTGAGACCTCCCCAGAAGCTGAGCAGATTACAGCATCGTACTTTCTGTACAGCCTATACAGACTGTGAACCAATTAAACCTGTTATCTTTATAAACCACCCAGTCTCAGATACTTCTTTATAGCAATGTGAGAATGAACTAATACAAATCCCTTCCAATTTCCCAAGATACTGTTATCTGTTTCTAAGACTTCCATCCATCTAATGACTGTCTATATTCTGATGAGTCTCAAAAACCACATCTACTACCCTTGAAGCATCCATGCTTAGGAATCACCATTTTTAAGGATATGAAATTGAACAAGCCATAGTCTCTCACAGCAAGGAGTTTACAGTCTATTAGGGCAGATTAGATGTGCACACGCATTGTGTCTTCAACTTGGACTTCCCCATCTGGCCTAGCAGAGAACAGATACTCAAGACTTAAGGTTTCAGGGTCAAAACTGATTTCTTCCATTGCATAGAGGTGGCACCAACACCTAAGGTGGTTAAGACAGACACCTATAGAGCTGTCTATTTTATTTGAAACTGGATGAAGTTTAGGAGAAAACAAATGCCATCTCAGCTGTAAGTAGAACTGTATCAGTTGGTGTTGCTTAGTTGTAAGCCACAAAAAATGGACTCCAGGTAATTTCAACTAAGAAAAAGTTTATTGAAAGAATAGAAAATATGTCTTGGAATTGAAGAAAGAACTGGACAACCAAGTTTCCAAAAAAAAAAAAAAAAAAAAAAAGCACCAACACCATTCTGGAAGACTGGGCAATAGAAACACACAGATTATCACATGCCCAAACCTTGGCTCAGAGGTAGCTCTGCCAGAACTCCAAAGTAAATAAAGCTCTGTAGGCTAAGACCTGTTAACTTAAAAAAAAATCACAAATTTATAAATTTAGAGAAGACTTTATTTCTTGTAAAGAATTACATCCTGCAAGATGGCCATCGCATATGCTGGGAAGCATAGCCTTTGGCCCAGACCATAGATAGGCACGTCAAAGGAGGAGGAGGAGCTAGGGCAGGAGTTTATGACGAACAGGTTGGCTAAACATACATATTCAACAGGTTAAGGAAGAGCTATGAATATTCATGAAGGTGGTCCTAATATATGTGGATTGAACAAACGTACATCTAACATAGGACCCATGTTCACACGGTGGCGGAGACTTAGCACTTAAACATATTACAGTTAGCCTCTAAATGTCAAAACATCTTTTCGGGATATGGAGCTACTCAAGTGTGCAGCCTCTGTAAACCAGCTGGAACCAGCTCATGGCTAGTGGTCTTCTTGTCAGGAGAAAGATACAGAAAGCAGCCTCTTGTCCAATCAAAGCTGTAGTTGTGACTGGTGGAATGGGGGTGCGGGTCAGTTAGTGTCTGGTGGTGAGCTAATTATTTTAATAATACTTATCCCAAGGTCAGTGCTTGTTTAGCTGCTAGAGAAAAATAAAAACCTTGTGGCCGTTAGAATGTAGTTCATTCTTGAAGTGTAGGGGTGTCTGACTTAACCCTGCCTGATATGACCTTAGATCCTGTTTAGAATTTGGTGTCTTATTGCCACAAAGAATCTGTTCTGTCAGTCTCGTGGTCTCTATTTTAACATTAGTGCTGGTCAGCCATGTCTGAACTGCAAAAGGGCATGTATTATGAGGCATGTCTGACGCCCCCATCCCATCGTGGTTGGGAACTCAGTTTTAAGGTTTTTCTGGGGTCCCCTTGGCCAAGAGAGTTTGTTCAGTAGGTTGGGGCAGCAGGCGGGGAGGTGGGGCTTCGGCGTTCATTTTTAGTTTACAGACCACAGTTACCGACCACAGTTACCAACCACAAGAGGAAAAAGTGGATTAGTCAATCACAGTGCCTGACTCATAGTGGGTATTCAATAGCAAATTTTTGAATGAAGAAATCAATGAATCCGGTTACTAGGTAGATTAGATAACACCTAAAATCTCTGCCAATGACACTAGAATTCTTTCATAGACCAATGTGAAACTTTCTGGGCATTTTAGTGTGGCTGGCGTGGTGAATAAACTATATTTCTGTCTGAAAGGAAAGACAAGAATACTGTGTGTAGCTGTCTTATTGGGATTCAGAAATCACTCTGGTTATTACCGAACCAAATAAAAATAAACTCAGAAGAAGCATCTGCACATCACGCTATTGTTTTTCTTCACTGATAGGAGCATTATGGGATGTTGAGGGATGCCAGAGAGGATGCAGTAATGTTCCTTTGGATATAGAACACTTGAGATTTGACAGTTTCACATTTTTCTTTATTTCTGTGAAGGCAGGATCCTGACAGGGCTATATTCTGCCACTCACTCACGCTATTTTCTTGTAAATGGCAGTGAAGGAAAGAGGGGAATAGAGACACCTTATTAATCAACTCGACTGCAATTTTATAGCACTGTGCCCAGAAGGACACACTGAACTATCGGTGTCAGTCAGGAAAACACATGACTCAGACAAATTAAAGACTATAGAAATTCAACAGGTGGACAGGAGCCAAACTCCATCCAGCAGGCTCTGTGCCTTTGAGGCTGTCTGGGCAGCATTCATTCTCAAGATGTGAAACGGGCAACCCTATTGATCCACTGGCACATTTGTATGTCTTCACCCTTGTTTTAATATTTTCTTTTTCTTTCTTCTTTTTTTGGAAGCGCCAACTTCCAGGCACGAAGTTTGTTCCTCTACTTCTGCAGAACAAACCAGCACAAAATGCAGTGGTTTAAAGTAAATATTTATTTGGCTCTTACAGGTCTGTGGGTGAACTGGGCTCAGCTGGATGGTTTTCACTTGGGGTCTCGCCAAAAGTTTTTTTTTAAATCTTCAACTTTTATTTTAGGTTCAGGGGTACGTGTGCAGGATGTGCAGGTTTGTTACATAGCTAAATGTGTGCCATGGTGGTTTGCCTCACAGATCATCCCATCACATAGGTATTAAGCCCCATATGCATTAGCTATTCTTCCTGAAGCTCTCCCTCTCCCCACTCTCATGATGGGCCACAGTGTGTGCAGTTCTCCCCATGTGTCCGTGTGTTCTCATCATTCAGCTCCCACTTGTAAGTGGGAACATGCAGTGTTCGGTTTCCTGCTCCTGCGTTAGTTTGTTGAGGATAATGGCCTCCAACTCCATCCATGTCCCTACAAAGGACATGATCTCATTCCTTTTTATCGCTTTGTAGTATTCCATGGTGTATATGTACCACATTTTCTTTACCCAGTCTATTATTGATGGGCATTTGGGTTGATTCCATTTCTTTGCTATTGTGAATCTCTCAAACAGTTTTGCATTTAGATACTGATTACAGTTGGGGTCATCTGAAGGTTCAGCTCTTCTCTGATATGTCTGCTGTCTCAGTGGGGGTAGCAGAGCTACATGGGTTAGCTGGGCAACACTCTCTTTTCATGTTAACCTGGGGTAGCCAACTGCAAAGCACTTACAGTGTAAACTTTCCAAGATCTCCCAGTGGAAGCCACAAGACTTTTTTTTTTTGAGACAGAGTCTTGCTCTGTCTCCCAGGCTGGCGTGCAGTGGTGCGATCTCGGCTCACTGCAAGCTCTGCCTACCAGATTCACACCATTCTCCTGCCTCAGCCTCCCGAGTAGCTGGGACTACAGGCGCCCGCCACCACATCCGGCTAATTTTTTGAATTTTTAGTAGAGACAGGGTTCCACCATGTTAGCCAGGATGGTCTCGATCTCCTGACCTCGTGATTTGCCTGTCTCGGCCTCCCAAAGTGCTGGGATTACAGGCGTGAGCCACCGTGCCCGGCCAAGGCTTCTTATGACAGCTTCAGAAGCCATGCAGAGTCACAGGCCTGTTGAGATTTGAGGAACGGCGATTGCATGAGGGTATGAGTCCTGGGAGCTTCATTTCATTAGGAAGCCATCTTTGAACTACAGCAGAGAAACAGTAAAAGAACAAACATAACTAACTACATTTTTGTTTAAGGGACCTTTACTCATTCCTGCACGTAGCCTAGGATAATTTTAGAACACTGGGATAATAACACACACACACAGCAATCATGTAGTTTTAAAAACTAACTCTGGGATTAAGGGAGAAGTATGTCAACAACTAGCTGTTTTGTTGTAAAATTTATATGAGCATTGTGACCTGACCAAGGACAGAGAAGTTTCCAACCTCCTTGGACCCTCACTAGTGCCCAGATATCTGCGGTGGTCGGTTACCTCTTTTTAAAATTTAAATTATTTTTTTAAATGTGGAATGCTTCAGGAATTTGCATGTCATCTTTGCCCAGGGGCCTTGCTACTTTTCTCTGTACCGTTCCAATTTTAGTATATGTGCTGCCGAAGCAAGCACTGTCAGTTACATCTTGATCCTAGCCGCCCCCCTTCCCCCTGCTCTTAACATAAAAAGAGCCTAAAACTGGTTGTGACTCAAGATGGTACTTTGGGATGATAGTCCACCATCTTCTTTCTTTGCTTGCTCTCCAAATAAACCAGCTTTTCTTCCCACAAATTCTTGTCTCTTGTGTAAGGCTTTCAAGTGGTCAGCAGCTGAACCCTGGTTCGGTTACAGAGCAAGGCTGTGTTAAGTCTCTTCTCGTGTA
The DNA here is from genome assembly GCF_000001405.40 of Homo sapiens. Classification (NCBI taxonomy): domain Eukaryota; kingdom Metazoa; phylum Chordata; class Mammalia; order Primates; family Hominidae; genus Homo; species Homo sapiens. The sequence goes on along the minus strand of NC_000007.14, from coordinate 69,125,019 downwards.
TGTGGCCTCTGTAGGGGCTGTGCATGGTCTTGCCTCTCATACCGCATGCTTTCCACACCCTGGAGTCCTATGGCTCCCACAATTTTCTCTATTCCCTCGATCCATATGTACCTGCCTGCCTTCCTGAGGCATGTTGTTCTCCCATCTCTGCCTCTTGGCCTAGATTTCTCTTACTGATCCCCAGATCTCCCCAGCACTACATCCCATCAGGGAAGTGGTTCATGGCTGCCCAGGCCAGGCCAGACTCTTCTCTTAAAAACTTCCAGAGGCCAGGTGTGATAGCTCATGCCTTAATCCCAGCACTTTGGGAGGCCGAGGCAGGAGGATTGCTTGAGATCAGGAGTTTGAGACCAGCCTGGGCAACATAATTACACCCCATCTTCACAAAAAATTTAAATATTAGGCCAGGTGCGGTGGCTCACGCCTGTAATCCCAGCACTTAGGGAGGCCGAGGCAGGTGGATAATGAGGTCAGGAGATCGAGACAATCTTGGCCAACATGGTGAAACCCCTTCTCTACTAAAATGCAAAAACTTAGCCAGGCGTAGTGGTGCGTACCTGTAATCCCAGCTACTTGGGAGGCTGAGGCAGGGGATTCGCTTGAACACGGGAGGTGGAGGTTACAGTGAGCTGAGATAGCACCACTGCATTCCAGCCTGGTGACAGAGCAAGACTCTGTCTCAAAAAAAAAAAAATTAAATATTAGCCCGGTGTGGTGGTGTGTGCCTGTAGTAGTACCAGCTACTCACGAGGCCAAGGGAGGAGGATCATTTGAGCCCAGGAGTTTGAGGCTGCAATGAGCTATGACCTTGCTACTTCACTCCAGCCTGGGTGACAGAGGGAGACCCTGTCTAAAAAAAAGAAAAAAAAAAAACTCTCAAAGAAGTGAGTTCCTTCCCTTCATGACACTGACAGCAGTTTGTACATACATCAGCTGCAAGATAATTGGACTAACCTCCTCTGGACGTCACTTCAAAAGAGCAGCAGTGACTGACTGTATTTTGTGTATCTTTTTTAAAATCAATATCATGTCTTCACACTTAATGCATAGTGGCAGCTTAGCAACCTTTCTTCAGTGAATGAATGAATGAACATCTCTTTTCAAACTGCTGTGTTCTATGTTGTGGCTTCTTTTTCAAGATAATTTGCTTGTTCTATTGGGAACAAATCTTTTTTTTTTTTTTTTTTTTTTTTGAGACAGAGTCTCACTCTGTGGCCCAGGCTGGAGTGCAATGGTGAGCTCTTGGCTCATTGCAACCTCTGTCTCCTGGGTTCAAGTGATTCTCCTGCCTCAGTCTCCTGAGTAGCTGGGATTACAGGCATGAACCAGCATGCCCAGCTAATTTTTTTTTATTTTTTTTTTGTATTTTTAATAGAGACGGGGTTTCTCCATGTTGGCCAGGCTGGTCTCGAACTCCTAACCTCAGGTGATCCGCCCCTCTTGGCCTCCCAAAGTGCTGGGATTACAGACCACAGGGAACAAATCTTCTGATGGAGAGAGATTTAGCTGAATTCAGGGGATCAGGGGATTTTTAAGAGACTGGGAAATAAGGAACAAGGCATGGGATTTTCAGAGATGTCGCCTTCTTCCTCGGATGCACAGGTTAGCTGCAGTGGATTAAACTCCTTGGGGATCCTGTGGATTGGGGATGGAGACACAGATTAGTGCATACTCGCCTGAGCCAAAAACTGAGGACAGTCTTCCCATGTGGTGGCTGCCGTAGGGGATCTGGGCTGATTTCCCTGAGCAGGCAGGAAAGAGGCAGTTGGCCCTGGCGGGTGGCAGGTGGAATATCTAAGCTGTAAAGCTGGTGTGAATCTGGTAAGAAGCAGGGCAGGTGTGTAGACGTTCAGACCATTGAAAAGGGGCCCAGGCTGCCAGCAACAATCTCAATTAGGAGATGTTCTGCAGGGAGCACAGCCGGCAACTCGAGTGTCTCATTTCTCTAGCCTTCTGAGGTCACACCTTCCTGTATTAGCCAAATCATATAAATGAAGCTTCTATCCTGCTTCTTTGCAGTGAATCTGGTATTCCCCCAACCTCCGCAGGGCATGCTAGATGGTTCTGACTGCCAAGTCCCCAACACATCGCTGGCTGTCTGCAAATGCTGTATCTTTCTTATGATTGCACACCAAATGTGAAAGGAGGTGCCTCTCCTTCAACTCCATAGCACCACCAACCCGCAAGTGACTTCACCAGAGAACTTTGGCTTGGGGGACAGAGGAAAATGATAGCACAGGGCAGAAAATGACTTCAAAATAAACAGCAGAAGTTGCTGTTCCTAAAATTTAATGGCCAACCATCACCCCAGAAATTCCCTTAAAAGCTATAGTTCTCCTTGGTTTCAGCTGAATGTTCTTTTGTGAAAGCTTCATTCTCCTTAGAGCCAACACCTGCTAATACTATCTGTAGCTGCCTCAACAACGTGTAAAAAACTCTTTGAGCCTGCCAAGTGAAATCTTCAAATGTCTTAGCACTAAATATATATAATTTTGGACAGATGTGGTGGCTCACGTTTGTAATCTCAGTGCTTTGGGAGGCCAAGTCAGGAGGATAACTTGGGGCCAGGGGTTTGAGACCAGCCTGAGCAATGTAGTGAGACCCCCCATCTCTACAAATAAATAAATAAATAAATAAATAAATAAAAATTAGCTCAGTGTGGTGGCACATGCCTGGAGTCCCAGCTACTCGGGAGGCTGAGGCAGGAAGATCACTTGAGCCCAGGAGCTGGAGGCCACAGTGAGCTATGATTGTACCACTGCACTCCAGCATGAGTCACTGAGCAAGACCCTGTCTCTTAAAAATAAATAAATAAATCTTATGCCAGAATGCCTTAACTAAGGAAAATGCATTTAACCAATGAAGATAAATTTATCCTCCCTGTTCCTGTCTCTTTCATCTAGATTTTCTTTTGTATAACCAAATGCTCCTTTAAAGGCTATTGGTTGGTGCGGTGGCTCATGCCTGTAATCCCAGCACTTTGAAAGGCCAAGGCAGGAGGAGGGCTTGAGGCCAGGAGTTTGAGACCAGTCTGGCAAACGTGGCGAGACCCCATCTCTACTAAAAATACAAAAAAATTAGCCGGGTGTGGTGGCATGCACCTGTAGTCCCAGCTACTTGGGAGGCTGAGCCAGGAGAATCACTTCAACCTGGGAAGTGGAGGTTGCAGTGAGCTGAGACTTTGCCACTGCACGCCAGCGAGGAGGACACAGCAAGACTCCATATAAAAAAAAAAAGAATCAATGGGAAAAATTATGATTGTTTCATGAACTTTAAAAGTCAGAACTTTAAAAACTTTCTTACTGTCAATTATAAATGTATAGAAAAATTTAAAAATAAAAATGAATATTTATTTAGTACACTGAAATTTTAAATGAATGAAATATAGGGAACTAAAATCTTGATTTCTTTGTGAAATATATCTCAAGGGTAGTTTCAACAGTGCTTGCCTTCTTCTGTTTTTACAACTTATGACACGGAGTGAACATTTTGGTGAACTGTCATACTGTGGTGTAAGGCTGAATCAGCTTTCAACGTTCTATTCTTTGTGCTTTCAATTTTGGGAAATATCTCTGAGAGTTCCTTTAATGCGAAGTTGTTTACCACTGGCACCACTTCTTCTGGGACACCTTCATTCTTTTTATAAATCTTCATTTATGTTGATGAGCTCGCCTTCACTAATTCTCTGATTGGGTGTCTAAGGTATCAGCTGCAGCATGAACATTTCCATGGTCAGCTGCTACTTTTATAACTCCATTTATTTTACCATCAAATTTCATTCCCAGTATTATCACCTTTTGTTTCTTTGCTACACTTTGATCTTTGCTGGCCAACTCCCTCTTCCACTTATCCATTTTTATAAAATGTCACATGGATTGAACACTGGGATTAGACAGGGAGGCAACACGCCTACACACTTTGCTGTCTGTGTGTGAACTGAATAACAGATGTGCAGTGACGGGCTTTGAAAGGAGTGACAGAATCATTCACTGATCATGTGATTTGTGGACAGACAATCTAGCACTAAAGCTTGTAGTTAACACATTTCCTGACAGTTAATATACCTCGGTAACAAGCTACAGTCTGTGTAATACTTGTTTGAAAGGAAAATAAATCCTAGGACCCCAATATCATTAAGCTAAGGGGAAAAGTCAAGCTGGGATCTGCTTAGGACAAACCTGCCTCCCATTCTATTCAAAGTAACCCCTCTTCTCACCGAGATAAATACATACCTGATTGTTTTCTTTGGAAAGACTAATCAGAAACTCAAAAGAATGCAACCATTTGTTTCTTATCTACCCATGACCTGGAAGCCCCCTCCCCACTTGGAGCTGTCCTGCCTCTCTGGACCGAACCAATGTACATCATACATATATTGATTGATGTCTCATGTCTCCCTAAAATGTTCAAAACCAAGACGTGCCCCCGACCACCTTGGCGACATGCCATCAGGACCTCCTGAGGCTGTGTCACAGATGCATCCTTAACCTAGGCAAAATAAACTTTCTAAATTGACTGAGATCTGTCTTAGATATTTTGGGTTAACACATGCCTTTGTAGACTGGAAACTAGCACCATTCATAAACTGAGAAAATCTGTCTTGATCTTTAAACAATGATTTACCATTTTCATAGGTATGTAACCTATTTTGTCATTTAGAAACTGCTTGGAAACTGCTCTATGTGCACTCTTGCTCAGCCTGTCCCATAGGTTCTGGAGGCAATATCATGAGCTTTAACATTTTTCTTTTTCTTTTTTTTTCTTTTTCTTTTTTTTTTTGAGACAGAGTCTCACTCTGTCACCCAGACTGGAGTGCAATGGCATGATCTTGGCTCCCTCCAACCTCTGCTTCCCAGATTCAGGAAATTCTCCTGCCTCAGCCTCCTAATTAGCTGGGATTATAGGTGCGCACCACCACCCCTGGATAATTTTTTTGTATTTTTCATAGAGACGGGGTTTTGCCATGTTGGCCAGGCTGATCTTGAACTCCAGACCTCAGGTGATCCACCCACCTCAGCCTCCCAAAGTGCTGGGATTACAGGCGTGAGCCACCACGCTCTGCCAACATTTTTCTAAAGGGCTTATTCATCTTTGGTTTTGATGGTGAAAGCTGAGAAAGAATTAGAGGGAATCTGCCTGGTCTTCTTTATCTTATTTCCAAATTGTCTTATCCATAAACCATCACCTATTATTGGGTATAGGGTATTAACTTTACATTCAGTCGTTCAATTGTTTATCAAAGATATACTGAGGACCTTTTTGGGGTGAACACTGTTGAGCATACAAAAGTACATTTAGGATGGGCATGGCGACTCATGTCTGTAATCCCAGCACTTTGGGAGGCTGAGGTGGGAGGATCACTTGGCCAGGTCTAGGCCAAGAGCATCCTAGACAACATAGTGAGACTCCATCTCCACAAAAAAGAAAAACTAGCATTAGCTGGGCCTGGTGGTATGTACCTGTAGTCCCAGCCACTGGGGGCGTTGTGGAGAGAGGCTCTCTTGAGCCCAGGAGGTTGGGGCCACTATAAGCTACAATCTCACCATTGCACTCCAGCCTGGGTGACAGAGTGAGACACTGTCTCAAAAAAAAAAAATTAAAAATTAAAAATTAAAATAAATAAAATTACTTTTACATGGATACCATCCACTACAATTTAATAGAAAAGTTCAAGATTGTAGCCTGGGCAACGTGGCGGCGAAACCTCGTTTCTTAAAAAAATACAAAAATTAGCCAGGCATGGTGGTGTGCTACTTGGGAGGCTGAGGAGGGAGGATTGCTTGAATCTGGGAGGTCAAGGCTGCAGTGAGTCAAGATCATGCCACTGCACTCCAGCCTGGGTGGTAAAGTGAGACCCTGTCTCAAAAAAAAAAAAAAAAAACGTAAAATTACAGTCAACCCTCATTATGTGCAGATTCTGTATTCACAAATTTACCAACGTGCTAAAATTCATTTGTAGTCCCCTAAACCAATACTTCCTGCGCTTTCATGGTCATTCGCAGATGCGTGTGAAGCAGTTAAAAACCTGAGGCATCACCTGGGTGTGGTGGCTCACTCCTGTAATTCCAGCACTTTAAGAGGACAAGGTGGGTGGATCACGAGGTCACAAGTTCGAGACCAGCCTGGCTAACATGGTGAAACCTCGTCTCTACTAAAAATACAAAAATTAACCTGGCGTGGTGGTGTGTGCCTGTAACCCCAGCTACTCAGGAGGCTGAGGCAGGAGAATCACTTGAACCCGGGAGGCGGAGGTTGCAGTGAGCTGAGATCGCACTACTGCACTCCCGCCTGGGAAATAGAGAGAGATTCCATCTCAAAAAAAAAAAAAAAAAAAAAATCTGAGGCATGTGAGGCACAATTTCCCAGCTGAGGTGCAACAAAGCAATGCTCTTTCTTCTTGTTTTAGCCTCACACAGAGATATCCAGAAGATGCAGGTGGAACAGCGAAGTGTAGGGAGAGAAGCTCTGGTTCTGGGACCTGATGGACTAGGTTTGAATTCCAAATCTAACACTTGGGAGAAGGTAGCCTCAGGCATGTCATTGAACACTTCTAAACCTCATTTTCTCCTTTGTAAAAATAAAGAAAAGAGAATCCACCAGGATTCATTGTTTGTAGGATTTAAGATTATATATATATAATTTCTCTGAGACAGAGTCTCTCTATGTCGCCTAGGCTGGAGTACAGTGGCATGGTCTTGGCTCACTGCAACTTCTGCCTTCTGGATTCAAGCAATTCTACCTGCCTCAGCCTCCTAAGTAGCTGGGATTACAGGCGCCCGCCACGACGCCCAGCTGATTTTTTAATTTTTTTGTATTTTTTAGTAGAGGTGGGGTTTTGCCATGTTGGTCAGGCTGGTCTTGAACTTCTGACCTCAGGTGATCTGCCCACCTCGGCCTCCCAAAGTGCTGGGATGTATGATATATATCTAGATATGTACATATTTCCCCTAGAAGCAATGATTCGGTATTTACTAATTCAGCATTTGCGGAAACTTTATAGACCATAAACTACTGGGAATAATGAGAGCTGACTATACATCTCAACACCTGATGTCATGTTAAGATTGTTACTTAAAAATTTCTTTTTCTGGCTATTGGGAAGTAGGTTTCTATGATAAAAAGTATCTGAGTATAACAAGGAAGGCCTAAAGCATTCTGATATATTTGCATAAATTGTAGTTTACTCACTTCAACACTACTTTAATCCAAATAGGTTTTTGGTTTCAAGTAAATGCATTTCACATTTTACTTATCTGTCTCAAAGATTATATGCATGGCCAATGTCGGGAAGGAAAATTCACAGTCCTGGGATTCTTTATTTTCTGCAAGGATAGGGTTACAGTCATACCTTGTCTATCTGCAGATTCTTTTTGTTGTTTTGTTTTAGAGGCTAATATGGTTACTCCCTTCCCCATCTTCTTCTTCTTCTTTTTTTTTTTTTTTTTTGAGATGGAGTTTTGCTCTCTCACTCAGGCTGGATTGCAGTGGTGTACTCTCAGCTCACTGCAACCTCAGCCTCCCAGGTTCAAACAATCCTTCTGCCTCAGCCTTTCATGTAGCTGGGATCACAGATGCCCACCTCCGCTCCTGGCTACGTTTTATATTTTTAGTAGAGACAGCGTTTTACCATGTTGGCCAGGGTGGTCTTGAACTCCTGACCTCAAGTGATCTGCCCATCTCAGCCTCCCAAAGTGCTGGGATTAGAGTCATGCATGGCACGCGGCAACCCCCATCTTTTTTGTTGTTAAAACTTTCAAACATACAGAAAGATTGAATGAATCATACATTAAATTCCTATACACCCACTGCTTAGACTCAGCAACTGATAACATTTTATCATATTTGCTTTACTTACGTATGTGTATGAATATACATATAGTTGATCCTAAACCACTTGTAAGTTGTAAAGTTCATGATATTTTACCCCCCCAATTTTTTCCCTACATGTGTCCTAGGAATAACAACATTCCCCTACAAATGACACTATCATGGTCACACTTGTGACACTTAGGACAATTCTCTGATAAGATCTAATCCAATCCATATTCAAATTTTCTCCCTAAATGTCTTTTGTAGTTTTGGTTTGTTTCTTGAACCAGGATCGAATCAAGAGCGATGCTTTGACTTCTGTTATTTTTGTCTCTCTGGACTCCTTTAATTCAGAACAGACTCCAACTTTTTCCCCCATGACATCAACTTTTTAAAGTTAAGAGTCTATCATTACTTAGACATTATACATCAGAGTTAAATAATAATCTGAATTTGAGTCTTAGCTGTAGCTGACAAATATGGGGTCAAATAACCATTAAAAGCCTTAGTATAGGTATCTGTACTAAAGAGGTTGGAAACAATTTAAAAAGATAATGCATATGAAATTGCTTGTAAATTATAAGAGCTACATAGTTGCAGTGCTTTTTAATACCATTATTTTAAAAGTTGTTTTGAAAGCCATGATGTTATGATTCTATTATATGATAGTTAAAACAAATTAAATATATGTATATATATATTTATTTATTTATTTTTGAGACAGAGTCTTGCTCCATCACCCAGGCTGGGAGTGCAGTGGTGCAATCTTGGTTCACTGCAACCTCCGCCTCCGGGGTTCAAGCAATTCCCCTGCCTCTGCCTCCTGAGTACCTGGGATTACAGGTACGTGCCACCATGTCTGACTAATTTTGTGTTTTTAGTGGAGATGGTGTTTCACCATGTTGGCCAGGCTGGTTTCAAACTCCTGACCTGAAGTGATCTGCCTGCCTTGGCCTCCCAAAGTCCTGGGATTACAGGCGTGAGCCACTGTGCCCAGCCAAAATAAATTAAATTTAAATTGCAATTTTAAAAACTTGGGTCAATGACCTGTTTTCAATTAAAACAATTCAACAAACTCTGTATTAAATAAAACTCACTTTGAACTTCTCTTTCTTTTCCCATGTTTAGCCAGCATGAGCACAAAGAGAAGGTATTGTTTTGCATTTCAGACCAGCACTAGGATTAAAAATGACGAATGAGATTGCTGACCAGGGGATCCAGAGAGACAACATTCCTGCTGGATGCCGTATGATGAATCCTTAGTTTTGGCCTCTGCTGAGATCCTGTGGCTGGCCTCTGGCCCCAGATTAAGCTCCTATAGGACTTTTGTTTTCACCCGAGATGAAGTGACAGAGAGGGGATTTTCCATCCTGCCAGAAACAATAAAAATACTCTGACAAAATATATAAAACAATCTTTTTTGTTTTGAGATGGGGTCTTGCTCTGCCACCCAGGCTGGAGTGCAGTGGTATGATCACAGCTCACTGCAGCCTCAACCTCCTGGGCTCAAGTGATCCTCCCACCTCAGCCTCTCAAGGAACTGGGACTACAGGTACACACCACCAGGCTAATTTGTATTATTATTATTTTTTTGTAAAGATGGGGTTGTGCCATGTTGCCCAGGCTGGTCTTGAACTCCTGGGCTCAAGCTATCCACCCACCTTGACCTCCCAAAGTGTTGAGATTACAGATGTGAGCCACTACACCTGGCCTCAAAACAATTTAAAAAAAGAAAAAGAACAGTGGTCCTGGAGAGACAAGAAAAAAATGAGGTGAGTCCTACTATAGTCTCAGCTTACTGTCTTGAGTTTCTAGGCTGTGGCCCAGGGAGGCAGAACCCAGAAAGAGCCCAACAGACTCCCTTAGTTGAAAAGAGGGAGCTGAGAGTCCAGGGAGACCACAGTGACTGGAGTTCATAAGGCAGAATACTGGAGAGGAGAGAGCTGCAAGAACTCTGAAGATTTGCAGAGATGCCCCCTCAAGCACCTAGCAAAATGCTGGTGATTACATGGATGCAAGGGAACTAAAAGGATTAGAAAACAGTTCCCAGAGCTCACATAGCATCAGGAAAAAACACCTGTTTCCACCAGCCAAACTGGAAAAACTTATAATTCATGGGACATTGGGTAGAATACTCAAGAAGGTCTTGCCTCAATATTTGGAGATAATTTGCTCTGGATTGGACAGGGCTTCAGATCTGCCTAACAAATCATAATAGCATGACCCCAAAGGATCAAACTATTCCCAAATAATTTAACTGCATCCAAGAACTCAAAATTGTTATGAAAATCCTAATAATATAGTTATTTCAAAAATGTCACAGGAATTCAAACAATCCAACATCCAATAAGGTAAAATTTACATAGTCCACCAGTATAAGATTAGCAGGTATACAAAGAAATATGACAATATAGTCTATGATGAAGAGAGCAGACAAGGACATCAAAATATATTTTATGAATATATTCCATGTATTCAAAAGGTTAAGCATAGTCATTGAACACATAAACAGTTCTAAATCAGAATTGTAGAGGTAAAAACTATAATGTCTGAGATAAAAAGCACATGGGATTAACAAAAATTAGACACGGTAGAAAAAATGACTCATAAACTTGAAGACACAACAATAGAAACGATCCAAAATGAATCACACAGACTCTGGTTTCTCTTCAGATTGTATAAATCTTTTGCCTTTTACCAAAATGAATCACAAAAAGAAAATTCAAGAAAAAAGTGATTGGCACATCAGTGAACTATGAGACAACTTCAAGCAGCCTAATATACACATGATTGGAACTCCTAGGGGAGAGAGAGGGAGGGGATAAAATTGTGATAAATAGTGACCAAATAAATTTCAAATTTGATGAAAATTATATTCCCACAGACCCAAGAAGCTTAATGAACCTTAAGCACAAGAAACTAAAAAGCCCTACACCACGATGCAGTATAATCAAATTATTCAAACTGTTGATAAAGTATCTTGAAAGCAGCTGGAGCAAAAGGATATGTTATGTATCAAGAAATAAAAATCAGAATGACATCAGATTTCTCATCTGAAACAACGCAAGAGAGAAGATAAAGGAGGAACATTTTTTAAGTACTGAAAGAAAAACTTGTTCACCTACAATTTTATACCAAATGAAAATCTTTCCAAACTAAGATGAAATAAAGGTTCTTTCAGGGATACAAAAGCTGAAGCCATTAATCACCAGCACATTCACACTCTAAGAAATATTAAAGGAAGTCCTTCAGGCAAAAGGAAAATCACACCAGATTGAAATATGGATCTTCATAAGAAATGGAGAGCATTAGAACTGGTAACTATCATATCATGTAAGAAATTTTCTTACTATTTAAATCTCCTTAAAAGATAATCAACTATTTAAACCAAAATAATACTATATTTTGGGGTTTATAACATAGATATAAGTGAAATATATGGCATCATTAGCACAAAATGATTAGCACAAAAAAGAGATAAATGAAAGTATATCATTATAAGTTTCTTACATGTGAAATGGTATGTTGTTTGAAAGTAAATTGTGAGAAATTGAAAAAATTTGAAAAAATGGAAAAAACCATCAAAATAAAGAGCACAGAGTTATAGCTTATAAGCAAATAAAGAAGATAAAAGATGACAAATGACACAACAGAGGGACAAGTAGAAAACAAATGGGAGGTGATAGACTTAAATGTAACCACACACATTAAACACAAATCTTGGTAAATGTTACATGGGCCCTTGATTAAAAAATGCAGATTCTGCTGATGTTGGGTAGGGTGTTGTATATATTTCGACTAGATCTTGTTTGTTGACCCTGTTACTCAATTCTTCTGTATTCATACTGGTTTTCTGTTTAGTAGTTCCGTCAATGGCTGAGAATAGAGTGTTGAAGTCTCCAGTTGTGGATTGGCCTGTTTCTCTGTTCAGCTCTATCAGTTTTGATTGATATATTTTGAGGCTCTGTTGTTTGGCATGTGTGCGTTTAGGAGTGTTATGTCTTCTTGGAAAACTGACCCTTTTATCATTATGTAATTATGTACATGTCTCTAATGTCTCTCAATGAATGATGGACCTTGGCATCTCATGGCTGGGCTTCTTAGTTACTTTTTAATGATCCTCACTCCCACACCTTGACTTTGTGATATGGTTTGGCTCTGTCCTTATCCAAATCTTATATTGAACTGTAATCCCCAGTGTTGGAGGAGGGGCCTGGTGGGAGGTGATTGGATCACCGGGGCAGATTTCCCTCTTGCTGTTTTCATAATAGTGAGTTCTCACAAGATCTAGTTGTTTAAAAGTATGCAGCACTTTCCCCTTTGCTCTCTCTCCTGATCTGACATGTGAAGATGTGCTTGCTTCCACTTTGTCTTCTGCCATGATTGTAAGTTTCCCGAGGCCTCCCAGCCATGCTTCCTATACAGCCTGCAGAACGATGAGCCAATTAAACCTATTTTCTTCATAAATTACCCAGTCTCAGGTAGTTCTTCATAGCAATATGAGAATGGACTAATACAATGGTCTTTTTACGACTCCTGCTTTAGATTTGTTGTGGTATCTAAATCTGAAGATTTACATCTTCCACTGTTTTTTAAAAATTCTCAGCGATTACTTCTCTTAATATTTTCTCTTCTGTGTTCTGTACACTTTCTTCTCTTGGAACTTTGATTAGGTGTATATTAGACCAAATTTCCTTTCCTCATCTCTTTGTGCTACATTCTCGGTAATCTCTTCCAGTAATTCTCTTTCTGTTCTCATGATAGTGACTGAGCTCTTACGAGATCTGGTTGTTTAAAAGTGTGTAGCACATCCCCCTTCTCTCTCTTCCTCCTGCTCCTGCCATGTAAGATGTGCTTGCTTCCCCTTCACCTTCCACCATGATTGTACATTTCCTGAGTCTTCCCAGCCATGCATCCTATACAGCCTGTGGAACTGTGAGTCAATGAAACCTCTTTTCTTCGTAAATTACCCAGTCTTGGGTAGCAATCTAAGAAAGGACTAATACACTTTGTTTTTCAGATTACAAACTAAGATAAGTGAGAAGGCACAAACCCTGCAGACGTGGGGCATCTCTCCTGGTTTAGCTCCCAAGTTTGGCAAGGCCCAAGACCAGGATGTATCTATCAAATTTGTCTTTATCCAATGATATGGTTTGGCTGTGTCCCCACCAAATCTTATCTTGACTCGTAATCCCCATAATCCCCATGTGTTGAGGGAGGGACCTATGCGAGGTGATTGGATGATGGGGGAGGTTTCCTGCATGCTGTTCTCGTGATAGTGAGTTCATTCTCATAAGATCTGATGGTTTTATAAGTGTTTGACAGTTCCTCCTTCACAGGCTGTCTCTTGCGAGCTGCCATGTAAGACGTGCCTGCTTCCCCTTCCACCATGATGATAAGTTCCCTGAGGCCTCCCCAGCCATAGGGAACTGTGAGTCAATTAAATATCTTTCCTTTATAAATTACCAAGTCTCAGGTATTTCTTCATAGCAGTGTGAAAAAGGATGAATACACCCAATGTCTAGGTATGGCCTGAGTGTAGGAAAGAAGATCCATGGAGTATGTGAATCACTTGGTCTTGAATGGCTCCTGGATATGTCACTTGAAGACAAAGATAACAGAGGAAATTCTGTTTAGTAAAATAATCTCTGATCTGGTTTTCCAGTGCTCTAAGGTTTACCATTGTTTATTTATGAAATTCTATACATAACTGAACCTTCTGAAGCCTCAGCGTGTGTTAAATGAGGGAGCCCAGGAGATGATTTTGAAGATCTTTTCCCTCTAAACCTCCTTGAATCCCAAGGATTATGAGTGGGGAGAAAGAAAAATAATAGGAAAAACCTGTTTCCTGAAGAGGTGCACCTCGCTCCCAAACATGTTGAATTCTGCCAAAACCAAAACAGATTTTATCAGCTTCTTCTCCACCTTGATTTTCAGAGCTGTGTATATTTTTAGAGACATTATCCACATGTTTTTGATTATTTTACACTTAACTTGACAAAATATTGTTTTCTCAGAGCTTTTTGATGTGATGGAAGCCTTTTCCGCCTTCTTTATAAGCTCTTTCTTTTTTAGCACAGAGTGTCTGTTGTATTTGCTTCAATGGACTCCTCAGATCCCTCGCTTGTGGGGAGAAAAGTCCTTGAATTTATTTAAACTCTCAAACCTGTAAGTTTGGATTGGATCCATCTGCTCTTGTCTTTCTAGTCTTTCCTCACAAGGCTGTTTTGATCCTTTTCCTATCAGAATGAGGCTCCCCAGCTCCTGAGCCAACCTTATCTGGGACAGGATGCGTAAGTCAGGCCTTAGCCAGCTGGAGATGACTGTGCTGCCATCGACCTGCTATCTGGGTCGAGAACCATCTTCCTCTGTATCCTGTCCCCATACTGGGCTGCTGCCTCGGTTCTCCTGCCAAGTATTTCTGCCACTTGCTGGGATTAAGTCCTCCCCCATTGCAGAGGTACAGCCTGATCGCTCCTGTTCTAAGCCTGCAAGTGCCTGGGTGCTGCTCTCCATCTCTCACTAATGACCAGTTTCCTGTGTATGTGGACTGATAGCCCAGCCGAGAAAGTGCCACGTGAAATCAGACCTGGGTTCTCAACATCGCAGTTCTTCTTCCTCTTTTATTTCAAGTGGGGAGTCTCACTCTGTCCTCCAGGCTGGAGTGCAGTGGTGCGATCACAGCTCACTGTAGCCTCGAACTCCTGGGCTCAAGCAATCCTCCTGCTTCAGCTTCCCAAGTAGCTGGTACTACAGGTGTACATCACTTTGCCTCACTAATTTTTAGTAGAGATAGGATCTCCCTTTGTTCTTCGGGCTGGCCTCGAACTCCTGGCCTCAAGAGATCTTCCTGCCACAGCCTCCCAAAGTGCTGGGATTATAGGTATGACCCACCAAGTTTGGCCTAACATCACAGTTCGTAGATTCCCTTGTATGGCTATATCTCCAGGAGGTTCACCTGCCCCCAAAAATGCCAGGGAAGGGGTGGTTCTAGTTTTCCCTACATTATTGACCTCCAGCCACTGGAGAAGTCAGTTCATTCTCTTCTAATTCATTGTCTCCATGTTTCTGGAACATTAAATTGTTGACTGCTTTGCCAGGCAAAGTTTCTCCTCCTTAGATACGCCTCTAAGGAGGCGACCATGGTGAGATAAACCTACTGTCCCTGACGTGGTCTGGCTCTGTGTCATCTCAAATTGTAATCCCCATGTGTTGAGGGAGGGACCTGGTGGGACGTAATTGGATCATGCGGATGGATTTCCCCTATGCCGTTCTCGTTATAGTGTGTGAGTTATCATGAGAGCTAATGGTTTAAAAGTGTTTGACAGTTCCCTTGTCCCCGTCTTGCTCTTGTAGCCGTGTAAGACGTGTCGTGCTTTCCCCTTTGCCTTCCACCATGATTTTAAGTTTCCTGAGGCCTCCCCAGCCATGCAGAACTGTGAGTCAATTAAACCTCCTTTCATTAGAAATTACCCAGTCGCAGGTAGCATCTTTAATAGCAGTGTGAAAATGGACTAATACAGTCCCCTCCCCTCAAGTGATTAAAAGTCCCTGAGCTAGATGCAGATTAGGCTAGAGAGATAGACAAAGGCTTCTATCAGAGCAGGAGCTCTTACACTTTGGCGTGGATCAGAATCATCTGAAAAGCTTGCCAAAACTCGGTTTGCTAGGCCCCACCCCAGACTGTCTGACTCAGTAAGTCTAGGATGGCACCTGGGGATTTGCATTTCTGACAAGCTCCCAGGTGCTACCGATGCTTCTGCAATGCAGATGACACTTTGAGAACTGTGGCTGTATGCAAGGAAGGTAAGCAATGAATAGGAATAAGAGAAACACTTTGGCAGGAGATCCTGATCTCTGAGCCTGTCCTTATGGGATCTTGGAGCACTGCCATGTGCAGTCATGGGGCCTTAAATGATTGCTACCAACCTGGTCATGCTTTTAGCAGCAGAGAAAGCAGTGAAAGATTATATAATCCACAGTGTTACCAACTTGCACTCTAAGCCTCTCTAAGGCTCCCTCTGTCTCCTAAGGCAGCTCTCCCCAGAGTCTCCTCTGCCAATGACTATGTGCTGGTGAGACATGAAGAGATTGGTGTACTTGGGGAAATTTATAAAAGGAAGGGCAAGAACAGTGGCTTTGGGAGGCCCAGCACTTTGGGAGGCCAAGGTGGAAGAATCACTTGAGCACAGGAGTTCAAGGCCAGCCTGGGCAATATAGTGATACCCCCGTCTCTACAAAAAATTAAAAAAATTAACTGGGCATGGTGGCACGTGCCTGTAGTCCCAGCTGCTCAGGAGGCTGAGGAAGGAGGATGACAAGAGCCCAGGAGTTTGAGGCTGCAGTGAGCTATGATTGCATTGTTGCAGTCCAGCCTGGGCAACAGAGGGAGAGCCTGTGTCTAAAATGATGAATAAATAAGTAAAAATAAAAAAATTAAAGAGTTGACTGAATGACAAAGTTTGGTCTCCCCTTTCTTCCTTCTCCTTTTTTAGAGGTGGGGTCTCCCTTTGTCACTCAGGCTGGAGTGCAGTGGCGCAATCATAGCTCACTGCAGCCTCGTCCTCCTGGGCTCCAGCGATCCTCCCACCTCAGACTTCCAGGTAGCTGGGACTTCAGGCCTGCACCACCGTGCCCAGCTCCCCTTTCTTTTTGAACTTCACATTCCCATTGTACTTTCAAGTGGGACCCTGGCAGTCTCCCTGCCTCTGCATGCCCGGGGAAACCATCTGAACTGGTGTCATAGCCAGAGGAGCCCTGCTGCTCTGAGCAGGCAGATGTGGCCTCGCTAACATTTAGACAGGAGCATCTTGCACCTGGGTAGAAGACTGGCCATGCTAATAAAGAATTGCAATTTACATGAGAATGACAAGGCGAAACGTGAAGAGACTGATAGGGTTTGCCCACAGCCAAATCCTTTCTGCCTGAGTACATTCGATTTGAATTCTTCTAGAAACACCAGCTCCACCGCGCTGGGGCAATATTGAAAAGGTCAGCGAAGGCAATGTCAGACATGGTCTGCGGTTGCTCTACAAGGGCTCTGGTGGCGATGCATAACAATATATTACAGTTGCCACCTGCAGCCCTGGCTCTCCAAAAATCTGTTGCTACCAGCCTTCTCTATTTAACTGGTAGCGACAGATTTTTTTTTTTTTTGGTGGTTGTTCTTTTTCTTTCCCTCCATTTTTCTGCTCCTCTTCAATATCTGTATACAGCCAGCTAATAAGTTTTTTCCAAGACACAGTGAGGATAAATGTTTTGATCTGGCTTCCACACGCAGCCCTCCTTAGAGTGTTTGCACATGAAATATAAATTGAAGCACCTCCAGGGGCTTAGATGCCTGCACGCAGCGTTTACCTAGGAGAGATTTTGGCATAACAGAAACCCTGTGATCTTCTGCCCTGCTTTGCCTCAGGCATAGATGTGTTGAGGGTTTGTTTTTCAAGCTTAAAAAAATATGTATCTGTCATTCTTATGGAAGTAAACAGTGGGTTTGTAGTCAAGAGACTGTGGTATCACAGGCTGGGCTTTCTGGAAGCAGCTTTGAGACAAAGGTTGGGGTGCAGGATGTTTATGGGGAAAGGAAGCAAGAAGGAAACAGGACTGAACTGAGAAAGATGGGGAACTGGAGCAGAACCCACAAATCTTCAGCCAATGAAGCAGGAGCTTGGATCAGTATTGGCCTCTGGAGTGTCCCAAGACGAGCAAAAACATCCCAGCCTTTCTATTCCCACCACATTCAGGGTCAGGATGTGACTTAGATGTAGGTTATTGCTATAGACAACAAAAGCCAAACTCTGTCAAACATTTGAAGAGGTTTATTCTGAGCCAAATAAGAGTGACCATGGCCCATGACACAGCCTCAGGAGGTCTTCAGAACATGTGCCCAAGGTGGTGGGGTTACAGCTTGGTTTTATGCATTTTAGGGAGACAGAAGTTACAGGTAAAGACATAAACCAATTTGTCAAAATATGTCAGAGGTGTTTAAACCAGAACGACTCCATCTTGAATAGGGGCTGGGTGAAATAAGGCTGAGACCTACCGGGCTGCATTCCCAGGAAGTTAGGAATTCTTCCTCCTGCATCTCCCAGGAGGAGATAGGAGGTTGGCACAAGATACAGGTCACGAAGACATTGCTGATAAAACAGTAAAGAAGCTGGCCAACGGGTGTGGTGGCTCACACCTGCAATCCCAACACTTTGGGAGGCCGAGGTGGGCAGATCACCTGAGGTCGGGAGTTCGAGACCAGCCTGATCAACATGGAGAAACCCCGTCTCTACTAAAAACACAAAATTTGCTGGGTGTAGTGGTACATGCCTGTAATCCCAGCTACTCAGGAGGCTGAGGCAGAATTGCTTGAACCCAGGAGGTGGAGGTTGTGGTGAGCCGCAATGGCGCCATCGCACTCCACCCTGGGCAACAAGAGTGAAACTCCATCTCAAAAAAAAAAAAAAAAAAAAGAGAAGCCGGCCAAAACCAAAATGGCCACAAAAGTGATCTCTGGTCATCCTCACTGCTCATTGTATGTTAATTAGAATGCGTTAGCATGCTAAGAGACACTCATACCAGCACCAAGACAGTTTACAAATGCTATGGTAACACCTGGAAGTTACCCTATAATGTCTAAAAAGGGGAAGAACCCTCAGTTCCAGGAATTGCCCACCCCTTTCCTGGAAAACTCATGAATAATCTACCCCTTGTTTAGCATACAATCAAGAAGTAAGTGTAAGTATACTCAGTAGGGCGGCCCATGCCGCTGCTCTGCCTACAGAGTAGCCATTCTTTTATTCCTTTACTTTCTTAAAAAACTTGCTTTCATTTTACTCTATGGACTTGCCCCGAATTCTTTCCTGTGCAAGGTCTAAGAACCTTCTCTTGGGGTCTGGATTGGGACACCTTTCGGGTAACATCTTCTTAGAAAGTATATATTGGTTCAGCCCTGAAACACAGGCCATCTTGAAGCTGGAGCTGACGTGTCACTAGGTAAATTTAAAGATTTTCTGGTTGACAGTTGGTTGAAGAAGTTAGCTTTGCCTAAAGAGTTGAAGTCAGCAGAAAAATAGATGCTTGAGTTAAGATAGGGAAGTTGGGTTTTACATAGAAGAAGCCTCTAGGTAACAGGCTTCAGAGAGAATGGATGGTAAATGCCTCTTTTAGGATCTTAAAAGGTGTCAGACTCTTAGTTAATTCTCTCCTGGGTCAGGAAAAGGCCTGGAAAGGGAAGGAGATTCTCTACAGAACGCAAATTTCTCCCACAAGAGACGGCTTTGCAGGGTCATTTCAAAATATGACAAAGACATATATTTTGGGGTAAAATACTGTGATTTCCTTCAGAGCCTGCTCTCTGTCATGTGATGCTATACCAGAATCAGGTTGGAAATTGGTATATTACTGTTACTGGAAAGGGGTTTTGATCCAGACCCCAAGAGAGGGCTCCTGGATTTTGCACAAGAAAGAATTTGGGGTGAGTCCATAGAGTAAAGTGAAAGCAAGTTTATTAGGAAAGTAAAGGAGTAAAGAATGGCTGTTCCATAGGCAGAGTAGGGGTGTAGGCTGCTGGACGAAGGTTACTTATAGTTATGTCTTGATTATATGCTAAACAAGAAGTGGGTTATTCATGAGTTTTCCAGGAAAGGAGTGAGCAATTTTTCTGGAACTGAGGGTTTCTGCCTGCTTTACACCATGTAGGGTAACTTCCAGGTGTTGCTATGGCATTTGTAAACTGTCATGGCACTGGTGGGAGTGTCTCTTAGCATGCTAATGCATTATAATTAGAGTGTAATGAGCAGTGAGGACAACCAGAGGTCACTTTCATCACCATCTTGGTGGGTCTTGGCCGGCTTCTTTTCTGCATCCTGTTTTATCAGCAAGGTCTTTGTGACCTGTGTCTTATGCCAACCTCCTGTCTTATCCTGTGACTAAGAATTCCTCACCTCCTGGGAATGCAGTCTAGCAGGTCTCAGCCTTATTTTACCCAGCCCCTGTTCAAGATGGAGTCACTCTGCTCACTCAGGTTCAAACGCCTCTGACGTTATTACTACAAAATGTCTGTTTTGTGGTCTTATGATCTCTATTTTAATGTTAATGCTGGTTAGTTGTGCCTGAACTCCAAAGGGAAGGGGTATATTGGGACATGTCCCCCTCTTTCTGCCATGACCTGAACTAGTTTTTTAGTTTTAGTTTTTTCAGATCCCCTTGTTTAAGAAAGGGGTTCACTCAGTTGGTTGGGGCCTAGGAATTTTATTTTTGGTTTACACCTTTGTGGTGTGACCATAAGTGAGTGGCTCTCTGCAGCTGACCTGAAGTACAGGCTCGTTATATAGGTAAATTGCGTGTCACGGGGGTTTGGTGTACAGATTATTTTGTCACTCAGGTCATAAGCACAGGCAGTTTTTCACCAAAAGCAACTGCAGCCAAAACGAAAATCGACAAATGTAACCTAATTAAACTAAAGTGCTTCTGCACAGCAAAAGAAACTATCAACAGAGTAAACAGGCAACCTACAGAATAGGAGGAAATATTTGCAAACTATGCATCCGACCAAAGACTAATACCCATAATCTATAAGAAACCTAAACATATTAACAAGAAAAAACAAACAACCCCATTAAAAAGTGGGCAAAGTCGATGAATAGACCCATATTGAAAGAAGACATACATGTGGCCAACAAACATGGAAAAATGCTCAACATCACGAATCATTAGAGAAATGCAAATCAAAACCACAATGAGACACCATCTCACACCAGTGAAGACGGCTATTATTAAAAAGTCAAAATATAAAAGATGCTGGTGAGGTTGCTTAGACAAGGGAATGCTTACACACTGCTGGTGGGAGTGTAAATTCGTTCAGCTGTTGTGGAAAGCAGTTTGGTGATTTCTCAAAGAACTTAAAACAAAACTCCTATTTGACTCAGGAGCATCTTTTGTTATTCATAATAAGCTCCTTTCATCCACACTTGAGTTTATGCTGATGAGGTAACTCCTGGAGGATGGGGGCTGGTTGCCAGAGGAAC
The DNA here is from genome assembly GCF_000001405.40 of Homo sapiens. NCBI lineage: Eukaryota > Metazoa > Chordata > Mammalia > Primates > Hominidae > Homo > Homo sapiens. The sequence continues at coordinate 69,104,194 of NC_000007.14, read as the reverse complement.
CAACGATGGGGTTAGAGGGCTGGAAGTTTCAGCCCCATCCCCTGACCTCCAGGGAGAGGTGAGGGGCTGGAGATTGAATCACTAATGGCAAGTGACTTAATCAGTCGTTCCTACATAATGGAACCTCCATAAAACTGTAAAGGATGGGACTTAGAGAGCTTTTGAGTTGGAGGACACATTGAGATGCTGGGAGGGTGGTGTGCCCAGAGAGGGTTTCAGAGCTCTGCACTCTTTTCCCATACTCTGCCCTATATCTCTTTATATGGCTATTACATTTATTTATAATGTTTTATAAATTTTATATTTTTTATAATATTATATATTTTATATTTTTATATTATTTTATAATATTATTATTTTTTTGAGACTTGCTTTGTCACCCAGGCTTGAGTACAGTGGCGTGATCATAGCTCACTGCAGCCTCGACTTTGAGGCTCAAGCAATCCTACTGTCTGGGCTTCTGGAGTAGCTGGGACAACAAGTACATGCACAACCATGTGCTCAAATTTTTTATCTTTTGGTAGAGACAGGGTCTTGCTACGTTGCCTAGGTTGGTCTCAAACTCCTGGACTCAAGTGATCCTCCCATCCAGGCCTCCGGAGTAGCTAGGACTACAAGTGCATGCCACCAAGCGCTCTAATTTTTTATCTTTTGTTAGAGACAGGGTCTTGCTATGTTGCCTAGGCTGGTCTCAAACTCCTGGACTCAAGTGATCCTCCCACCTAGACCTCTGGAGTAGCTGGGATTACAGGAGCATGTCACCATGCTTGGCTAATTTTTTACTTTTTTTTTTTTTTTTTTGTAGGGACAGGGTCTTGCTATGTTGTCTAGGCTGGTCTCAAACTCCTGGACTCAAGTGATCCTCCTGCTTAGGCCTCTCGAGTAGCTGGGACTACAGATAAGTGCCACCATGCCCAGCTAGAATACAGATAATTATGAATAACATGGCGATTGATGCCATAGTAGAGGAAGGCTGGGGTGAAACGAAGCACACAGAAATTGCATGGGGTTTGATCTGTGGTGTGATGAAGATTTCTTAGAGGCTACCTGGCCTGAGTGACTCTTGAAGTTCTACCACCTCAAAAAGAAGGCGGAGAAGAGGAGAGGAGTCAGAGAAACATATTTCACATTAAAAAAAAACAAAAACGAAAATAAAACAAAACTAACAAACCATGAGCTAAGGCATGGAAACCTACGGCTGCAATGTGTGTGGACAACCGCTCTTGGGTTTTGTGGAAATCTCACGTGTGAAGCAAGCACTGAGGAACCATGGGCCTGGACAGAGACAGGTGTGAGTGTCATGGTGGGTCTCATAGCTCCATGCATTTGCACTTGATCCTAAATCAGGAAAAGGAACCATTGAAAGAAACTGAAAGGAAAAGGGAAATCTCAGGGGGAAGGGCAAACAGGGGTCTTCTAATATCTGGAGGGTCGTTCTAGGAGGAAGAATAGCTGCAGGCAGCTCCGGGATGCAGAGCCGGCGCCAGTGGGCTAATGAACAAGCAAGTCCTTTAAAATTAGTTATTTATTTTGAGATAGGATCTCACTCTGTTGCCCAGGCTGGAGTGTAGTGGTGGGATCATAACTCACTGCAGTCTCGAACTCCTGGGCTCAAGTGATCTTCCTGCCTTAGCCTCCTGAGTAGCTGAGACCACAGGCACAACCTGCTAATCTTTTATGTTTTGTAGATACAGGGTCTGGCTATGTTGCCCAGGCTGGTCTCAGACTCCTGGGCTCAAGCAATCCTCCTACCTTGACCTCATTTTTCTTTTTTTTGAGACAGGGTCTTGTTCTCTTGCCCAAGCTGGGGTGCAGTGGTGCTATCTCTGTTCATCGCAACCTCCGCCTCCTGGGTTCAAGTGATCCACCCACCTAAGCCTCCTGAGTAGCTGGGACTATAGGTACGCACTACCTTGCCCATCTAATTTTTGTATTTCTTGTAGGGATAGTTTCGCCGTGTTACCCAGGCTGGTCTTGAACTCCTTGGCTCAAACGATCTGACTTCCTCAGCCTCCCGAGGTGCAGGGACTACAGGCATGAGCCACCATGCTCAGCCCCTTGGCCTCCTTTTTAATAATAAAATCTGCCTGAGTGCTGGCTGCCTGCTTGGACATGAAAACCACAGCCCTAGAGGTTTTGAAGCGTTGGTGTCACATGGAAACTTAGGATATAGCATTTCACCAAGTGAATTCTGCAGATTTCCAGCATCAGGATCATCTGGGAGCTTGTTAATAATGAAGATTCTTGGGCCCAGCCTTAGATCTACTGAATCAGAATATTTTGGGGAAAGATTCAGGCATATGTATTTCAACACGTTTCTCATGAATTTTGAGAGTTATGCCCATAGTGGACACTGCCTTGAATAGAGAGTTGGACTAGATGACTTCTCTAAGGTTTTTTCCAAACTTTTGGCTCTTACTGTCTATAAAAGAGAATCTGAGGAGCTATGGCCAGACACTTTTTGGGGGGTGGCAGGCTTGCAGAATGGGGTCTTGCTCTGTCTGGAACCAGACCCAGGCTGGAGTTCAGTGGCACAGTCATAGCTCACTGCAGTCTCAAACTCCTGGGCTCAAGTGATCCTCCCACCTCAGTTTTCTGAGTTGCTGGGACTACAGGCATACAGCACCCCACCTGGCTAATTTTTATATTTTTTTGTAGAGACAGGGTCTTGCTCTGTTGCCCAGGCTGGTCTCTAACTCCTGGGCTCAAGCGACTCTCCTGCCTCAGCCTTCCAAGTTGTTGGGACTACAGGCGTGCACCACCACGCCTGGCTAAGTTTTAGATTTTTTTGTAGAGACAGGGTCTTGCTCCGTTGCCCAGGCTGGACTCTAACTCCTGGCCTCAAGTGATCCTCCTCTCTTGGCTGCCCAAAGCACTGGGATACAGGCCTGAGTCACTGTGCCTGGCCCCCAAGACATTTTAAAGGAAGAAGGAAGCTATCTTGAATGGAAGATGTGAATAGGGTCTATAGGTGTCTTTCTTGATCATCCTTGTATTATAAGGCCTGTATTTTTTTTTTTCTGTCACAAAGGCTTTCCAGTTCTTCTCTTCTCTTCCCTACCTGGATTTTCCAGGTGGTCAGTGCCCAAAAGAAAAATGACTCTGTGCATTAGCTCAGTTGCTAAAGCTCTACTCCTTCACAATAGTGTCCTGAATTCAATCCCCAGCTTACGGAATGAATCCTTTCTGGTTTATTGGCCAGGTGTGGTGGCTCACACCTGTAATCCCAGCAGTTTGGGAGGCTGCGGTGGGTGGATCACCTTAGGTCAGGAGTTCAAGACCAGCCTGGCCAACATGGAGAATCCCTCTCTCTACTAAACACACACACACACACCCACACACACACATTAGCCTGGTGTGGTGGTACACGCCTGTAATCCCAGCTACTCGGGAGTCTGAGGCAGGAGAATCACTTGAACCCAGGAGGTGGAGGTTGCAGTGAGCCTAGGTAGCACCATTGCACTCCAGCCTGGGCAACAGAGTGAGACTCTGTCTTAAAAAAAAAAAAGAAAAGAAAAATAACAGTTTTTTGGTCCCTTCTTAGTTCCCGTAAGTGACATGGATCCATCTTTCTGAAATGCCCTGGGTATGGAGTCAGGCTAATTTGGCAGAGTGTAATTCAGAGCTTAGAATAGGAGGAAAAGAGGTGCTTTAAACACGATGCCATTCAGCCAAAGCTGGCCAGTGGAGCGAATTCAGTGTTACAGCATGAGTAGGCACAGGATTCCAGAAATAACCATGCAGACCATGCCTATAATCTCAACACTTTGGGAGGTTGAGGCAGGAGGATCCCTTGAGCCCAGGACTTCCAGGCCAGTCTGGACAACATAGCAAGACCTCATATTTACAGAAAAAAAAAAAGGCAGGAGTGGTGGTACAGGCCTTTAGTCCCAGCTACTACTAGGGAGTTTGAGGCAGAAGGATGGTTTGAGCCCAGAAGTTCAAGGCTGCAGTGAGCTATGATTGTGCCATTGCAGTCCAGCGTGGGTGACACGTCGACATCCTGTTTCTAAAAGACAAAAACCAAAACAAAAGAAAAGAAGAAATAACCACACACAGTCCTTTTCACTTTCAAGTTGTCCTGTGGATTGCAGGCCAGCAGATTAAACCCTCCCTTGCCACACATCAGGAGCTAGTCTGAAGGCTTGGCCTTTGGTGCTTTTCTGTGTTTCCCTGAAATTTTGTTGCCTTCTCAGCTGTAGATTTGGTTTGTTTGTTTGTTTGTTTTTAAAACAAAGTCTTGCTCTGTTGCCCGGGCTGGAGTGCAGTGGCATGATCTTGGCTCACTGCAACCTCTGCCTCCCAGGTTCAAACAATTCTCCTGCCTCAGCCTCCCGAGTAGCTGGGATTACAGGCGCACACTGCCATTCCTGGCTAATTTGTTGTATTTTTAGTAGAGACAGGATTTCACCATGTTTCCCAGGCTGGTCTTGAACTCCTGACCTCAGGTGATCCACCCACCTCAGCCTCCCAAAATGCCAGGATTACAGGCATGAGCCACCGCACCCGGCCCTCAAGTCCAGTGGATTTGATTGATGCGTTTCTCTCATGAAGTCACCGCATCCACCTTATTAGGAGAACTTCATCCCTGGTATTCAATTTGTCAACCCAGATGATACGGTCCCCGAACTTGTTTAGAAAACATTTTACTGAAATCAAATTACACTGTTGCCATCTTCTTGCCAGTGTCTAGGGGAATAATATCAACTTAGTTTAGCCATCTTTGTCTATTCATTTTTGGTTGCGCTGCTAGATGCTGAAATGGGCCCCAGCTGGAAAGCCACACTCATTCAATGTGAATGTATTGTTTATTTCATTTTATTTTTTGCTGTCTCTGTTATTGTATGGTAAACATCCTTCTCCCAGCGCTTCTCCAAGACCGGGGAATGCACAATTTAAGTTTTGGAGTCACACCTGTTTTCTATTAGTTGTTGTCCATTATTTTAATTCTCCGCCTATTGTGTGTGTTCTGAAAATGTAAGTAAATCAACGTCTTCATTCAAAAGTGAGACCCTGAGTAGCATTTCGCGAGTAAAATTTGTATTATCCACATCAAATGCAATGAAGGCTTCCAATGAATAAGTCTTGATTATCAGGTGCACACGTCCTAGGAATTCAAGCAAGGGGAGAGGAGAACTGAAAAGCATGTGATTAGGGGCAACACGAAGGTTTTCAAACCACAGATTTCACAGAGCACCATGCTAAGTGATTGCGTAAAAGAATGAGGATGCTTCAAAAGTGCTCTCCTGAGAGTGAATGCAAATGACGCATTTAATGGAAAATAATCAGAAAACACTCTTCTGACAGACAAAGAGCAGAGGACAGGAGAGAAGATTCCATTAGGGGTCAATAAACCCTGGTTCCTGTTACCAGCATGATGGGGCTTGCTGCAGTCCCTTCTGAACTCCCCACCCATTGCTTTTTTTTTTTTTTTTTTTTTTTTGACAAAGTCTTTCTCTGTCACCCAGGCTGCAGGGCTGGGATGCAGTGGCATGATCTCAGCTCACTGCAACCTCTGCCTCCCAGGCTCCAGCTGTTCTCCTGCCTCAGCCTACCAAGTAGCTGGGGCTACAGGCGCGCACCACCATGCCCAGCTAATTTTTGTATTTTTAGTACAGAGGGGGTTTCACCATGTTGGCCGGGCTGGTCTTGAACTCCTGACCTCAGGTGATCTGCCCACCTCGGCCTCCAAAAGTGCTGGGATTACAGGCATGAGCCACTGCACCTGGCCCCCACATTGCATTTTCTGTAAACCTGAAAGAGTCTCATTTGCGCATTTCAGATAAAACATCTGCATAAATTCCTACCATTGAAGAGAGTAGTAGCATTCATGCAGTCCCACATACATCTACACTGGCATGATGCTTATTTTGCTAAATTAAATATTTGGACTAAGCTATGTTTACTTGCCAAACGACCAGCTTTTTTTTTTTCTTTTAAAAAAGTCAGAATGCAATAAAATAAATAGTAAGCTGTCACGTAATTATCCCCAGCCAGGTTCCTCATCTCAGCCACAGAACCCAGAAACGGACTTGAGTAACTATTTTTCTCTATTCTCATAGGAATAGAACATAACTAAAACCTTTTGGAATGGACCAGAAGAGAATTTAGGTGGGGTGGGGTGCGGTGGCTCACACCTGTAATTCCAACACTCTGGGAGGCTGGGGCAGGAGGATCACTTGAGCCCAGGAGTTCAAGACCAGCCTGGTAACATACCGAGTCCCTGTCTTTACTTAAAAAAAAAAAAAAAAAAAAAAGAAAAACTTAGCCAGGCATGGTGGTGTGCACCTGTAGTCCTAGCTACTTGAGAGGCTGAGGCAGGAGGTCAAGGCTGCAGTGAAAGCCTGGGCAATAGAGTGAGACCCTGTCTCAAACAAAACAAAACAAAACAAAGCAAAACAAAACAAACAAAACATAAAAAGAAGAGGATCTAATTTGGTACAGTGGGTGCTTTAGGGCAATTTTCTGATGGACCCCAGGTAGAGAATTCTGCTGGTTCTTCAGCTAATGTAAGAATACATCTTTGAAGTTCTTAAGCTTTTTTTTTTTTTGAGACAGCGTCTTGCTGTGTCACCCAGGCTGAAGTGCAGTGGCATGATCACGACTCACTGCAGCCTTGACCTCCTGGGCTCAGGCAATCCTTTCACCTCAGCCTCCTGGGTAGCCAGGACCACAGGTGTGCACAACCACACTGGGATAATTTATAAATTATTTGTACAGACGTGATCTTGCTATGTTGCCCAGGGTGGTCTCAAACTCCTGGCCTCAAGTGATCGTCCCTTCTTGGCCTCCCAAAGTGCTGGGATTATAGGCGTCAACCACTGCACCCAGCCAGTGTGATATAGTAAGCACACTGTGGTCATAGGGTTCACTGCACGTGGCCAGAACCCGTGGACCTAATAGATCAATAGCTTGTACAGCAGCAACCCTTACTCGGGCATGTGAAAAAGGTTTTCCCAGAATTCTGGGCCTACAAAAAAATCTCCGACTTATTCTTCCAGTACTTACTTCACTTAATTCGGGCCAGGAAGAGGACTGACTGTCCCCTTTACATTGCAATATTCATTTCTAGTTTCTGTCCAGTCTTTCACCTGTTTCTATGATCAAACTTCTGGAAGGAGTTTCTGGGTATCCTGGCTCCACTTCTCCAACTCTTACGGTATTCACTTTTTAGCCCATTATTGGAAGGTCTCTGTCTCCCCACTGTTGCACTGTTGTCCCCATCATGGACGTGTTTTTTGTTTTTTGTTTTTTAAAAGGGCCTTATTCTGTTGCTCAGGCTGGCCAGTCCTCTATGCCAAGAACCCCCAAATCTACCTTTGTTGGGAGTCCTTAAAGGGCAATGCTTCCTGTATATGGCATCTCTCCACCCTATATGAAAGGCTTTCTGTGATCTGGGTCCACCTGCTTCTTCTTCTCTTCCCTTTCTCTTTCTGAATTGCTCCCTGCTACCACTTAATAGTCCATAATTTCCTACTGTGACCCATAATTATTTTTTGTCCCTGTGCTTATGTTTCTTCCCAGACTAATTTTATTGAGTTCTTTAAGGATGCAGAGTACCTCCTGGCCACTCTGAGGAGGAGTTTGAGTGGTTGCCTAGGCTGGGGAAGTACCCCTTGCTCTGTTCTCAAGTGGCCTGCCTATCTCTCAGTGTGTACTCACAGTGGGCTCAAGGCTGAATAGGTGGTGAGGAAGTGGATTCAGCATACTCAGATGACTGTTTTTAGGAGATGGCTATAATCTATTTGTCTCCCTCAATAGGCAGGGAGCTCCTTGAGGATGGAAAACTATGATTTTTTTTCACCTCGGCAACCTCAGTTGCAAAGCAGGTGAAATCGAGTCATGAATGTACTGTATGTGTGACCAGAACAAGCCTTACCTGATGCCAACCTTTCCTGTGGACTTTTCAGTGGCATGAGCTGGCGTGCATTCCCTTTATTATTTGAGTGGTGTTTTATGTGTATTGCAGTTGAGCGCATTGCAACTCCTAAGTATTTTAACACCGTTCTCCTGCCTTCTGACCCCTGCCTTGTCCCCCTTTGGTTTGACTTGGTCTCATTTATCTCAACCATGAGGGCCTGTAAAATCGTTTGCTGGACTGATGGCTAGAAAGGTCACATTCCATATCTAAAAGTGGAAGTTTCATAGACATATGGCTTTTATTTGCTGGCTGATGTTATAAATTACCCTTTTATAGGGGTCAAAAATGGAAACAAAACATTTAAGCGACAATCCTTTAAAGTAAAACAGTAAAGGCGCGGTGGCTCATGACTGTAATCCCAGCAGTCTGGGAGGCAGAGACAGGAGAATTGCTTGAGCCCAGGAATTTGAGACATGCCTGGGCAACATAGGGAGACCTGATCTCCTCAAATAATAAAGAGATAAGCTGGGAGTGGTGACACACGTCTGTGGTCACAGCTATTTGGGAGGCTGAGGTTGGGGGACCTCTTGAGCCTATGCAGCTGAGGCTGTAGTGAGCCTCAATTGTGCTGCTGCACTACAGTCTGGGTAACAGAGTGAGACCCTGCCCCAAAAAGGCCCCCAGAAATAATAACAACAACAAAAAACCCAGTATATTCATTAATTAAATAATAAGTAAAAATTCTAAATAGGCATCCAAGGCAATAATAATGAAAAATATGTAGAAAGAAAGAAAATAATGTAGGCAGGCATTCTGGCAGCAAGGGATGTGGTTCCACCAACCTGGATGATTTTGCTGGGGCCACATTCTCTACTAGCCCTTATTTTCTTCTTCTGTGAAATGAAAGAAGAGAAGCAGATGGTCTCCCAGGTCCTCCCTGGGTCTAAACATCCATGATGTATGGCGATTTGAATTCAATTGATTATTTTTTAGACTCTTTTGTGTATGCTGGCTTGAGCCCAGCTCTCCCTGCCCAGTCTTTCTGACAGTGATAAGTTGCAAACTCATATAGAAGGGAGTTCTCTGTCTTCAATTCGTGAGACATATCTAGCTCTATTACTTGGGGTAACTCAATTCAATTCACAGTTGATTCAATGTTCACTGAATAGTTACTTCAGCCAAATTACAAAGGAGTCTCCTGGTTTCCCTGGTGAACCTTGGGAAAGTCTGATGATATTCTACTCTCTCTCCTTCTATCAACAGACATTTATTGATCACGGACTGCAGCCTAGATATGGAGCATTAAAGATAAATTAAACGAGACCTCTTTCTTTTGAGGGTGTACCAAATAGTGTGTTAAATAAAAACAGGCTCTGGTGTCCGTCGATCTGGGTTAGATTCCTAGCTTTCCTGTTTGCTGTGTGACCTGGGGAAAGTCTAAGACCTTTTAATTCAATTTGGTTTCTTGCTCTGTAAAAGTAGGGATAATAGCAGTATCTATGTTGCAGGGTGACACAGCTTGGATATTTGTCCCTGCCCAATTCCCAGTGTTGGAAGTGGAGCTTGGTGGGAGATGATTGGATTATGGAAGTGGATTTCTCATGAATGGTTTAGCACCATCTCCTTGGTGCTGTCCTTGTCCGAGTGAGTTCTCGCAAGATCTGGTCGTTTAACAATGTGTGACACTTCTCCCAGCAACTCTTTCTCTTGCTCCTGCCTTTGCCCTGTGATGTGTCTGCTCCCACCTCCCTTTCCACCATGAATAAAAGCTCTCAGACACCTCCCCAGAAGCTGAGCAGATGCCAGTGTCATGCTTGCTGTACAGCCTGCAGAACCAAGAGCCAATTAAACCTCTTTATTCATAAACTGCCCAGTCTCAGGAATTTCTTTATAACAACGCAAGAACAGCCTAAAACATAGAGTGTGTGTCAAGGCTGAATATACAAAGGCTAGCACATAGTAAGTGCTCAGTGAAGAGACAATTTAGTTGCTTATGTGTTATGAAACATAAAATAAATCCAACAATTGATTTAAAGTTTCGATAAAACTGCTTAGCTTTTACTGAATTCATGGGAAGATGACATTTACAATGGGCTTGGAAATAAGTTGGGGTCTTGTAGACAGGAAAGGGGCTGCAAAGAATTCTAGATTGAAGGGATGGCAAGACAAAGATTGGCAGCATAAGTATGATTGGGGATGATAACGTTTCCTGTAGAATTGGAGTGAGGTAATTTCTAGCATCCCTTGGCACAGGTACCAGTCTGTGGCCTGTCAGGAACCAGATAGGTGAGCCATGGGCAGGTGTGTATTCTCACCTGAGCTCTACCTCCTGCCAGATCAGCAGCGGCATTAGATTCTCATAGGAGCATGAAACTTATTGTGAACTGTGCATACAACGGATCTAGGTTGTGTTCTCCTTATGAAAATCTAATGCCTGATGATCTGAGGTGGAACAGTTTCATCCTGAAACCATGTCCCCTTGCCACCCCCTCTTGTGGAAAAATTGTCTTCTGTAAAACCTGTCCCTGGTGCCAAAAAGGTTGGGGACTGTTCCCTGGACATAAGACCAGAAAATATAGAATGTAGCAAGAATCTCAGAGTTCTGAATGTCATGCTAAACAATTCCTCAGTCAATTGAGAATGGTGAAAGGTTTTCAAGAGATGTGACATCATACTTCTTTTTTTTAAGTTTTATTTTATTTTTCATGGACACATGATAATTGTACATATTTATGGGGTACAGTGTGATGTTTTGATACGTGTATATATTGTGTAATGATCAAATTAAGGTACTTAGCATATCCTTCATCTCAAACATTTATCCTTTCTTTGTGGTGAGAACATTCAAAATTCTCTCTTCTAGCTACTTTGAAATATTTATATCTGGAGGCTGGTCACGGTGGCTCATACCTGTAATAGCAACACTTTGGGAGGACGATGGGGGTGGATTGCGTGAGGTCAGGAGTTTGAGACCAGCTTGGCCAACATGGTGAAACCTTGTCTCTACTGAAAATACAAAAAAATTAGCTAGGCGTGGTGGCACACACCTGTAATCCCAGCTACTCAGTAGGCTGAGGCATGAGAATTGCTTAAAGCCAGGAGGCGGAGGTTGCAGTGAGCCGAGATTGCACCACTGCACTCCAGCCTGAGTGACAGAGCAATACTCCATCTCAAAAAATAAAATAATAAAATAAAATGTTTACAGTGAAAGAAAAGATGGATTGGGTAATAATTTGAGGAGGAGGAAGGACTGTGAGGAGTTTCTTTGTTTGCAAGAATTTGTTTGTTTTCTTTAGAATGGACTCTGTGCCAAGTCTGGACCTTAGTGCTGGGGTCGTGAATTTTCTTGGCTTTTCGGAACTTCGCGATGCTGACGCTGAGACAGCATCACAAGACTCTCTGCTTGGCCCAAACCTTTCCTTTTGGCTCACGTAAAGAACCCTCAGATCAACTGGGCAAGCAGGTCTGAAAACTTTCCGGAAAATTTTCCATGTTTACCCTAAGCTGACAGGTGCACCTCATCATGACCCTCCTGATTTCCAATCCACCTACCAACTATTTCCTTTTAAAGCCTTGCACGTAGTAGGTGCACAGTGAATAGCTGTGGTTCAGTTGGATGGGTTTGATGTACAAAGGGCTTTGAGGCTCCTGTAAATGAGTCGGCAGTGTCTCATCATATGATATGGGGTATGAGGTGTGCACTGATTCTTTTTTATTTTTTTGAGATGGAGTCTTGCTCTGTCATCCAGGCTGGAGTGCAATGGCGCCATCTCAATTCACTGCAACCTCTCCCTCCCAGGTTCAAGTGATTCTCCTGCCTCAGCCTCCTGAGTAGCTGGAATTACAGGCACGTGCCAGCACGCCCGGCTAATTTTTGTATTTTTAGTAGAGATGGGGTTTCATCCTGTTGGCCAGGCTGGTCTCGAACTCCTGACCTCATGATCTGCCTGCCTTGGCCTCCCAAAGTGCTGGGATTACAGGCATGAGCCACTGTGCCCGGCCGTGCACTGATTCTTTAAAATCTACAGTGTGTCATATGCGTGGGCTCATGGAGTCCCACTGGAGGGTCTCAATTTGAGGATGGATATGCCACTGACTGTTCTTCTCAAGCCTGAGAATTTTCTTTTATGCTAACACCTCACTTTTCTAATTACATTTAAAAACACATAATGCTGTAAAAAGTCAAATTCTATCAGTAGCAGATACTGGGGAAGTGGAAATACGGTGTAGCCAGAGTGTGCCTACCTCCTCTGAGATTCAAGATGTCAAACTGTGTTATTTTGGTTATTGCCTTACAGTATTTCAAAATGTGTTACATTATATCATGCCACTCTGGAATATGAGGTGAGCCCAAAACTGTCGGATAATGGGCAAACACAAGGGTTTCCTGACAGTATGAATTATCCTTGAGTGGGTTGGCATAAAGTAATCACACCACTCTTTAGGGAGAGGGGAAAAAAAATAAATAAAAAAAACAGAGCGAGACACTTTGGACCAAGCAGCACTGTAATCAGATTCACTGACCCATGCAGGCAGTGGCGAGCAGTCTGGCCGGCCTGGTGCCCTTGTCATGCTCTGCAAGCTACCCACAGTGCACCTGAATCTGGAGATAGGAAAGCTGCATCCATCAAGGTCTTTCCTGATTAATAGAGCTGTTGCTCATCCAGAAAGGGAAATTAGTGACAGGTAGAAATGACCATTGAATGCATCCTACAAGGCTGCAATTCCTCAGTTGGCTTGTAGCAGACTGATTCACTGACCCTGTCCTGTGGTCACAGCCAAGTGGCACCGTTTTCTGGGGACAGTGTGATTCACAGCTTTGAGAATGCGGCTTTATTTTGCAAACAGGCATTTCACAAACGGTTGGTTTCGTGTGTTTGTGTGGGTGCGTGTGCACACGAACTGCTTTATTCTATAAGCAAAGATGTTCTATTTTTACAAGTGCTTTTTATAATCTGGATTTGTATCTCTATTAAAAATGGCAAATAATGAGCATTTAAAATGGGAGCTGCAATGACAACTGTTGATGATAGGGACTCAGGGAAAAATGTCGAGTGGAGAAGCAGGTGACAGCAGCAAGGGGTGTTGTGACCTGGAGGCCTGCTCATTGCTCATGGGGAACTGAGGGGAGCCTGTTCGAGGAGCCAAATCAAATCAGAGGGGGCTTTTCCAAGGCAGATGGAGGCCAATTAACGGTGTGACAAACCAGGATTTTTATTAAGAACAGCTGAGACTTGGGGGTGGGCCAACCATACCAAGTGTCACGGTGAGGCTGGAGCCTGGGACAGTGAGCAGGGTTGGCTCTGAGAGAACCAGAATCAGGTGTGAGGAGAGAGTCAGGGAGAATTTCAGAATGAATGCTGCCTGTAGAGCTGTAGAGAGTGTCTTGCACTTTTAGGGTGGGGCTCATAGATAAGCCAAAAGCCCAGGTACAGCCTCACTTGCCTTTCTTTGTTGTTCTTTCTTTCCCTCCCTCCCTCCGCTACCTTCCCTCCCTCCTTCCCTCCCTCCCTTCCTTCCCTCATTCCTTCCTTCCTTTTCTCTCCCTCCTCTCTTTTCTTTTCTTTCTTTCTTTCATTCTTTCTTTCTTCTTTCTTTCTTCTTTCTTTTTCTTTCTTTCTTCTTTTTCTCTCTCTCTTTTTCTTTCTTTCATCTTTCTCTCTCTCTTTCTTTCCTTCCTTCCTTCTCTTTCTTTCCCTTCCTTCCTTCCTCCCTCCCTCCCTTCCTTTCTTCTTTCCTTCCTTCTTTCCTTTCTTCCCGTCAACTTCCACACCTGAGTTGCACAGTCTAGCACAGGTGGGTCTCCTCGCTGCTCCTGTCCTTCCCCCACATACTTTGTTTCAATAAGACGTATCCTTTATCACAGTGCTCAGCTACCAAATTGGAGCCTTTCTTCAAAGCATGACTAAGGAAGACTTTCCTTACTTCTCCATCCACCCCAATCGCTCATCTTCATTCATTTCTTTATTTATATATTTATATACCTATTCATGTATTTATAGAGACAGGGTCTTGCTCTGATGCCCAGGCTGGAGTGCAGTGGTGCCATGAGAGCTCACTGCAGCCTCCAACTTCCAAGCTCAAGTGATCCTTCCACCTCAACCTCCTGAGTAGCTGGGACTGCAAGCATGTGCCACCACACTCAGCTAATTTTTAACTTAAAAAAAAAAAAAGAAACGGGGTCTTGCTATGTTGTCCAGGCTGGCCTCAAACTCCTGAACTTAAGCAATCTTCCCACCTCGTCTCCCAAAGCTCTGGGATTACAGGCCTAAGAACCACTGCGCCCTGTCTGCATCTCTGTGTTCTATGAGCTCCTTTTGAGACCAGTTCTTGCCTTCACTTTATTGCTGTATTTCCTGCAAGTTTGAGTCAACTCCCAAGTGTCCTGGGGGCTGCTTCTGGGGTTCTGGAGCTGTTTGTCTCAGCTCCTTTTTGAGAACCAAGCTCCTGAGACCAGGAACATCAATCGGTGTAGGTAAACCCTCATCAAACAAGCATCCAGTCTGTGGAGTATGATGAGGAATGGAGAGAATCACCTATAGAATTTTAGAACCATGAATTTCAGATTCCATTTTGGGGGGGCAGAGGACAGCAGAGGGAATGCATGAGAATTCAGAGACCCACCTGTTGGCAGTGGATTTTTTTTCTTGCTCCACTTGTAGCCTTTGTAAATTCTCTTCCTTCTCTCCGCCACCCTTGCCCTGTCCCTGAGTCTCTTGCCTACTGTCATTCCAAGTCCTGGTGGCATTCCCAGTCCCTTGAATAAGAGAATAGAGATCCCAGAGGACCTTCCTCTGAGCACCTTCCCTGGGTGCTGGCACTTAGCAGTACATCTCTGCATCCCCACAAGGGACTGGCCCCAGGGATTTCTTGCTCTTTCAGGAGAGGAATGTCTAAGCTGCCAGGGAAGTCGCTCCGTTTTTTTGGTGGTGGTGGTGCAGCCACCCCATGGAAGGACTGACTTTTAGATTCACACTCGCCCCCTGCCCAGGCCTCATGGAGTGGTTGCTGCTGTCACTGGTCCTGAATTAGCTCTATCAGAACTCCCTCCCCCTAGAGATTTGTGATTTAGGAGGTGCATTGGGCGTACTCAGAGTTCCTGGGTTTTCTGGTCCACACTGTGAAAAAGCTGCACCTTGATTTCTTGTTTCAAAAAGTTGCAGGAAGAAGTTCAGCTCCAGAAAAAAACAAAAACTGGTTGGATCCAGAGATGCCTGAGTTGGAGATGAGCTTTGGGAAACACTCTTCATGGTCGTCCTGAAAACCCCGCCGAGGTTGGGGGAACTTACTCACCATTTTCCATAGGTACAATGTATGTAGAAGCATGATTGCGACTGTGTCTGCACTGCTCTCACTCCACCCGGACACTCAGTGACTCAGCTAACCATCCCAATAAAAGCCCTGTGTTCACCTTTGTTAGGGGAGCTTTGGGAACTATCCCCAGTGTTCTCCTTACATGGTGCACGTAACATTATAAAATCCCCTTGTGAAATTCTCCTTGGTTTTGGTCATTGGACAGTCACTCACCAAGCAGTTAAACCCACCAATTGTGTGGGTAATGAGGGCTCGTCAGAGGAGCAGAACGAATAGGATATATATCTATATATCTATTATCTATCTATCTATCTATCTATCTTCCATCATCTATTATGTCTATCTCTATCTTCCATCCATCCATCATCTATCTATCTATCTATCTATCTATCTATCTATCTATCTATCTATGTATCTATCGATCTATCTATCATCTGTCTACCTATCATCCATTCATTCATTCTTCTATTCTATGTATGTATGTATCTATCTATCTATCTATCTATCTATATCTATCATCTATCTCTCTCTACTTGTGTATCTACCTACCTGTCTCTATCATCTATTTCTATCCTATCTATCTATCTATCTATCTATCTATCTATCTATCTATCATCTATCATCTTCCATCATCTATTATGTCTATCTATCTTCCATCCATCCATCATTTATCTATCTATCTATCTATCTATCTATCTATCTATCTATCTATCATCTATCTATCATCTACCTATCTTCCATTCACTCATTCATTCATCTATTCTATGTATGTATCTATCTATATCTATCATCTATCTTTCTATACTTGTATATCTACCTACCTGTCTCTGTCATCTATTTCTATCTTATCTTATCTATCTATCTATCTATCTATCTATCTATCTATCTATCTATCTCTTTTTCTTTTTTTTTCATGAAACGGAGTTTCGCTCTTGTTACCCAGGCTGGAGTGCAATGGTGCGATCTCGGCTCACTGCAACCTCCGCCCCCCAGGTTCAAGTGATTCTCCTGCCTCAGCCTCCCAAGTAGCTGGAATGACAGGCATGTGCCACCACGCCTGGCTAATTTTTGTATTTTTTTTTTTTTGTAGAGACAGGGTTTCACCGTGTTGGTCAGGCTGGTCTCGAACTCCTGACCTCAGGTGATCCACCCGTCTTGGCCTCCCAAAGTGCTGGGATTACAGGTGTGAGCCACCGTGCCCGGCCTCTCTCTCTCTCTCTCTCTCTCTCTCTCTCTCTCTCTGTGTGTCTATATCTGTCTATCTATCATCTATCTATCTCTGTTATCTATCTCTCTGTCATGTGTCTATATCTCTACCTAGTTATCTCTCTATCTCTTCATCTATCTCTATTACCTCTCTCCCTATCTCCCTAGCTATCTCATCTATCTATCTATCTATCTATCTATCTATCTATCTATCTATCTATCATCTATCTATCTATCTATCTATCTATCTATCTATCTATCTATGTCTCTGTTATCTATCTCTCTGTCATGTGTCTATATCTCTATCTACCTAGTTATCTCTCCATCTATCTCTATTATCTCTGTCTCCCTATATCCCTGGCTGTCTCCTCTATCATCTTTCTATTATCTATCTATCATCTATCTATCTATCTATCTATCTATCTATCTATCTATCTATCTAATCTATCTATCATCTCCCCATCCATTCATCCGTATGTCATCTATTTTAAGACATTAGCTTATGTGATCGTGGGGATGGCAAGTCTAGAATCTACAGGATAGGTCAGCAGGCTGAAGACCTGGGTGAGAGTTGATGTGGCAGAGTTGAGGCTGAATTCCACAGGGCAGCAGGCAGGAAACTCGGGCAGGGCTTCCATGTTGCAGCCTTGGGACAGAATCCCTTCTACTTCAGGGAACCTCCGTTCTTTGCCTGTAAGGCCTTCAATTGATTGGACGAAGCCCATCACATTATCGACAATTATCAGCTTTATTCAGAGTTTACCAAGAGGATGCACTGTAATCTATATTTACATTTATTGGAGTGCCCCCACCCTTGTGGAAGATAGGGTTAAAATACCCCTCCATTGGATTCTGCTTTTTAACTCTTTATTGTGAATAACCACCCATGGGTGGGTTGAGGGTTAATCACATCTAAAAAAACCCTTCACAGCAACATCTAGACTGGTATTCCACCAAACATCTGAGCACCATAAGCTTAATCAAGTTGACACATGAAATTATCCATCACAGAAGGGAAAGGTCATATTGGGTGAAAATTTTAAAAGTGGCGCAAGAGACAGAATATCTACTCTTTCATGACTCAGATTTGCTATCACCTCCTCTGAAAGCGCTCCCTGGTCCTTCTGCATCCTGTCTTCACAGGGATAGATGAGGTGCCTCTTCTTGGTATCCGGTTGAACCCCTTGTGGGTACCCCCTTTACCACGCTGTGTGACAGCAACCTATTTGCATGTCTAGCTGCCTATTAACAGTGGGGCATTTACCACGGATGTTTTTGAAGAGCGGCACAGAAAGAGAACTGATGCCTGGTTGACCATACATGTTTCCCTTACTACTCAGAAGTGATACACAGTGGGTCTTTGGATAATGTCATTTTGTTCAATGTTGTTTTATTATAGCGGTGATAAGAAAACAAACAAACAAACTGATTCCTGGCTGGAGCTATTGTCTGTGTGGAGTTTGTACATTTTCCCCTTGCCTGTCTGGGTTTTCTTCAGGTACTTGGATGATTTTCTCCCATGTCCCAAGGATGTGTGAGTTAGGTGAACTGGCATATCTACGTTCTCCAAGTCTGCATGAATATGGGTGTGTGTAGGGGTGTACTCTGTGATGGAATATGGTGACCTGGCCAAGGCTGGTTCTTGACCTTGTGCCCTGAGATGTTAGGATAGGCTCTAGCCACCTGCAACCCTGAACTGGAATGAGTCGGTTGGCGAGTAAGGAAATAAATAAATAAATACAAATTATTGTCAAATAAAATTTTGTAAAGTATACGATAATCACACAAATGCACGACAATAAATGATATGATATGCAAGAGTTCAGTGGGACTGGCACATTTGTGAGTGTTGTTGAACTGCATGGTGGCAGGAAGAGTACCTTACAATTCTCACTTTGCAAACGTTTATTCCTGAATTTAATCTATCACCACTATGACTCACTAATCAGTGAGTGACTATGTCACTCACTGATTCACCAAAAATTGGATAAATAATTATCTTAATTGTTTCTATTAATCCATTATTTTTACATTTTTATCTATCTATTTATTTATTTATTTATTTATTTATTTTGAGACCAGATTATGAGATGGGCCAATTTTTGTATTTTTGGTAGAGACAAGGTCCCCCTATGCTACCCAGGCTGGTCTCGGATTCCCGGATTCAAGTGATCCACCTGCTTCAGCCTTCCAAAGTGCTGTGATTACAGGTGTGAGCCACCATGCCAGGCCTAATCTTTCTTGACTATATTTAAAATGCACACTTATTTCAATGTTTAATACTAGAAGCGTTTTTGGTCTAGAAGTTTGGTGATGTTTTTGTGACCAGAGGCATGCCGAGGGAATTGAACTCTTGTTTATATCAATTAGCCTGTGGTAAAATTGATTTTGTTATATATTGTTTCACTTAAAGCCGCAGTTTCCAAGAACCTATTGAGGACATTAATTGAGGACTTACTGCACTCTACATTTATTTGAGTAGCCCCCGCCCCTAGGAAGATAAGTTTAAACTATCCCCAATTGGGTGTTGCTATATAACTCTTTTTGTAAATAACCACCCTATCTTTTTTTTTACTTTAATTTCTGGGATACATGTGCAGAATGTGCAGGTTTGTTACACAGGTATACGTGTGCCATGGTGGTTTGCTGCACCTATCAACCCGTCATCTAGGTTTTAAGCCCCACATGCATTAGGTATTTGTCCTAATACTCTCCCTCCCCTTGCCCCCCATCCCCTGATAGGTTCCAGTGTCACTCTTCAAAAGGCTACATAGAACTCATGCTGTACATTACATATTTTAAAATAATTATGTGAAGGATTAATAAAAACACAATAATGCTGTTCAAAAAAAATGGATTGTCAAATTTTGGTCCATGAGTCAAATCTACCCCACTGACTGTTTTTATGAATAAAGTTTGATTGGAGCACAACCATGCTCATTCAAAAAAAAAAAAAAAATAACCGCCCACAGGTGGATTGAGTAGGTGAGTCTTAGAAGGTGGTATTTTCTAAATCCCCTCTTAAGTGGGGCTGGGCTTAGCTGCCATGTGAGCTCAGGAAGCCAGTGTGGGGATCAGGTCCTCTGGGTCCTGTAGACATGACAGACAGAAGAATTAAGCTATTTGGAATTTTAGATATTTGAAGATTTTAGATATTTGGGTGAAAACTCTCTACAAGGACAATTACAAAATGCTGTTGAAAGAAATCAGAGAAATCTACAAGAAGGTAGTGAGCCCTTGGGCACTGTTCTGAGTTGAATTCTACCCTCCTAAAATTCCTATGTTGAAGTCCTGGCCCCCAGTGTCTCCAAATATGACCTTATTTAGGAATAGGCTTATTGCAAACATCCTTAGTTAAGAAGAGGTCATAGTGGAGTAGTGTGGGCCCCTACTATAATAATATGATCAGGGTCCTTATAAAAAAAAAGGAGCTGGGAGTGGATGTTCACACCTGTAACTTTGGGAGGCTGAAGGGGGAGGATCGTTTGAGGACAGGAGTTTGGGAGGCCAGAACTTTGGGAGGCCGCAAGGGGAGGATCGCTTGAGGCCAAGAGTTCAAGACCAGCCTGGGCAACAAAGCAAAAACTGTCTCTACAAAAAATGATTAAAGAGTTCGCTGGTCCTGGTGGCTCATGCCTGTAGCCTAGCCACTCAGGAGGCTGACGTGGGAGGATCATTTGAGAACCAGGAGTTGGAGGCTGCAGTGAGCTCTTGTCCTGCCATTGCACTCCAACCTGGGAGACAGAGCTAGACTCTATCTCTAAAAAAAAAGGAGAAAATTTGAACATAGAACAAACACAGGGAGAAAATCATGAAGGTAGAGATCTACAAGCCAAGAGACAGCAAAGATTGCCTGCAAAGCCACCAGAGACTAAGGGACAGGCCTGGAGCAGATCCTCCCTCACAGCCCTCAGAAGGAACCAACCCTGTCAGCACCTTGATCTTGGATTTCCAGCCTGCAGAACTGTGAGACAAAAAATATCTGCTGTTAAAGCCACCTACTTTATGGCACTTTCTTATAACAGTCCTAGAAAACTAATACAGGTAGCAGCCTGACCAATTCCTGTTCCTGCAACAGGGCCAACTGGAACGATGGCAAGAGCCTAGCCATGTGCTGGGTCTAGGGAGACAAGTACTATGTCATAAGGCAGGGACCCACACACCTGGAGAAGAAGGTCTTGATGCAGAGGGATACATGCTGCTGAGTCCTGGAATCCTGAATTTCCTTTCTTTTTCTTTTCTTTTCTTTTCTTTTTTCTTTTTTCTTTTTTTGAGACAGAGTATCACTCTTGTTGCCCAGGCTGGAGTATAATGGCACAATCTCCACTCACTGCAACCTCCGTCTCCTGGGTTCAAGCGATTCTTCTGCCTCAGCCTCCTGAGTAGCTGGAATTATAGGCACCCGCCACCACTCCTAGCTAATTTTTGTATATTTAGTAGAGACGGGGTTTCACCGTGGTAGCCAGACTGGTCTCAAACTCCTGACCTCAGGTGATCCACCCATCTGAGCCTCCCAAAGTGGTGGGATTACAGGCATGAGCCATCACACCCAGCCAAATTCTGAATTTTCTATATTCATAGACTGAGGTAGACCTGGGTCCTGGGTGTGAGTCCACTGCACCTGTAGCTGATGATGTGTATTCTCTCCCAAGATTCCTTTTTCTGGCTCTGTGGCTTTCTCTAGATTTTGCAAGCCTCTCTCCTAACTGTGCACACCTGCCACCTTCTTCAGCAGATTATCCTGGGGCCACTGTGGCTTTATCCAGAGGCACCAGCCCCAAAATTACCTGGGAGTTTACATTCTCCCAAGGCTTCCTATGGTTCTTGAGGCAGAACAAACCCTGTGGACTAAGTTATGCTCCATGTGTATTAGTTTCAAATTGCTGCTGTAACACATTGCCATAAATTTGGTGGCTTAAAAACAACACAGTACAGGCCAGGCACGGTGGCTCATGCCTGTAATCCCAGCACTTTGGGAGGCCAAGGCAGATGGATCACCTGACGTCAGGAGTTTGAGACCAACCTGGCCAACATGACAAAACCCCATCTCTACTAAAAATATAAAAATTAGCCGGGTGTGGTGATGGGCACCTGTAATCCCAGCTGCTCAGGAGGCTGAGGCAGGAGAACTGCTTGAATCTGGGAGGCAGAGGTTGCAGTGAGCCGAGATTGTGCCATTGCACTCCAGCCTGGGGGACACAGCGAGACTCTATCTTAAAACAAAAACAAAAGCCAAACAAAAACCCCAAAACAAAACAAAACAAAGCAAAAACACAGTACAAATGTATTATTCTCCTTTTCTATAATTTCATCTTAGGTCAGGTTGTCTAAGAATAGGCTCCGAGAGAAGGAAGCAATTTTCTGAGGATGTACTCCCAGGAGAAACTGACTGGGGGTTGGGGGATGGGTGGACGCAGGATAGGAAAATGGAAGAGGCCAAGCAAAGAGGGTCTAATTTCTGGTGAAGTCCCATTATCAGCCTCATCTCATGGGAGGAACCATAGTGAGGTAGACAGAATAACGACACCCCCACATACTTTGGACCTTAATCTCTGGAACCTGCAACAGTTACCTTCCTTGGAAATTGGGTCTTTGCAGTTGTCATTAAAGGAAAGATCTTGAGAGGGGGACATGATCCTGGATTATCTGGATGCAGCCTAAATGCAGACACAAGTGTCCTTATAAGAGAGAGGCAGAGCGAGATTCAATATACAGGGAGGGGGCGGGCACAGTGGCTCACGCTTGTAATCCCAGCAGTTTGGGAGGCTGAGGAGGGCAGATAACCTGAGGTCTGGAGTTTGAGATCAGCCTGGCCAACTCAGTGAAACCCCATCTCTACTAAAAATACAAAAAATTAGCTGGGTGTGGTGGTACACGCCTGTAATCCCAGCTACTCGGGAGGCTGAGGCAGAAGAATTGCTTGAACCTAGGAGGTGGAGGTTGCAGTGAGCTGAGATCACGCCACTGAGCTCCAGCCTGGACGACAAAGTGAGACTCTGTCTCAAAAACAAACAAACAAACAAACAAACAAACAAACAACATGGAGGAAAAGACAGTGTGAAGGTGGAGGTGGAGATGAGAATGATGCAGCCACAAGCCAAGGAATGCCAGTGCCTATCAGAAACTGGAGGAAGCAAGGATGGGTCTTGCCCAGAGCCTCCAGAGGAGGCAAATAAGGTCCACGCAGTATTTTTTTCAAAGCTACCAGGGTAATCTGATCTAACACATCATTTCTCTCTGTGTACCAAGCACTGCCTGTGGGATACACAGAGCCTGCATCCGTAATTTCCCAATTGAGTGCCCCATTGAGTCTGGAGGGCAGATTAAAACCCAGATTACTGGGCTCCACTCTCAGACTGTCTGATCCAGTAGGTCTGGAGTGGGACCTGAGAAATAGCCCTTTAAACAAGTTCCCAGGAGATGCAGATGCTCCTGGTTCTAAAAGCACATTTTCAGATGCATTTCTTGCATACACACAGCCCAACACAGGGTGGGTGTGTGCTGAGAGTATATAAGCCACGTGCTGCCTGTCAGCAGAGGAAGCCATTGGCTGCGTGAGGGTCAGAAGGGGCTCCATTTGTCTGAGCCTTGATGGGTGAGGAGGTTTTCACTGGAGGAGAGGGCATTCTACAGTGAGCAGGAGCAAAGGAACCAAGGTGGGCTAATGCAAAGAGAGTGTCTACATTTAAGATGCAATGAGAAGTTGGTATGGAAGTGGAATGGCCAGAGAGAAGGCAGGAGATTTTGGCTTAGTTCCTGTTCCTGAAACAGGGCCATTCTCCCAAGGCTTCCCATAGTCGATGTCCAACACCGAACAGGAATTGGTGTTCCTCGAGAGTACTGACTGTGGACCTCTGGCCTCCAGAACGCTGAGATAATGAATGGTGTGGTAACCTGTTACAGTAGTCTCTGGAGACTAATCTGTGCCCACCCTTGGTTCTATTTGCCTTGCTTGGAGGTCAGCCAGGCAAGATTTGCCCAGGGCCGCCCCTGTGCATATATCATACATTTCTCTCCAGAATTAGAGGAGAAGCCAAATTGTAATTCTACATTTGGAAGCACAGAAATACCACCTCAGGGTGTTTGTCATTTGTACATGGTTTTCAATGTACTTTTTAATAAGTCAAATGATAGCATAAGTTATGGCTTCGCTTCCCATTCAATGGCCTTTTACTCCCAGTGGGCCTGGTTCTTACTGCAATTTCTTATCTACAAGAGACTCAGGCAATGTAAGTGGGAAATACTTTGGTGCGTTATCAGGCATACATTTGGCCTAATAAATAACAAAGGTGTTTAATTTAAGCATACTTTTACAGAATTACACCAAAGAGAATGTTGTAGCCAGGCACAGGGGTGCACACCTGTAATCCCAGCATTTGGGGAGGCTGAGGTGGAAGGATTGCTTGAGGCCAGGAGTTTGAGACCAGCCTGGGCAATATAGCAAGATCTCAACTTCACAAAAATAAAAACAATAAAAAAATTAGTGGGGTGTGATGGCCCGTGGTTGTAGTGACAGCTACTTGGGAGGCTGAGGCAGGAGGATTGCTTGAGCTCAGGAGTTCAAAGCTGCAGTGAGCCATGATTGTGCCACAGCACTCCAGCCTGGGCGACAGAGTGAGACCCCATCTCTAAAACAAAACAAAACAAAAATGTTGTGAATTGACAGAACTGAATCTATTTTTTTATTAATTCAAGAGCAAAATGTGTTCCCATTGCTGGATCCACACTGATAATCTGAGTGTGATGGAGAAGATTAGAGAAAAATAATATAAAGTAGCTAGCTGAGAGCTCAGGGCAAAATGCAATTGTTTAACTGTCCACTTAGTATTTCATGAACTAAATGCAGCCCACAATGGCCCCAACTTAATGATAAGTTTTGTTCTTTAGCAAATAGTATTATATAAAGCTTCAATGTAGTAATAAATAGTGCTTTTGCAATTGCTCTGATTTCAAATGTCTGTATAACATTTTGGTGAAATCATTCCAGAATCAGAAGCTCCTTTTAAGTGAGGATTAAAGGAGAGAAAAGACCCCAACCTTGACATAATTAACCACAGGAGTTTGAATGCATTTTTCTCTCTTTCGATGTGGAAGGAACTAGGTCTCACTCAACTGAGCACGTGACCTGGCACTCAGAAAACTCTCCACAAACATTTGGCTGCAACTGTGGGTTCATTTCAGTTCAACAAACACAAAGCAGTCCAAAGATTCTAGTGTTGTCACACTAAAAAGTGGTTTGGGTTGGGTAAGAAAATCTACCTCTGGCCACTGGTGGTTTTGCATAAATTAGACTTGCAAATAAGTGAGTGCGCCTGCTTTGTGAGTGAGACCTTTGTTTACTTAGGACTCCATGAAAAGAAGCCCTGGCATTTGGAGCCTTGTCAAACTTCTCAGCAGCATCCAGTTTTCTAGGTCCAATATCTGTCTGGGTTACTTGCCTGGAGCCACAGTCTACCCGGAGGGCAGAAGGCTTCTTATAAGGACTCTTGATTCTCTTCATTCTTCTGAGCCCAGGATTTTTATCAGCTAAGCCCATTCCTTCCATTTTGATTGCATGTGATTTAGGAGGATGTCATCCATCCTGTTTGGCTCCATTGAGTGAACTCAGCTTTCACATTGCAGACGCTGGCCCTGCTGTCTGGGGTTTATCCAGAATGTCCTTAGCTTGTCTTTCTGACTTCTTCCTCTTGGCGCTCCAGTATACTTAACCCATTCCCCCTCCCCTCCTCCATCTTTTTTGGCACCACTGTTTTTCCCTAATCACCTTGCTTAATGATTCAGTGAGGGCCAGGTGCGGCGGCTCATGCCTATACGCCCAGCTACTTGGGAGGCTACGGCAGGAGGATGGATTGCTTGAGCCCAGGAGTTTGAGACGAGCCTGGGCAACATAGCAAGATCCTGTCTCTACAAAATATTTTTTAAAAAATTAGCTGGATGTTCTGCATGCCTGTAGTACTAGCTACTCAGGAGGCTGAGGTGGGAGGATCGCTTGAGCCCAGGATCGAGATCAGCCTGGGCAACATAGCAAGATCCTGTCTCTACAAAATATTTTTTTCAATTAGCTGGATGTTCTGCATGCCTGTAGTACTAGCTGCTCAGGAGGCTGAGGTGGGAGGATCACTTGAGCCCAGGAGATGGAGTTGAGTCTTGGAGTCCAGGAGTTAGAGGTTACAGTGGGCTGTAATCACGCCACTGTACTCCAGTCTGTGCAACAGAGCGAGACCTTGGAGTGGAATTGGAAGTTACAGTGGTTTGGAGGTTACAGTGGGCTATGATGGAGCCACTGCACTTCAGCCTGTGCAACAGAGTGAGACCTTGTCTCTTAAAAAAAAAAAAAAGAGCGGGGGACCATGCGTGGTGGCCCGGGAGGCAGAATTTGCAGTGAGCTGAGATTGTACCACTGCACTCCAGCCTGGGCGACAGAGCCAGACTCCATCTCAAAAAAAGAAAAGAAACAAGTCCATTGTTTGATCTGCTTGCCTATGCTTCTCTTTTCCCAAGGGATTTATTAATGAATGGTGCAATTCCCCATTCTTGAGGGAATGAGGCAGGTGCAGGAGGGGTGGGCTAACTGGCCTCCTGGACTCAGGTGGGCACTGTGGGGAGGGTGACTGGAGTCAGAGAGCAGGTATCCCAAGTCCCGTCAAACTAGGGATGTCAGGGTCAGCCAGGAACATCATTTAGTCCATATTAAATCTATGTTTTTTTTTTGAGACGGAGTCTTACTCTGTCACCCAGGCTGGAGTGCAGTGGCGTGATCTCGGCTCACTGCAAGCTCCACCTCCCGGGTTCATGCCATTCTCCTGCCTCAGCCTCCCACGTAGCTGGGACTACGGGTGCCCGCCACCACACCTGGCTAATTTTTTGTATTTTTGGTAGAGATGGGGTTTCACCGTGTTGGCCAGGATGGTCTCTATTTCCTGACCTCATGATCTGCCGGCCTCGGCCTCCCAAAGTGCTGGGATTACAGGTGTGAGCCACTGGCACCCAGCTGGGACTTGTTTCTTCTTCTCCTTTCTTTTATGGACTTTCTGTTCATTTCCCCAGGATCTGTCTTCCAAGCTCCGTACATCTGGCCTTACCAATGTTCCTCACACACCCTTAGGTCACCTCTCACTTGCATGTGTTCCTATCCTAGCTTGATTGAAACCAAATGTACATCCATGGCTCCATCTCTCCATCCAAGGACTTGTTTTTGAGTCATTCTTCAGGGAGCCCTGATCTCTAAAAGGCTGCCCCTAGGTCACACCTTCCTTTTTTTTTTTTTTTTTTTTTGAGATTAAGTCTCACTCTTGTTGCCCAGGCTAAAGTGTAGTGGCATGATCTTGGCTCACTGCAACCTCCACCTCCCCAGTTCAAGTGATTCTCCTGCCTCAGCCTCCCAAGTAGCTGGGTTTACAGGCATATGCCACTGTGCCAGGTTAATATTTGCATTTTTAGTAGAGATGGAGTTTTACTATGTTGGCCAGGCTGGTCTCAAACTCCTGACCTAAATTGATCTGCCTGCCTTGGCCTCTCAAAGTGCTGGGATTACAGGTGTGAGCCACCGCACCCAGGCTGAAGGGCATTATTCTACCACGCTTGGCTGATTTTTATATTTTTAGTAGAGACTGGGTTTCACCATGTTGGCCAGGATGGTCTTGAACTCCCGACCTCAGGCGATCCGCCTGCCTCGGCCTCCCAAACTGCTGGGATTATAGGCATGAGCCACTGTGCCTGGCCACCTTCCCTGTTTTTACTGACTGAGTTCCCGTGTGTGATTTCCTTTACCCATTTCCCTGGACTTCAGCTTCCACTGTTTCTCATCCTCCGTCCTTCTAGCAACCCAAGTCCCTCAACAAAAATGGGGACATCTTTTATTCTTGACCGTTTCCTCTCTGCTCTTTGACAAGACCCTATCCCAGATGATTCTTGGATTTTTCCAGATACACAGTGTTCTGTGTATCTGACCTAAAGCCATGCTTATTTACCTCTTGGCGCTCTCCAGTGACACAGAAGACCTATGATATCAGATGTTTTCTTGCATTGTGAGAGCAATTGCCAAGCTCCTAGTTACTGCCCCATGCCTGGTTTGCTGACCTTCTGCTATTAACCTGGCTGGTACCCTTCCCTCAGTGCCCAGGGATGGAAAATGCTCACCCTGTTCCCTCACCGCTCGGTTTTACTCCAGAAAGCTGACATGCTTGAGCAACAGATCCTGAGATATGACTTTGTATTTGTTTGCTTGTTCATTTGTTTTAAGAGCCTAGAATTTTAAGTAGTCCAGACAGCAAAAATGCAAGCAAGAACACACATGGAAATGCAGAGGAAAATAATTCCATACCATATGGGAGATGATACTGAAACTCATTCAGAAATATATTTAATGCCTGGGATGTTCTCAAATGTTTTCTTAACACTTACACTTGACTAAAATGACTTTATGCCCCTGTGTTTTTCTTTTCTCTGGCTGTCTTTAGATCCATGAGTCGTGACTTATAATGCAACACAACTGTGTTTTAAAATAAATTTACCATGTTGGTTATTATTTGTTCATATTACGGTTTGTGATTTTCGAAGCTCTTTCTTATAGCTTAGTAGATTTCATGAAAATGCGTACTGTGTTTTGAAGTAGTCCATGGGAGTTTCTGGATCTTTTCCAATGTTGCAGCCATTGCAAAACATTTTGGAAATATTGATTTGGGTTAAAACACATGCAAAATGGAGGGCATTATTCTTTTTTTTTTTTCCTTTCCTTTTTCTTTTTTTTTTTTGAGATAGAGTCTCACTTTGTTACCCAGCCTGGAGTGCAGTGACGTGATCCCAGCTCACTGCAACCTCCACCTCCCGGGTTCAAGCCATTGTCCTGCCTCAGCCTCTCAAGTAGCTGGAATTACAGGCCCGTGCCACCGTGCCTGGCTAATATTTGCATTTTTAGTAGAGACGGGGTTTCACCATGTTGGCCAGGCTGGTCTCAAACTCCTGACCTCAAATGATCCACCTGCCTCAGCCTCCCAAAATGCTGGGATTACAGGTGTGAGCCACCGTGTCTAGCCTTAAGAGCATTATTTTACTAAACTAGAAGAGTAGTATTTAAATGTTTCCGAGCCTCAGAATCTTGTTAAAAACTGGAAAGCTTGTTACCATAGAGATCACTCCCCCAGGAACCCACCACCCTGCCCAGTTTCTGATTAAGTCTGGGTAGGGTCTTGTACTTTGCTTTTCTGGAATGTTCCCAAGAATATGTGAATGCTGCTGGTCCAGGGACCACATATTGAAAAGCTCTGGACTAGAAAACCAGTTCTTGACCCTAGCTGGATAAGCAGAACACGTGCAAAACTCTTCAAAAATGCAAAAGGAAGCAGCTGCTAAAATGGTCACAGCAGACATGTATGTGATTCTGACAAATTAGAAAGAAGCTCAATGTCCAACGGCAGGAGAACAGAGAAGTCAATTATGGTGGATTCGTATAGTGGATCGCCAAAGGAACATGGAAAATGAATGGACTAGAGCTATCAATACGGAGAAATCTTACAAATACAAGACAAAGAAAAAAGGAAGTTGTACAGGGATGAACGTAGTGTATTATTTGCTCATGACTCAAGAATTTGCACAATAATGTGATGGGTCATTTTGATGCATATTTGATCAACGTATAATGAACTACAAAGATACCTATAAAAAGACATAAATCCAGGGAAAGAACATAGTGACTCTGGGTGAGGGTAAGTTGTTGGGGAGTCGATAATGCCACTGGTGGTACGGGGGATGCTTCAAATGTATGTGCAAGACTTCCTTTCTTAAGCTGGGTGGTGAGTTCACAAGTATATGTTACATTATTCCTTAAACCCTTTCGCAATATGAAAAGCGATACGTGTATATCTCTCCCAGTTCCCACCTAGGGGTGCTTCATTTTACAAAACTCCACCTGTGATCCTCATACACAAATTATTGCTGCATTGTTGCTGAAATATACCCCATATATTTGACTCCACGTGGTAGTACTCTGACCATTCACTTTAATAATCAGACTTGATAATAGATACCTTTGAAAATAAATTGTATGTTTGGAAATGGCCTACTGACAAAACCTTGTCACAATGGAGAAGGTCAAAAAGAAGGTATTGAAGGCTCTGAAAATGGTTTGTAAGGAGGAATGCAAATATTGTCTCTTTTTTTTTTTTTTTTTTGAGACGGAGTCTCACTCTGTTGCCCAGGCTGGAGTGCAGTGGCATGGATCTCAGCTCACTGCAACCTCCACTTCCCAAGTTCAAGCGATTCTCCTGCCTCAGCCTCCCAAGTAGCTGGGACTACAGGTGCATGCCACCATGCCCGGCTAATTTTTTGTATTTTTAGTAGAGACGGGGTTTCACTGTGTTAGCCGTGATGGTCTCAATCTCCTGACCTTGTGATCTGCCTGCCTCGGCCTCCCAAAGTGCTGGGATTACAGGTGTGAGCCACCACGCCCAGCCAATATTGGCTCTTTATAAGGCTACTTTGAAGGGATGATACAAACATATATAACCTGAGAGATCCGTTACCCAATTGATCGCATTTATTTATAGTCAGTCCTTGAACACACGTACAATTATCAAACCATAGGTTGGAGGAAAGAATGCAATATTTCATAGCTTCTTTGTTTCTGAGAAGTTAATTAAAAAAAAAAACTCTACAAAAATATTGAAACTTAGCCTGCCAAATACATGTAACATCCCTAGAATGATGTCCTTCTAATGTTGATTTGGGGGCATTTTCTGAATTCTGCTGAGAGTAAAAGAATGGAGGGGTTTTTTTTTTCAGTAGGATTCTCACTTTTAGCCCCTTCATGATGAAGGATGCTGCCATTAGAAAAAGCCTAAAATATGTGATGTTGGTTTGGTGTTTGGGTAGTGGGCTTTGAGGATACTGATATCAGAAGCTGAGAAGGTACAGGCCCATGTTATGCAACAGATAAACAAAAAAGTATTGTGACGTGGATGAACCTGGAGAACATTATGGTAAGTGAAATAAACCAGACACAGAAAGACAAATAGTGCATGATCTCATTTGTATGTGAAATCTAAAGCAATCAAACTCATCGAAGCAGAGAACACAGTGGTGGTTACTACAGGCTGGGGGTGGGGGAAATGGAGAGGCATTGGTCAAAGGATACAGAGATTCCATTAGACAGGAGGGATCATATAGTAAGTGTTTGAGGTGATAGATAGGTTAATTAGCTTGATTCAATCATTCTGTGCTGTGCCCATGTATCCGAGCATCACTTTTTACCCTATAAATAGATACAATTATAATTTGTCAATTTAAAAAGTATTGTTGGCTGGGCGTGTCAGTTCACACCTGTAATCCCAGCACTTTGGGAGGCCAAGGCTGGCGGATCATGAGGTCAAGAGATCGAGACCATCCTGGCTGACATGGTGAAACCCCGTCTCTGCTAAAAAGACAAAAATTACCTGGGCATGATGGTGCATGCCTGCATTCCCGGCTACTCAGGAGGCTGAGGCAGGAGAATCGCTTGAACCCAGCAGGCGGAGATTGTAGGGAGCCGAGATCGCGCCATTGCGCTCCAGCCTGGTGACAGAGCGAGATTCCGTCTGAAAGAAAAAAAAAAAAAAAAAAGAAAACGAAAGAAAAGTATTGTCTAGCATAACTTGGAAGGCGGACTGAATACATCTAAGGCTGCCGCTCTGGTGGAAGAAGTCAGAAAACGGGATGTCACTGGTGTGTGCGGAATTCCCCCTTAACAGAGAAGACTGGGAAAGCTTTTTGTTGTTTTATGGTTTTCTGGTCCTTGTTTTATCACCACTGTGTATATTAAATGTATGGAGGGCAGATGATTTCTTCTTTTTTATGTGTACAACTGATCATATCATGACATGCTTCATAAAAACTGGGGAAATGGCCGTTGCCTTCCTGAGTTCCCGTGCTTTGCACAGGTGTAGTATCAAGTGAGACCTTGGGTGGTCTCTCTTAAGGAGGAGATGGATATATTCTATGTGTAGAAAAAAATGATGCATATAAACTGGGTGCAGTAGCTCATGACTGTAATCCCAGCACTTCGGGGGACCGAATAGGAGAATCCCTCGAGCCCAGGAGTTTGAGACCTGCGTGGGCAACATAGTGAGAGCCTGTCTTTACAAAAAATTTAAAAATCCAGGTGTGATGGTACCAGCAGTCCCAGCTACTCAGAGGCTGAGGTGGAAGGATCACTCGAGCCTCGGAGGCAGAGGATGCAGTGAGCCATGATAGCACCACTACACCACAGCTGGGGTGACAGAGAGAAGACACGCTGTTTTAAAAGAAAAAAAATTAATAAAGTTTAATATGGATATTGGAGGCCGAAAGAAACATTAGTAGCAGGATCACTAACTGTCCACCAAAGTCTCTTCTGTTCCAGGAGAGAGAGTTTTACTTGGAAATGGTTGTCCAGTCTTTCTGCCATCTAGGTGACTTGTTCTTGTCAATAAAGTAAAAGTGAAGTGCCATTTAAAGACTAAAGAGGTTCAAAGTGGTTGTGCCTTCTTCCTCCTCTTTTGGCTCAACACTGGCTGGATTGAGCATGCTCTGAGGCCTGAGAGGATGGGGAAACCACAAGACAGAAAGAGCCTGGATCCCTGAATCACCTCGTGGGAGGCTGCTGACCAATCGGGAACACCTGCACTGGACTGTTACTTGAATAAGAAATACATTTCTTTTGTGTTAAGCCACTGATAATTTAAAGACTTATTTGTTATAGCAGCTAGCATTGCTCTAAATAATCTACTCATATGGAATTTCAATAGGATTGTTTAGTGGCTATCATATGAAGATATAACCAGTTGCAGATATAACCTGGTTGCATGTGGTACCAAAATTAAAGTCAGGAAGAGAATAATTGTTCTATAATATGTCTGCATTGACGATTCGTTCTGGAGTCCTTACTTTCAGCCCTGGCTAATTTTTTTTTTTTAAATGGAAAATCAGCATTGCTGAGAGGCTGTGTGATTTCACCCACTCGACTTATTGCCTTGCTGTGCAGGTTTTTACTGAGTATTGAAGTGAACCAGAAGAGATTTGTGTCTTGCATTAGTGAACTCTCTATCTTTGCTGGAAGAAGCAAGAAAATGCATTTCATTTGCCACTGGTCATGCTGTGATGACAGATAATTAGAAACTTTAATCAATCTTGTTTTGTCAGCATGACTCTCATATCAAAAAGAGACTGTGTTTCAAAAAGAAGCTGCAAATAAATATAAAATTTAGGACTGTGAAGCATCTGTTATGAACTATAATGACGTTAAGTAATGATATCCCACAACCCTGTGCCCAATCTCTTGTGTGTATCAAATTCTTTCCCTCCACACCTTTCTGCCTTTCCATTTGCACCTAATTTTCATTTATTTATTTGCCTTCATTTCTTACAAAGCACTCCTCTAACTTCCATGGACACAGATGGAAGAGGGACGGGGCAATGTGACTTCCACCTTCTCAGGCCACCTAATCCGCCTCAGCATTTAATGCTTTCAGAAGAGGCTTTTGAGCCAAACAAGCCTAACTTCAAATTCCAATTTTATCATTTTCCAGCTTTGTGATCTTCAGCAAGTTACCTCATCTCCATAAGTGGAATATCTTTCAATACTTGTAAATTAAGGCAACATTTACCACGTCCTCAAGTCATTGCAATTGCCAAGGGAGGTAATACGCAGAGTGTCTAGCGTGCTATCTGGTGCAGAATGCTAAGAATCTGCTCTTGAAAATGTTCAATCTTTTCTGCTCCCCTTTCTAATATAAGACATTTCTTCTAGGCTGCAAGAAATATATTTTCTAGCTTGATGACTAGAATTTATCAAGATTTTGTTTGACATCCTCCTGCCACCCTAAGTAGTGGGGCACTTGTATATGTAAACAAACATTACACCAAGTGTGCTAACACGGGTGTTTTCTGGGGGCTACAGAAGCCCGAGGGAGTGTTCTCGCATCCCCTTCCATCACCTTACATGGAGTCTTGATCTTATCTATTTCAAAGAGGAGAAAAACAATTTTTCTTTTGGAGAACATAAGCGATTGAGGTAT
The DNA here is from genome assembly GCF_000001405.40 of Homo sapiens. Classification (NCBI taxonomy): domain Eukaryota; kingdom Metazoa; phylum Chordata; class Mammalia; order Primates; family Hominidae; genus Homo; species Homo sapiens. Next base: position 69,070,786 of record NC_000007.14, on the reverse strand, counting down.
GAGGAAGCTCATGCTTAAGGAAGACATCGGCATGTAGACACCTGCTGACTGTATCTTAAGGCTTGTTTCTCTGCCAGAAATCCTGGAGAGGTTTTGGTAGAGAGACTGAACCTGGAAATCATGGGTATGTGTCATTTCTGGTGTGATGGGGCATGGAGCTTATTAGTGAAAGGCATAGCTAGAGGCTAAGTAGTACATAGCTTTTGCACAATGTTTTCATTTTGTTTGGTTCGTGAGGGCAACTGAGGGCTTGCATGTGGGTATTGGAAGCTGCACATACCCTTCCTGGTTTGCTCAATTCACAGGGTTTCCACTGCCTGCTGCTCTCTCTCTCTGCTGATCCCAACCATGCCCATTTTGCAGGGCCAATTGACATCTTCCTTCCTTCCCAAAGTGTTTCTTGGCCGAATTCACTCCACAAGTGATCTTTTTATTTTCTTTCTTCCACTCATAATGTAAGTATGCAGTTTATGTTACCCCCAGTGCATAACTTATGGTTCTTCTCTTATTATTTTACTTGTATTTTTCTTGGTGTTCTAACTAGATGGTAAGCTCATAGATGCATTCTTGTGACCATTTGACAAGCCGATATTGACCAAGTGCCCACCAGTGGTGTTGTTTTGTTTTATTTTATTTTAGAGATGGCTTTCACTCTGTTGCCTAGGCTGGAGTACAGTGGTGCAGTCATAGCTCACTGTAGCCTCAAAATCCTGGGCTCAACTGAGATCCTCCCATCTCAGCTCCCAAGTAGCTTGGACAACAGGTGCATGCCACCATTGTGGGCTAATTTTCCTTTATTTTTAATTTTGTAGAGACAGGACCCTGTTATGTTGCTCAGGCTGGTCTTGAACTCCTGGCTTAAGCACTCTTCTCTCCTCGGCCTCCCACAGTGTTGGGGTTTATAGACATGAGCCACCATGCCCAGCCTGGTTATTTAATTTTATTCCTCACAAAACACCATTGGGGGTTATGGCTATAGTTTCATTGGTTCTTCTTTGAGCCCTAGATTTCTTAATAACTTGTCACAAGTCTAGAGTCTGAATCACACACCAAGTAAATAAGAGATCCAGATTTTAAGCTCTGGTCTGAAATCTAATTGTCTTTCTACCAGAGCTGATGCTCTCAAGGTTGACCATGCTTAATACTTGCTTTGTATTCATCAGAGTATATAGTTGTGTGCTTTGCATGTAATTAAAACTTAATAAATCTTGATTAAGTCTTTGAAAAAGGGCACTGTGGGGATGCTTTCTAAGAATCTTTCTTCACTTTCAACTTAATTTCTCTCCTTCAAAAATGCTGAATGGAGTTTATGATGAGAAGTGACTTAAAATGATGCTTTTGGATTCTGTTGATCATTTTATGGCAGCTCTTGCAATAAATGTGATTTGGGGGAATCACTGAAGTGTTTATGGTTGGCTTGTATGAGTGGGTTTAAGGTTTGGCACAAGCTAGTGAGATGGAGGAGGATGGGATCTGAGTCAGAGATCCACAAGGGCCTGAAGATTTTGATATTATACAGAAATCGAATAGGCTCAATGAGCAAAAAGCCTACTTAATAGATGGAGTAAACTGCTGGGAGCCCCTAAAGTATTTTCAGATGAAGAGGCTTGCGTTTTAATTATGCCAAATGGTCTGTGTATTAGTCCGTTCTCATACTGTTATAAAGATACTACTTGAGACTTGGTAATTTATAAAGAAAGGAGATTTAATTGACTCACAGTTCCACAAGGCTGGGAAGGCCTCAGGAAACATACAATCATGGCAGAAAGCAAAAGGGAAGCAAGGTATGTCTTACATGGTGGCAGGAGAGAAAGAGAGAGAGAGAGAGAGGAAGTGCCACACTTATAAACCATCAGATCTCATGAGAACTCACTCACTATCATGAGAACAGCATAGGGGAAACTGCCCCCATGATCCAATAACTTCCTACCAGTCCTTCCCTTGACACAAGAGGATTGCAATTCGAGATGAGATTTGGGTGGGGACAAAGAGCCAAGCCATGGTTTGATGACAAACCAGTCTGTCATCAGGGATGCTTCTGGCTGCAGAGTTACCTGGATCATGGTCTTTTTTGAAAGGCTACAGAGTCTCTGTGATGGTCTTTTTTTTTTTTTTTTTTTTCTGAGACAGAGTCTTGCTTTCTTGCCCAGGCTGGAGTGCAATGGCATGATCATAGCTCACCGCAGCCTTGAGCTACTGGGCTCAAATGATTCTCCTACCTCAGCCTACTGAGTAGCTGGGACTACAGGTGTGCACCACCATGCCTGGCATCTGGGTAGTTGTTTTTTTTGTAATTTTTGAGATGGGGGTCTCACTATGTTGCCCAGGCTGGTCTCAAACTTCTGGCCTCCTCCTGTCTCAGCTTCCCAAAGTGCTGAGGTTACAGGCATGAGCCACTGTGCCTGGCTGTGGTGGCCTCTTGATCATCAGCTGAACCACAGTCCCATGAAAGTCTAGAATGATGGCTGAGGGCTCAGCAGCTGGATTTCCAATACTTTCCCTGCCACAGCTTCCCCCAAGCCCTGTGCAAGGTACCTGAATGAAATCTACACATAGAGCTAAGAGCTGGGCAAAAACACACTCTTTCATACCAAGAAGCTTTTGCTCCAAACCACTGTCCATGTCTCCTAAAGAGGTAGACTGGATCACATGGAGTCTTTCTTTCTGACTTTGAGACAGTCTCAAGACATAGAGCCGTGGCAGGCTGGATTGCCTCTTCCAGTCCTCTTCTTCTGAGTTCGTACTACTCAAGTTTTGAGCCTCTGTATTCTATCACTGTTACAACTGAAGATCGGGCAATTTAAGGAAACAGTAGAAAATCATTGAAAAGTATTTGCCCTAATGCTGAGAGCAGAACAGACCTCTCATTCTGCAGAGAGGGAGAGAGAGTGAGCATGAGACATGACCCAAAAAAGTCCAGAAAGAGATAGACAACGCAGAAACTGCAAGACTGAGTGATTCCTAAATAGAAGATTTCTATAACCCCACTTTCTTCCCCAGACTTAATGAAGTAAGAGGGAAAAAAACCAAAGCAATACCAAAGGCAAAAGAGAAGGAGAATCTACACCCCTAGTCTGATGATGCAGTGAACGTCCTTGTGCTTGACCAATGCACTTGAGAACTCCTGCGCAGAGGAGGCAGCCTGTGGTGCTAGAGAGGTGTGATGAGCTCCCCCTAGGAGCCAGTAGTGGGCGCTGCTGCTTCTCACCAGGTAAATGTGGTGGCAGCAGACCAAAGTGTTACCTACATCTAGCTCAGCAACTTGAATGGAGCTGGAGGCTATTTTTCTAAGTGAAGTAACTCAGGAATGGAACACCAAATACTGTATGTTCTAACTTGTGAGTGGGAGCTAAGCTATGAGGACACAAAGACATACAGAGTGATATAATGAACTTTGAGGACTTGGAGCGGGGAAGTTGGGAAGAGGGTGAGAGATAAAAGACAACATATTGGGTACGATATACACTGCTTGGGTGACAGGTGAACAAAAATCTCAGAATTCACTACTAAAGAACTCATCCATGTAACCAAAAACTACCTGTATCCCCAAAACTACTGAAAGAAAAAGAAAAAAAAATTCTAGCTCAGGGAGTCAGAACTGCCTTTGGAGAGGAGAGAACCTACACATCGGCTTGTGGGTGCTTCTCTTAGTTAAAAGAAAAAAATGCCATCCATTCAGTGTATGAGGCTCTATTCTAGATCCCGAGAACCTTGGGAAGGGAAAACGCATAAAAGGTATTTGGAAACAACACTGTAATAGTGCAAAAATGTGAGGTGGAAACATAAAACTATGAGAGGAACCATCTGATGCTATGGACCAAGCAGGACTGACAAAGAAGAAAATAGAGAAGACAAATTAATATCAGGAATAAATAAGGGCAGATTGTGGGTAACTATATACCTATAAACACTACAACTTAGATAAAATGCACCAATTCCTCAAAAAATCACAAACTAGCAACACTCAACCAAGATGTAAGAGATAACTAGAAATTTTAATTATTACAGAGATTGAATTCATGATTTAAAATCTCCTGAAAAAGAAATATTCTAAGCCATTATCCTTCCTGAGTACAGATGTAAAAGTCCTTCTAAAATATTAGTGAATCAGATCTAGTAATATACTAAAAGTACAGAATGATCAAGTGGAGTTTTTCCTTGGAATGCAAAGCTAGTTCAATACTCAGAATCTATCAATGCAATCCACCACATTAATAGTGTAAAAAGGAAAAAAAAAAAACACATGATGCCAGTTAATACAGAGAGAGATTTTGACAAAATTCAACTTCTGTTTATAATAAAAATTTTCAGCAAACTAAAAATAAGAGAGAACTTCCTTAATCTGACAAAGGATACCTACAAAAATTAGCTTACTTCATACTTAATGGTGAAAGACTAAATGTTTTCCCCTAAGAATGAGAGCAATTCAAGGGTGTCCACTTTCACCAATCTAATACAATATTATGCTAGAAGACCCAGCCAGTTCAATGAGATAGGAAAAAGAAATACAAGGAATACAGATGGGAAATAAATATATAAAACTGTCTCTATTTACAGATGACTTGATTTTGTATACAGAAAATCCCAAGGCATCTACAAAAAACCTCCTGGAACTAATAAATGAGGGAAGAAGGTCAACATTAAAAAAAATCTGTCTTATATAGTAGCAATGGACAACTAGTAACCAAAAAGTACAATTTACAATAGCTCCAAATAATGAAAATATTAGATATATACTTAAAAACATGTATAGAATCTGCATGATAAAATTACAAAACAGTGATGAATGAAATCAAAATAAATCCAAATAAAAGGAGAGTCATACCAGGCAAGCTTCTCTGCACATTGATCTATACATTTAATGCAATTGCAATAAAAATCGAAGCAAGTTTTTTTGGTACATATACACAAACGTATTCTCAAATTTATGTGGAAAGACAAAAAAAATCAGAATGACTGAAACAATGTCAAAAAAGGAGAGTGAAATGGAAGAAATCACACTACTCAATTTAAAGACTTGCCACAAGGCTAGAATAATCAAGAAAGTGAAGGAATCGATGCATAGGTCAATAGAAAATAATGAAGAATCCAGAAATATATTCACACAAATATGGTTAATTGATTTTTGGCATCTGTTCATAGGCAATTCAATGAAAAAGCATAGGCTTCTCAACAAATAATTTTGGGACAAGTGGACATCTGTATGGCAAGACATGAATCTCAATCTAAACTGTACACCTTATACAAAAAAGTAACTCAAAATAGAAGGTCGTCAATTTAAAGTAAAAGGTAAAACTATGAATCTTTTAGAAAAAAATGTGGGAGAAAATCTTTGTAACATGGGATTTGGCAAGAGTTCATTTTTCAATTTTTTTTTTTTTTGATCTATAGGTTTTTGGGAAACGTGTGCTTTGGTTACATGAGTAAGCCCTTTAGTGGTGATTTGTGCGATTTTGGTGCACCCATCACTTGAGTGGTGACAATTCTTCACATGCAAGCAAAGCATGAGTTCATTAACATTAAAAGTTTTGCTGTACGAAAACACTATTAAGAAAATAAAAAGTCAAGCTACAGACTGGGAGAAAATATTAGAAAATCACATAGCTGACAAATGATTTGTCTCTGGAGTGTTAAAAGAACTCTCAAAACTCAACGGTAAGAAAATAAACAAACTTCATTAGAAAATGGGTAAGACTTGAACAGACAAAGACCAAAGACCATATATGGAAGTCAAATTAGTATAGTATAAGATGTTTAAGATCATTTGCCATTAGGGAAATGCCAATTAAAGCCACAATGAGATATGACTATGTACCTTTAGGAGGGCAAAAAAAAAAAGCCCAGAAAAAAACAAAAGAGGACATTATTAATAATGCCAATGCTTCAGATGTGAAACAACTGGAAACACTTGTGCATGGCTGGTAGGAATATAAAGTAGTCAAGACACTGTGGAAAACATTTTGACAGTTTCTTATAAAATTTACTTATAAAGTTAAATCCTCCCAATAATCCTACTTCTAGGCTATCCTAGAGACATTAAAACTTATGTTCATACAAAAACCTATACACCAATGTTTATAGTAGCTCTATTCATCATTTCCAAGCTGGAAATGATACAAATATTCTTCAATGAGTGAATGGATATCAATAAACAAATCTACAAAAAACCTCCTGGAACTAATAAATGAGGGAACAAGATCAACATTAAAAAATAATCTGTCTTATTCTTATATAGTAGCAATGGACAACTGGTAACCAAAAAGTACAATTTACAATAGCTCCAAGTAATGAAAATATTAGATATATGCTTAAAATCATGTATAGAATCTGCTCGCTGAAAATTACAAAATAGTGATGAATGAAATCAAAATAAATCCAAATAAAAGGAGAGTCATACCAGGCAAGCTTCTCCCCACATTGATCTATACATTTAATGCAATTGCAATAAAAATTGCATTGTGGTGAGTTCCCACAATGAATACTACTCTGCAAAAGAAAAAAAAAACACAGAATGAACTATGAGCTATGTGATTTGCAAATATTTTCTCCCAGTCTGTAGCTTGTCTTTTTATTTTCTTTTTTAAAATTTTATTTTATTATTATTATACTTTAAGTTTTAGGGTACATGTGCACAATGTGCAGGTTAGTTACATATGTATACATGTGCCATGCTGGTGTGCTGCACCCATTAACTCGTCATTTAGCATTAGGTATATCTCCTAAAGCTATCCCTCCCCCCTCCCCCCACCCCACAACAGTCCCCAGAGTGTGATGTTCCCCTTCCTGTGTCCATGTGTTCTCATTGTTCAATTCCCACCTATGAGTGAGAATATGCGGTGTTTGGCTTTTTGTTCTTGCGATAGTTTACTGAGAATGATGATTTCCAATTTCATCCATGTCCCTACAAAGGACATGAACTCATCGTTTTTTATGGCTGCATAGTATTCCATGGTGTATATGTGCCACATTTTCTTAATCCAGTCTATCGTTGTTGGACATTTGGGTTTGTTCCAAGTCTTTGCTATTGTGAATAGTGCCACAATAAACATACGTGTGCATGTGTCTTGATAGCAACATGATTTATAGTCCTTTGGGTATATACCCAGTAATGGGATGGCTGGGTCAAATGGTATTTGTAGTTCTAGATCCCTGAGGAATCGCCACACTGACTTCCACAAGGGTTGAACTAGTTTACAGTCCCACCAACAATGTAAAAGTGTTCCTATTTCTCCACATCCTCTCCAGCACCTGTTGTTTCCTGACTTTTTAATGATTGCCATTCTAACTGGTGTGAGATGGTATCTCATTGTGGTTTTGATTTGCATTTCTCTGATGGCCAGTGATGGTGAGCATTTTTTCATGTGTTTTTTGGCTGCATAAATGTCTTCTTTTGAGAAGTGTCTGTTCATGTCCTTCGCCCACTTTTTGATGGGGTTGTTTGTTTTTTTCTTGTAAATTTGTTTGAGTTCATTGTAGATTCTGGATATTAGCCCTTTGTCAGATGAGTAGGTTGCGAAAATTTTCTCCCATTTTGTCGGTTGCCTGTTCACTCTGATGGTAGTTCCTTTTGCTGTGCAGAAGCTCTTTAGTTTAATTAGATCCCATTTGTCAATTTTGGCTTTTGTTGCCATTGCTTTTGGTGTTTTAGACATGAAGTCCTTGCCCATGCCTATGTCCTGAATGGTAATGCCTAGGTTTTCTTCTAGGGTTTTTATGGTTTTAGGTCTAATGTTTAAGTCTTTAATCCATCTTGAATTAATTTTTGTATAAGGTGTAAGGAAGGGATCCAGTTTCAGCTTTCTACATATGGCTAGCCAGTTTTCCCAGCACCATTTATTAAATAGGGAATCCTTTCCCCATTGCTTGTTTTTCTCAGGTTTGTCAAAGATCAGATAGTTGTAGATATGCGGTGTTATTTCTGAGGGCTCTGTTCTGTTCCATTGATCTATATCTCTGTTTTGGTACCAGTACCATGCTATTTTGGTGATCAGAGTAGTGGTAGTTCACCGGCGGCCCGCAAGGCCGACGGACCCCGCCCTGCCCCCTCGCGGGGATGGGGGGGCGCTGGGGGCCTCCCACTTATTCTACACCTCTCGTGTCTCTTCACCATGCCAGACTAGAGTCAAACTCAACAGGGTCTTCTTTCCCCGCTGATTCCACCAAGCCCGTTCCCTTGGCTGTGGTTTTGCTGGATAGTAGGTAGTGACAGTGGGAATCCCGTTCATCCATTCATGCGCGTCACTAATTAGATGACAAGGCATTTAGCTACCTTAAGAGAGTCATAGTTACTCCCGCCGTTTACCCGCATTTCACTGAATTTCTTCAGTTTGACATTCAGAGCACTGGGCAGAAATCACATCACGTCAACACCCGCCGTGGGCCTTCGCGATGTCTTTTTATTTTCTTAATGGTGTTTTCATAGAGCAAAACTATTGATACACACAATAACTTGAATGTATCACAAATGCATTTATGAAGTGAAAGGAGTCACTCTTAAAGTTTACATATTCTATGATCCCATTTATATGCTTGTGATGGCTAATTTTATGTGTCAACTTGCCTGGGCCACAGGCTGCCCAGATATTTGGTGGAACATTATTCTGAGTGTTGACATTGATGAAATTAACATTTAAATTGGTAGACTGAGTAAAGAAGATCATCCTCCCTAATGTGAGTGGGCCTCATCCAATCAGCTGAAGACCTGAATAGAACAAAATGCTGAACCTCCTCTGAGTATGAGAGGCTTCCTCCTGCCTTACTGCTTGAACTGGAGACATTATCTTTTCCTGCCTTTGAACTCAAACTGAAACCTAGGCTTTTCCTGAGTCTTGAGCATGCAGGCCTTTGGACAAGAACTTCATGATCAGTTCTGGTTCTCGGGCCTTCAAACTTGAACTGGGCTTTATCTTCATCTCTCCTGGGTCTCAAGGTCATTGATTCACGCTGTATATCTTGGGACTGGTTAGCCTCCACAATCATGTGAGCCAATTCCTTGCAATAAATCTCTCTCTATATCTATCTATCTATCTATATCTATCTTTATCTATAGTGTACATATAAATACATATATATATTTATATAAATATTTATATGCTTGCGATGGCTAATTTTATGTGTCAACTTGCTTTGCTGACACATAATAAAAAATATAAATATTATATTATATAAATATATATGTATGTATAGATACACACACACATATGTATACATACACGTATATACATGACTCCAAGGTGATAGCATGAGAAAGTTTTTGTGGTTGATGGAATTGTTTGTTTCCTGTTTATGGCAGTTTGCACGATTTTATACACGTGCTAAAATTTACAGAATTTTATGGCCCCCAGAAAATCAATTTTATTAACTTTTAATTTAAAAAATAAAATGATTCTGGGAACTCAAAGAAGGGAAAGAACAGGAGATGCACTGATGATCCAAAGGAGTAGGGAATCCGGTAAGACTGGGAGGGAAGCTAGGATTAGAACTGAGACTTGAAGAATGACTAGGACTTCAATAAAGGGAGAAATGGGAGATGGATGTGTTTGGAAGGAGCAGGACATGCCAGTCGAAGGAACCAGAATGAACCTGGGGAGAGGAAGTGCTCTGGTGGCTGTGATTATAGAGGCACAGACTGGGAGCAGTGAATGGAGGGGCAGCTCAGTACCAAATTGCAACGAGCTCTGAATGTCTTGGTGAGACTTTCATTCCTCGTTCTGTGAGGGATTTGCAGTTACTAAATAATTGCTAAGCAGTGATTCCAAACCAGAAATCCAGGAGGATCCAATTCCAGGGGATTTTAAGCTTTCTGAAAGCCTCCTAGAGGGAAAAAGATACTGAAAAAGGATTTCTTACATATTCACTTATACCATTCTTTCTTAAGTTTACAAATGAGACCCTCCATAAAATATTGTGCTCACTAGGGAAATAATTCTGGGATTGATCTAAATCCTTTAGTCTCAAAGTATTTATGTAAACATCTGTCTCAGGCAGGGTCCCAGCAGGAGGCAGATGGTGCACTCCAAAGGAGAGGCTGAAGAGAGTGTAGTGACTATTTACAGGGAGGTGGGCTAAGTTAAGGGAGCCAATTCGAGGTAGTTAATTGCCCTGGGCTGATTCCACCCCTGAGCTTGAAGGCTCAAGGGAAAGGAGTGGTTTCATCAACTCTACAAGGAAGAGCTACAGGAAGAATGCCATAGGAAGAGCTACTCCTTAAGAGTGTGGTTCTGTGGGGAAGAAAGAGCGTCACTGTACTGTAGCCCAGGGAACGAGCTGGGGTTAGGGGTGAATACTCTGCCTCTCTCTCCTCCTGCCTTGGTGAAAGGAAAATATTTTGGGGCCCCCAAAATCACTGAGTTAAAGGGAAAATTCAAGCTGGGATCTGCCCAGGGCAAATCTGCCCCCATTATATTCAAAGTCATACCTCTGCTCACTGAGATGGATGTCTATTCTGATTGCCTCCTTTGGAAAGGCTTATCAGAAACTCAAAAGAATGCAACCATGTGTCTCAAACCTACCTGTAACCTAGAAGCTTCCTCCCTGCTTCGACTTGACCTTGCCTTTCTGGACAGAAACAATGTATTTCTTACATATATTGATTGATGTCTCATGTCTCCCTAAAATGTATAAAACCAAGCTGTGCCCTGACTACCTTGGGCACATGACATCAGGACTTCCTGAGGCTGTGTCACTGGCGTGCGTCCTCAACTTTGGCAAAATAAACTTTCTAAATTAACTGAGACCAGTCTCAGATTTTTGCTGTTCACACCTTCAATATCCTTCTGGTGCTTCCTATTGGTCCAAACTCAAGGGGAGCCAGAGGACCCATTGATGAAGTCCAAAGTGGCCAGTCTCCTACACACTGAGATGGGGGCTGGAAGAAGGAGAGAATGGACCTCGACGGGGTAATGGAGAAAAACCAACACATAATTATTACCTATTCAGATGCTAGGCATCTTGGGACCTCTGTTTATGAGAACTGCAGGGAAAAAAGAAGCTGATATATGGACTGGGAAATTGAAGTTAGACATGGGCTGGCCTTGGTCAAGTGCTCAGACAGTTTGGCCCTGACCAGAAATTTCCACCTCTGTGACTTTGTCAAGCTGAGTCAGGTGCTTTCAATGCACTGCAGATCTATGGGTTGCATTAATTGCTTGTAAATAGTTTGGTGCCTGGTTATACATGCCTGGCACATAGAGAGGCTCTTTATCAATATGAAGGGAAGGCAGGCGGTCCAAGTTCAGGGCTCCACATGAGTGTCTAGATTCTACTCAGAGATTTCCAGTGATAAGGGCTCACACCTCAGGGAAGGCACTTGAGGCATTGCCTGGGGACCCAGGCTTGCTGGCTCCTCTGGCTGCCTTTGTCTTACTTTATTTCCATCAATCAGAGATAAGGAGAGCATCCTGCACTAATGGGATGGAGCTCACTCACAAAGAAGTAGGAGTCCTGAGAAATTATGAAGAAGGAGCCCTGGGGACCAGGAGACCTCTCACTGCCTCATTCCTAATTAGCAGCAGAGGCATCCTGGGAACCCTCTGAGACCAGCTAACAACCATGAACTCTGCAAAAGAACATTGCCATCCCTGTCACCATTCCTGATGTTTGTCCTTCAGTCCTCATGGGATGCTTGTTTCCTTGGCAGGTTTTCATTTGGGTGCAGGCTTGATTGGATGACATGGAGAATGCCCCAAGGCAATGTCCCTAAACCATGCTATGATTGATAAAAGATATTTAGAATTGAGAAAAAAACTTATAAAACATCTGGTCCAATTTAATTCAGTCTTCAGAGAGGAAAATGAGGCTGAGACAGGTTATGTACTTTTCACCGAGCACCTGTTAGGAGCCAGGCTTTGCGCAAAGCACTTTGCAAGTAGTACCTCATGTACTGTGCACATCACTCACATTATGGGGCCGATGTATCACCACAAGGTACACCTGAGGGCTAGGAGGAGATTTCCCAACTTTAGGTACAGTTCACTTCTGGTACTGCTAAGGCATTTATCCCCAGAAGGACCAGGTTACTGAATTTGAAGGCATAGAAATTCAGGACATACTTTTTTGGGAAACCCTGCAGTCAGCCAGGGCTTATTGACTCAGTGCAGTAGCCCAAGCACCTGCAAGCTGACAGCTTGGCTGGCTTCACGGACATCCAGGCAGGGCTGACTGTTATTACAAATGCTCCTCAACTTAGGATGGGATTACAACTTAGGATGGGGATCAGCTGAAAAATTCTAAGTTGAACCATCATAAGTCAGAGACTGCTTGTATTGCCTGATGAGATTTAACTACAGATTCTCCTCTCACACATGCATGGATTGCTGTTATCATCATATTTACCATAAGCCTCTGTCTGGGTCTCCTAATACCAGCGTCACTGTCTTGTCACAGAAAACTGTCTTCACATGTCTTTCAGCCAATGTGCACTGGTCTGTCAATGATGGATATCACATCGTTGCCTTCCACCACAAGCTTCCTGCTCACTCATTTGCTATTCCTTCCTTCCTTTATTCATTCTAGTCCAAACGTTTACTGAGGATCTATATGCACTTTGGATATGGAGATGAAAAAGATGGCCTGTCTTTTACAAGCTAGCTTAACAGGAAATAGAAGTTTCTTACAAGGATATTATATTGCCTCACCATAGCAAGGGAGAAGATGAAAGTAGTGAGGAATTAGAACCACTTTTCTCTCCTCCTCCTTCTCCTCCTTCTTCTTCCTCTTCCTCTTCTTCTGCATATTTTTTTCTTTTTATCTGACCCTTAATTTGCAAGAACCACCTTTCATCTCTGCTCCTTCCTGTCTACTGGCTTTGTTCTTTGTTGTTTGCAAAATGGTGGGAGGTGATATCACAGATTCAGCTGCCCAAAGATAGCCTGACTTTCTTTTAGTTTGAAATCCAAATTCCTAGAGAGGAAACTCTAACTGGCTCAAATGTTACATACTTACAACTGGTCCACTCAACTGTGGTGAGGTGAGCCCAGTCATATTGAATAATATGACTGTCCAGGGCCCAGGAAAGTTATTCCATGTACTGGGATGGTGGAGAAGCTTTTAGGAAAGTGGGGCAGGGCAGATAGTCCATTAGGGTCCTCTTCATAATTGCTGCCTTCAATAAGCTTGTCTGGAAGCAGAGTGAAAAGGAAGCCTCTAAATGCTGTACTGTAAAGAGTTCTGGAAAGGTTTTCTAGGTACAAGAACCTGGGGCAGATTGAGAGGGGTGCAAAGAGCTCTATGGGGGCAAACCTCACTGGGGCTGGGTCTCCACTGGAAAAAGGTGGGATGCAAATGCATGCATGCGTGTGTGTGTGTGTGTGTGTGCATGCATATGTGTGTAAGGGCAGTGGAAGGTTGAGATAGAGTGACTTTCCAGGAAGAGGGGAAAACTTGCTGAAAATAAAGCAGCTTAGAGGAGCATGGCCCTTCTGCAAATTGTGGTCATTTGGAGCTGCCAAGGCCTAAAATGCAAGGCAGTAAAGACCAGGGAGAAAGCTGGAAAAGTCCATTACGACTAGAGCATGAAGGTCTTCCTATACACACGTCACACTAAGCAGGTTAGATTTTATCCTAGGAGTGGTGATATTCAGCAAAGAATGTTGAGAAAATGAGAAGCAGGATCTGATTTTTCTGTTGGAACTACCCCTCCCTTTGGGAAGACATGTTGTAAGGAATGGAAGCTAGACTTGGGAATTTAGGAAGAAGGTATATTGGTTAGGGTTCTCCAAGAAACAGAAGCCAAGACAGGATTAAGCATGCAAGGATTTTATCAGAAAAAAAAAATTGTGAGTTTCTGGGGAGGGAGCTAAAGATGGTTGAGAGGTCCATCAGTCAGCAATGCAAGCCCGGCCACAGGTGAAGGAGAGAGAGAAGAAAGGCAAGTGACAATATCCTAGACTTCTGTGTTGTCCAAAGAAGGTTTGGCAAGGCAGTCAGGAGTCTTCCAGCCACAGCCGGCCATCAGAAGAATGTGTGTCTCCTAGAAAGGGGCCTGCCTTAGTAAGTAACACTGCCACATTCTGTCACTGGTGGGGAGCCCAGACGGTGCAATGGATTTCAGGGCACGGCAGTCAAGGCCCTTGGTCAATTGCACTCATTGTAGTTGGAGGTCTGTAAGGTACCTTCTCATGGCTGTCACAGAAGTGTAAAGTAATAATCCAGGAAGATGATTTAATCGGACTAACTAGACATAAACTACGTCACCAGCAGTGCAGCAAAGGGATATGAGAGACATTGGAAGGTATGATCAATTGGAATTAGTAATTGATTGATGATTATTACAGGGCTGTTAAGTACCACTGTGCAAGTTGTGCACTGCACAACGTTATCTTAAGGAGGAGTGATGAGTAAAACAATTAAAATATAAAGTGGCTCATGCTTATAGCAGGAGAGAGACTGGGCTCTGAAGTTTATGCAGCTACCTGGTGGCTGTTTGGTGACTAGAATTGTCTATCCTGTCTCCTGAGCCAGACTATTTCCAGACCCTGAGTCAATCAGCCTGGACAAGTAAGCTAGAACTTGAGTTTTCTGAGCAACTTGGATGTGCCAGGAATATCCATTCATGATTCAAGAAGTTTTTGGTAGCACCAACCATGTTCCAGGCACTGTCGTAGGTCCTGGGGAATTCAGCAATGAACAAAGCTGATGGACACAAAGCTCCTGTCTTTGCAGGAAGAATTCATGGAATGAATAAACTATGAAAGAATACAATGTTTGGTATATGTTATGGAGGAAACAAAGCAGGATCAAGAAGATAAGGAATGCATGTGCATATGTGTGTATGTATGTACTTGTGTGTTGCAGGGGGAAGTCTGATGTTTTAAGTAGGATGGGTAAAGAAGGCCTCATTGTTAAGGGGGATATTTGTGTTTAGGTCTCTCTGCAGAAGGACTAGTGGATGCAAGTATAATGGGTGGTGAGTTTTTTTCCGCAATTATAAATTTCAAAATGGCTGGTGTGAGAGGGGAGAGAGAGAGAGAGAGAGAGAGAAAGAGAGAGAGAGAGAGAGAGAGAGAGAGAGATTGGGTAACCCAGGAAGTCAGAATCAGGACATGTGACTTTGCTTTGACTGATAAAGGGAGACCTTTGGAGGATTTTGAGCCCAGAATGCTGTAAGCTGTCACATTTCAGAAGGACCACTCTGGGTGCTGAATTGAAGAAACACTGTGGAGAGACAAAGGCAGTGGCAAGGAAAAAAATGTACTGTGGAATTAGAATTCTAACTCAGAGTAAAGATCTTGAGCCACGCTAGATTCTGAAGTGCCTTTTGAAACGCCAACACATGATTAGATTAGGTTAAGTATTATTTGAATAAGTGCATTTTAAAAAGAGGCAAATTATTCGAAAATTGAGCATCAATTTATTGCATGTGTCCATTCTTTATTAAAAAAGACACTTTTATTAATGGAAATTTCTAATTCCCCAACAAAGTTTATGGTAGCAGCCGTTGCTCTCTTCTTATTTTAAGCCAAGCTCTGTATTCTAATGTCACAAACTTTGCTTAACCATACGGTCAAAATCCTTGTTTAATTTTGGTTTTCAAACATTCCATTCCTGTAAAGAAACCAATGCTTTCAGAATATCTGGCTTCAAAGGGACCTACCTAGTTGCAGGCTGCGCAGTGGAGTTGCTGCAGGTGACTGTTTTCCAATTTAGTTGTCACCTTTCCAGCTGATACCTCTGGAAAACCTTTCTGTTCCCTTGTTTGAGAGAAGTGTTTCTTTCTTATCTTTAGAAAAATTAATCAAAGGGCTTTCTCCTACTCACTGGCACTGAAATGTTGTTACACCTTAATCTCTCTTTTAGCCAAAAAGAGAACGGAAGCAAGAAAGTAAAAAAGAGCTGGAATGAAGATCTTCTCCTAATTGGTCAAAGGGTTAGAAAGTGAATTGTTAATTAATCCTGACAGTTCAACAAGAGGCGTCTAACTGTATCTCAGGTGAGACAGAGGCAGGAAGCCCCTGGCGGTGTGGGGACATATTGCTGGGAGGAAGCTTTTCACAACACAGTGCCCCAGATCTTTGGACCTGTCTTAAAGTGAGTGACTCCCAGGAAAAGACGTTGAAGTAAATTAAAAGGAATATTCGTGTGCATGTGTCTTTATGATAGAATGACTTATATTCCTTTGGGTATGTATCCATTAATGGAATTGCTGGGTCAAATGGTAGGTCCGTTTTTAGCTTTTTGAAAAATCACCATACTGCTTTCCACATGGTTGAACTAATTCACACTCCCACTAACAGTGTCTAAGCATGCTCTTTTCTCCACACCCTCGCCAACATCTGTTATTTTGTGACTTTTTGGTAATAACCATCTGAGTGGTGTGAGATGGTATCTCATTGTGGTTTTGATTTGCATTTCTCTAAGGATCAGTGATATTGATTGATTACAGCACTATTCACAATAGCAAAGACATGGAATCAACTTAAATGCCCATCAATGGTAGACTTGATAAAGAAAATGTGGTACATATACACCATGGAATACTATGCAGCCATACAAAAGAATGAGATCATGTCCTTTGCAGGGATGGAGCTGAAGGCCATTATCCTTAGCAAACTAATACAGGAACAGAAAACCAAATACTGCATGTTCTCACTTAAAAGTGGGAGCTAAATGATGAGAACTCATGGACATAGAGGAGAACAACACACATGGGAGGGTGGAGGGTGAGAGGGGGGAGAGGATCAGGAGAAATAACTAATGGGTACTAGGCTTAACAATCTGTACAACAAACTCCCATGACATGAATTTGCCTATATAACAAAACTGCACATATACCCCTGAGCCTAAAAGAAAGGGTAAAATTAAATAAATAAATACAAATAAATCATCTCCCCCAAAAAATCACAAAGGAATATTTGAATAAGGCCTTGGGATTATTCAAATCAGATTAAGTGTAGTGATAGTATTGGAGGAAAAAAGATGCCAAAGTGAAGCTTGACTGTCCAAATAGGTAAGAATTCAAGGGAGGCTCAGTTTTGTTGTCTACAATCTCAGTATTTGGAATGCCCAGGAGAGCATTTATTTTCAGTTCTTAGAGATAGGGTCTTGCTCTGTCACCCAGGCTGGAGAACTGTGGCACAATCATAGCTCACTGTATCCTCAAACTCCTGGGCTCAAGCGATCCTCCCTTCTTAGCCTCCCAAGTTGTTGGAATTACGGGTACATGCCCCCATATCCAGCTAATTTTTAGAGAAAATTTTGTACAGATGGGATCTCCCTTTGTTGCCTAGGGTGGTCTCGAATTCCTGGCCTCAATCCAATCTCCTGCCTCAGCCTCCCAAAGGGCTGGGATTACAGGTGTGAGCAACCACTTGTTGCCCTGATTTCTGGCATTATACAGAGCTCCTTCCTTCCTGCCTGCCTGCCTGCCATTTTTGAGATGGAGTCTCGCTTTATTGCCCAGGCTGGAGTGCAGTGGTGCCATCTTGGCTCACTACAACTTCTGCCTCCCGGGTTCCAGCAATTCTCGTGCCTCAGCCCCCTGAATAGCTAGAATTACCGGCATACGCCATCATGCTCAGCTAATTTTTGTATTTTTAGTAGAGAGGGGGTTTCACCATGTTGGCCAGGCTGGTCTTGAACTCCTGACCTCAAGTGATCCACCCTCTGTGCCCTCCCAAAGTGCTGGGATTACAGGCATGAGCCATGGCGCCTGGCCCAGAGCTCCTCCCTTTCTACCCACAGTGCAGCTTCTTGCTAGCAAATTGCTTACTGCACAATTCCAAGCTGCAGGTCAGTTGAGGCCCTTCATGGATGCCTTGGGTCAACTGAAGGATCTTTGTTTCATTCCAACCCACTGATTTACAACTGTCTTTTGTGACTGGGCACAGGCCTGGCATGCTCCTGGCTCACTCCCTTTGGTTTTATGACTTGACCCATGTCTTGTCCTCTGGACTGATTCCTTTGATCCTGGGTGAACCTGCTCTTTCCTCCCACCACAGGTCACTCACTGGAAGTACTAGTCCAGCTATTGTAGATATGGCCGTCCCTCTCCTGAGTACAAATTACCAATGGGGCAACTCAATGCTGACACATTCATCTGACCTCTTTGCCAGGCTCTGGGACTGTGGCTTATGTTCAAGGTGATCAGAACATGAACATTTTAAGAAAAGTGTGAATCAGGGTAGGGGTTAGGCAGGCCCATGTGCTCTGGGAGACACCTGAGCTTATCAGACACATCCTGGGGCTTTGGTGGTGCTTTGAGTAACGATGCTGTACCGATTCCCAGTGGTGCCGTTTCAGGCACATTGCTTTCTGAACCTCTGTCCCAGGATTTGTATATCAGAGTTCTCATAAGACTCAAATCTGGTGGCAACTGTCAAAGAGCCTTTGCTGAGCAAATGTATTTTCTGTGGCTCTCACTAGAGCTCGCTAACTTGGACCACAAGGCTGATTCACGCCTTCACTAATATTCCAAACTTTGGGCTCCACCTGCCTCCTGGCATTGTTGGTGCCTGCCTACTGCCATCTGCCTTAGTTGACCTTGTGGGCTTATCCCCTTGGCTCCTAGATGGGGAGTTTGGGCCAGATTTCTCTACTCATCCAGTGACCATGCCTCCCTGTTCCAGTCCAATCACATCCCTTCCTAACAAATCCTGTCACTTTATAGCTCCTGTACTACATTATTTAACCTCGGTTTCCTCAACTGTGAAATAGGAATAATAGCAGTTCCTACCATACAGGGAAGCTGGGAGGTTGAAGTCCACATGGGGTAATTGAGAGGATGCAGTAAGATTCCATATGCAAAACGTTTAGCTGAGTATCTGCACATGGAAGCACTGTCTGTCTTAGCTATTAATACTTTTTATTGTTGTGATTATTCTTTCTACAGACATCACCCTAGTTTGGTTTGTTATCCTCCTAGCAAACAACTCTGTGGTGAAACTAGTGAATGATTCTCCTGAGCCTCCCACCTTTTCTCAAATAACTCTATGCTCTCTTTGGCTTGCTTTCTCATTGACATCCTTCTTTCTTATGGAATTGATCAAGCAATTGCATAGTAAGTGATATGGTTTCACTGTGTCCCCACCCAAATCTCATCTTGAATTGTAGCTCCCATAATTCCCACGTGTTGTTGGAGGGACCCAGTAAGAGATACTTGCATCATGGCGGCGGTTTCCCCCATGCTGTTCTCGTGGTAGTGAATAAGTCTCACGAGATCTTATGGTTTTATAAGGGGTTTCTGCTTTTGCTTGGCTCTCATACTCTCTCTTGTTTGCTGCCATGTAAGACATGCCTGTCGCCTTCTGCCATGATTGTGAGGCCTCCCCACCCAAGTGAAACTGTGAGTTCATCAAATCTCCTTTTCTTTATAATTTACCCAGGCTCAGGTATGTCTTTATGAGCAGCACGAAAATAGACTAATACAGTGAGTCTATAGGAGTAAAATCAAAGCAAGATGCAATGTCTTTTTTCTCTGTATTTGCAATCCATCCTCAGCCTTTGTAAAGCAAACACCTAGAGTGAGGCTTTATTTCACCCAAATGAATGAAAAGAGGAATTGTTTTGACATAGAAGTGATCACTTTTATCTATTTTGGATACTGCAAGGTTCTTGTTGTTTGTTTTTTGAGATAGGATCTTGCTCTGTTGCCCACGCTGGAGTGCAGTGCTGTGATCATAGCTCACTGCAGCCTCCAAATTGTGGGCTTAAGTGATCCTCCCACCTTAGCCTCCCAAATAGCTAGGGCTACAGGCACGTGCCACCACACCTGGCTAATTTTTTAAATTTCTTGTAAAGATGGGGTCTTGCTGTATTGCCCAGGCTAGTCTCAAACTTCTGCAATCCTCCCACCTCAGCCTCCCAAAGCATTGAGATTATAGGTGTGAGCAACCATGCCCAGCTGGTACTATAAGTTCTTAACAGCATGCTATAGGGAATCCAGCCCTGGCTAGCATGTGCAACAGAACTATTTGGTGCTATCTGGTGATCCAATGCCAATTCAATGCCCTCATGACTGAGGGTCTGTCTGTGATAGCCTGATGACAAGGCCAGCTCTGAGATTTTCTTTTACCTCCTTGTTGAAGAAGTGACAACACTCTGAAGATGTACTCTGTGCTTGTTGCTTTCAATGTGCTACTTCTCCATCTTATCAATAACCTCTGCCAGGTGCGGTGGCTCATGCCTGTAATCCCAGCACTTTGGGAGGCAGAGGTGGGCAGATCACCTGAGGTCACGAGCTCAAGACCAGCCTGGCCAACATGGTGAAACCCCGTCTCTACTAAAAATACAAAAATTAGCTAGGCATGGTGGCGTGCGCCTGTAGTACCAGCTACTTGGGAGGCAGAAGCAGGAGAATCGCTTGAACCCAAGAGGTGGAATTTGCAGTAAGCCGAGATTGTGCCACCGTACTCCAGCCTGGGCAACAGAGTGAGACTCCATCTTAAAAAAAAAAAAAAAAAGAAAAAAAGAAGAAGAAGAAACCTCTAACATAAATATATGGTAGATTTCGCATTTTAGACCTTAAGTATTTTTCTTCATGATTTTCAGCATACTGAAGATCTGTATTCACTAACTCAAAACATATTTTTATTGAATGTCTCTGTTATGTACAGAATCTCAATGCACAAAAAAACCCCTGAAAAATGAAGCATTTTGCAAAGAGATTATTTATTTTGGATAAAGATAAAGATAAAAAGATACTTTTGGATTCTGCAAGTTTTTTTTTGTTTTTGTTTTTTGTTTTTTTTTTTTTGAGACAGGGTCTCATTCTGTTACCCAGGCTGGAGTGTAGTGGCGTGATCATAGCTCACAGAAGCCTCGAACTCCTGGGCTCAAGCAGTCCTCCTGCCTCAGCATCCCTAGTAGCTGAGACTACTCTCTCTGTCCCTCCCAATTTGGGCAGAATGGAAATTGATGATGGAAATCTTTTCTGATGGTATGTTGAGAGCGTGTGCATGTGTGTGGAGGGAGGGTGTAGGGAAGACGCCCTCAGCTCGATTTTAATTCCAGACAGTAGATATTTTATTAGATAGCTGAAAACAATGCTCTTATTCTTTATTTCAACTTTAGTTTTTATTTTTAATCTTTAAAAATTTCCCCACAAATTATTAATGTATTGATTAAAAAAGAATGGAGGAATAAGCCATACCTGTCTGGTATCGGTCAACTTGATTCAGAAAGTCTGTCCATGTTTGCATGAAAATGATGGCTTTACACAGCCATGCTTGGTTCCTGCATTTTACCACTTCCGTTTATGACAATAAAACTTCAGAGCCTCTTCCAGGGATGTGTCTTGCCTCGCCGTTACTCATGTGCAATTTTCTGTTGACATCATTGGGAGTTGCCTGCCATATGGCTGAAAGCACAGTTTCACCCTTTGCTGGTTAGCTACTCCTGACAGTAATGATCCTATTTTCCTGAGTGAATTTAATTGCAAAACAGTAAGTAATTGCCCAGGTTGGTGATATAGAAAGGTTTTGGTGGCTCACTGGGGAATTCCCTCTTCATTAAGAGTTCGTGTGTATGAGATGGGAAGGTGATGCCTCCTCTATTCTATGCAATGCCCGAAACCTTATTAGAAGTCCTTTTTGTGGGTCTCTAGCTCTAGACACCTCATCGAGAGTGTGTGAGGAACCAGGTGACGTGGCCTGGAGACGGAGCTGGTGCTATTAATGGTGTTTCATTTGCAGAAGAAGGAGCTGAGTGGAGATTTTTAAAGATTCACAAAGGACCCAAGAATACCATGGGGGCCAGGTTATATAAATTCAGGTCCTCAAGAGACACTTGCCCCCCAGTGGTAATATTAGCTGCAGCCCAGAACTATCTCTGGCTAACTGGACTGCTTTTTGAATGATCTAGCTTTTGGTATCTATGATCTTTATCTATTAGAGCATTATAATTATTATACAATTAGCTCACATATTTATGATATATTTATATTATTATGATCACATTTTGTTGAGACAGAGTCTTGTGCTGTTGCCCAGGCTGATGTGCAGTAGCACAATCATAGCTCACTGCAGCTTCGAATTCCTGAGCTCCAGCGATCCTCCCATATCTCAGCCTTCTGAGTAGCTGGGACAACAGGCTTGCACCACCACACCTAGCTAATATTTTATTTTCATTTTTTGTAGAGAAAGGGTCTTGTTATGTTGCCCAGGCTGGTCTCCAACTCTTAGCCTCAAGCGATCCTCCTGCCTAGGCCTCCCAAAGCATTGGGATTACAGGCGTGAGCCACTGCGCCTGACTGGTACTACAGGTTCTTTTTTTTGGCGATGGAGTTTTTGCTCTTGCTGCCCAGGCTAGAGTGCAATGGTGCAATCTCGGCTCACTGCAACCTCCGCCTCCTGGGTTCAAGTGATTCTCCTGTCTCAGCCTCTCGAGTAGCTGGGATTACAGGCATGTGCCACCACGCCCAACTAATTTTGTATTTTTAGTAGAGACGGGGTTTCTCCATGTTGGTCAGGCTGGTCTTGAACTCCTCACCTCAGGTGATCCACCCGCCTCAGCCTCCCAAAGTGCTGGGATTACAGGCGTGAGCCACTGTGCCCGGCCACAAGTTCTTAACAACATGCTATAGGGAATCCAGCCCTGGCTAACACATGCAACAGGACTATTTGGTGCTATCTGGTGACCCAATGCCAGTTCAATGCCTTTGTGCCTGAGGGTCGGTCTGCGAGAGGCTGATGATAAGCCAGTTCTGAGATTTTCTTTTACTTCCTTTTACTTCTTTTACCTCCAGCTGTAATCACATTTATGATCCAGTTCTAGATAATTGCCCTCCCACACAAGGCAGATTTTGTGAAAACAGCCACAGTGACCAGGCTGGCTCTCTAGCTTTCTTTTGCATCCTGGTCATGGTGTACCAAACCTACATGGAAGGTTTGTTCTGTGTTTCTTACTCCCCCAGCTTTGCTGAGTCTTCTTGTCAATAACGAGTGAAACAGACTCTGCTTCTCCCAGTCATTCAAAACCATGTAAAAATACCAAGGACTGCATGAGAAAGTATTTATTGTGCAGAGCTGTCCTGAGAAGCCCTGGCTAAGGGCAAGGGAATAAATAAGAAATGTGGTCGTAACCAAGAAGCTTTAGTTTTGGACTAAGGGAGGTGGGAACATTCCACCACCCAAGAGAAAATAAATGGATCATGGGTGGGGTGTGATAGGTCAGGGGAGAGCTGAGAAAGTGGAGATAAGGGCAGACCCCAAGGGTTTCTGTTTGTGTGTCTGTGCCTGCGTGGGTGTCTGGCTGGGGGAGTGGGAGGGCACCGTGCACCAGGGTGGTGGGAGAAGTGGTAAGAGCCATGTGTGAGAATCTGTGCTGTGAGGTTAGGACCCCCTAGGGAGGCCTTAGCCTGCTTTCTGCTTTCTCTTCCAGTAATGCTTAGCTTGGCCAGCTTGGCTTTGCACCCATCAGCATCCATGTGGGAGCCACGTTAAGGTAATTAACACTCAGATGTCTGACGCTAAAATATGTGGAATCCTGCAGCTTGCTAGAGTGGGCCGCTTTCAGGGGTTTGCTGCTTCTCCCAGAAACGACCAGCTGTTCTCCCTGCTCACAGAAAACAGAACAAGATGAGGGCTTAGAGAAGAAAAAGAGGGATTTACTTGGATTTGAGGAAGGATTTCCTGGCTGTGAAAACACAAAGGGAAATATGATCTTTGGGATGGGATTGCCTGCAAGAGATCTGAAATCTCTTTCCTTCCTGTAATTCTAAATGAGGAGGAGAGCAGCTCCCAGAGTGATTTGCCTTAAATGTGCTGTTTTCTGGATAAAGGGAGACAGTCCGGTGATTCACCCCATGAATATGGCCATTCCAACTCCCCCAATAAAAAGAAGAGTGTCGGGAGAATCAGGTTCCATTTCCTACCTTAGTTGCACGTGTATAGTACATAAAACCAGTCACATCAATGTTTTGCTTCAACAACTGGAAATGATGACAGTTAGCACTCAAGCATGCTATTGATAGACATTGGTCCTCCCTAGATGGGGGAACATGTCGTGCCGACTTCTACAATAGAGATTAAAAAACCAAAACAAAAACGAGTATTTGCCAACTTGGCCAAATTCTTGTGAATATATCACCCCCAAATGATCCATTTGATGGCACGTTGTGTAGAAGATTACAAGCCAGGAGACCATCATTCAAGTTCTGTCTCAACTTTTTGGAGCCTTGAGTTGATCATCTGAAATACAGGAATAATTGTTTCTATTTTTTTCTATTTCAGTGAGTTTTGTAAAGACCCAATATGATAATATATGTGGAGATTTTTGAAAATTATAAAGGATGGAGTGAAGTGGGTAATTATTGTGAACATCTTTTCCATTCTTTCTTTTATTCAAACAGTGGAGCTCACTCATTGTCTTGAGTGGTATTTGTGGAATTATAGGTGAGGGAAAAACATTCAAATGAGTTAGGGAGTGTATAAATGCCTGTTGAATCTGAATTTGATGCTGTTTCAACATTGAATTTAATAAAGTATTCCGTTATTTATGGTAAAATATTCTGTGAACTGTGAAGCACTCTTCAAATTTAAAACATTAGTAGGATAATAATAGTAGCATCATTTATTGTATTGAAAGGAAGTCTAGTCTGGTGGTAAAAGCAGAAACCTTGGATCCAGACTTGCTTGGTTCTGTTCCTCCTTGATATGTCCTGGCTCTATGATTTGGGATGTATAACCCCCCATGTCATTCTTTCCTCATTTCTGAAATAGAGTTAACAATACTTCTGCCAACCTGATAGGGTTGTTGTGAGAATTTAGTGTGTTTTTAAGCATGGGAGATTTAAAAAGCAGCCCCAGGATCACAGTCTGTACTCAATGCATAGTAATGATTGTTACAAGAAGTACTACAAAGAAATGATAATAAACTCTTTTGGTTTCTTGCCTCAGAACACTGAGTGACCATATTATGAACTGCTAGGTTAACAGCTATCCTTTTCGTTGATGGAGATAGTATAAAATCATGTTATGAATGATGGAAATTGGCTCAGTGTGTTAATCCAAAGATATGTTATACATATTGTTTATTTCTTAAAGATTTTTAAGTTGAAATAGAATTCACATACCATAAGATTCATCATCAAAAGTACAATTTACATTTGCATGCCTGTATCTTTGTGATAGACAATTTCTATTCCTTCGGGTAGATACCCAGTAATAGGATTGCTGGGTCAAATGATAGTTCTATTTTAATTCTTTGAGAAATTGCCACACTGCTTTCCACAGTGGATGAACTAATTTACATTCCCTCCAGCAGTGTATAAGCATTCCCTTTACTCTGCAACCTCACTAGTATCTGTTATTTTTTGACTTTTTAATAATAACCATTCTGAGTGGTGTGAGATGGTATTTCACTGTGGTTTTGACATGTCATTTCCTAATGATTAGTGATATTGAGCATTTTGTCATATGCTTGTTGGCTGTGTGTATATCTTCTTTTGAGAAGTGCCTGTTCATGTCCTTTGCACATTTTTTAATGTGGTTGTTTGTTTTTTGCTTGTTGATTTGTCTAAATTTCTTATAGATTCTGGATATTAGACCTTTGTTGGATGCAGAGTTTGCAAATATTTTCTCCCATTCTGTACACATGTACACAAAGCAGGGAACAATAGACACCAGGGCCTATTTGAGGGTGGATGGTGGTAGGAGGATGAAGATTGAAAAATTACCTATCAGGTAATATGTTGATTACCTGGTGATATGGTTTGACTCTGTGTCCCCACCCAAATCTCATCTTGAATTATACTCCCATAATTCCCATGTGTTGTGGCAGGGACCCAGTGGGAGATAATTTGAATCATGGTGGTGGTTTCCCCCATACTGTATATTCTTCTCATGATAGCGAATAATTTTCATGAGATTTAATGTTTTTATCAGGGGTTTCTGCTTTTGCATCTTCCTCATTTTCTCTTGCCACTGCCATGTAAGAAGTACCTTCCACCTCCTGCCATGATTCTGAGGCCTCCCCAGCCATGTGGAACTGTAAGTCCAATTAAATCTCTTTCTTTTGTAAATTGCCCAGTCTTGGGTATATCTTTATCAGCAGCATGAAAATGGACTAATACACCTGGGTGACAAAATTATGTGTACACCAAACCTCCTTGACATTCAATTTACCTATGGAACAAACTTGCACAAGTTCTCCTAATAAAAACAAAGAACAAAAAACCAGCTCATATTGTACCCCATAAATATATTTCAAATATTACTTGTCAATTAAAAGTAAAACTAAGAGAAAAAATTAAAAATGAAGTGTACAGTTTCTCAGGTTTTAAAAAACATAGTTGCAAAGTTGTGCAACTATCACCACTATCTAATTCCAGAACATATTCACCATCTCCAAAAGAAACCCTCTACTCATTAGCAGTCACTCCCTGTTGCACCCTCTCCGAGCCCCTGGCAACCATTAATCTTCTTTCTGTTGTCTCTCTGGATTTGCCTATTCTGCAAATTTCATAGAAATGGAATTATATAATATGTAACATGTTGTGGCTGGCTTCTTTCACTTAGTATAAGGTTTTCAGGGTTCATCTATGTTGTAGAACCTGTCGATACTTCACTCCTTTTTATGGCTAACTAATATTCCATTGCATGGGTATACCACATTTTGTTTATCCATTCATTGTTTGATGGACATTTGTGTCCATTTCTACTTTTTGGCTATCATGAACATTTGTGTACAAATATCTATGTGGACATAACATTTTTTTTTTTTGAGATGGAGTCTCACTCTATCGCCCAGGCTAGAGGGCAGTGGCGCGATTTCGGCTCACTGCAAGCTCCGCCTCCTGGGTTCACGCCATTCTCCTGCCTCAGCCTCCCGAGTAGCTGGGACTACGGGCGCCCGCCACCAAGCCCGGCTAATTTTTTGTATTTTTAGTAGAGACGGGGTTTCACCATGTTAGCCAGGATGGTCTCCATCTCCTGACCTCGTGATCCACCCACTTCGGCCTCCCAAAGTGCTGGGATTACAGGCATGAGCTACTGTGCCTGGCCTGTGGACATAACATTTTTAGTTCTCTTGGGCATATACCTAGGAGTGGAATTGCTGGGATATAGTATAACTCTATGTTAAACTCTATGAGGGACACATTTTGCTTATTTATCTGGAGTTATCCTTTGATTATTGTTTTCAGGTCATGCAAAAATGCTTGAAATAGTAATAAAAAAGTGAGCTCTTACTCATCCAAGCTGTTCAGTCGTAATCAGGACATACTGCCAAGAATAACCTTGATCTTGGGACATGGAGTACTTACTGGTGATACCTCCCTAATGTGGCACCTAACCTTCATGTGCTAGAACCAGCCGGAAGATGAATGTTCAAATACCAGAGGACAAATGGCTATAACTGGGGTACACATCTTTTTCTTTAAAGTATGATTTTGTGTTAATTTTTAATATTTCAGTTTTATGAGTACACAGTAGGTGTATATATATATATTTATAGGGTACATGAGATATTTTGATACAGGCATACAGAGTCTGATAATAATCACATCACGGTAGATGGGGTATCCATCTTCTCAAGCATTTATCATTTCTTTGTATTACAAACATTCCAATGATGCTCCTCTGATTATTTAAAAATGCGCAATAGATTATTGTTGACTGTAGTCACTTATTATGCTATCAAATAGTAGACCTTATTCATTCTATCTGTAGTTTTATGCCCGTTAACCATCCCCACTTCCCCCCGTCCTCCCCACTATCCTTCCCAGACTCCGGGAATCATCCTTCTACTCTCTATTTCCATGAGTTTAATTCATGCTTTTTAGAAAACCTATATTGGCAGTGGAGGTGGAGGCAAATAACGACTCTCTCATCTGTTCTTTTGTGTGTGGAAACATGGACTTTTAGGTATTCAGATTGTGCACTACCTTCCTTAGAATAAACCAAGAATAAATCAGAATTTGGCTGCAGCTTTAGATTAGATAGTTCCAAAATCTTCCTCACTGGGCTTGGGATGGGAAAAAACAAAAATGCTAGTTCCTGTCTTTCATTTTCTGTGGCATCATGCTTTGATGATTTTTTTATACTTTGAGCATAAAGTTTTCTATTGAATTTTTTTGTCCTCAGATGCATTTTTTATATGTTCCTTTTTTCTCTTCCTTTTACTTACAATAAATACTTATTGAGTATGTATTCTACAATAAAGAAGTGTGTCAACCAGGGAGACATAGGGAAAAATTAAACAGGCAACAGTAAATGTATTTATCACTGTTAAACACTATGCAGGAAAATAACAAGGAGGTGGTGTGATAGAGGACTGGGATGACTTCTCTAGAGTTTCAGGGGAAGGCCTCCCTGTGGAGGCGGCAAGTACACTGGAGACTGAAGGATAAGCTAGAGTGGGCAATGTGAAGATCATTTGCCTATTTGCTTTCAAGTTTACTTCCCACCCTTCCCCAGCTCTGGTCTGGGTAACAAGGCACTGGACCTTGAAAACTACATTTCCCAGGCTCCCTTGCAAGCTAGCTTTCTGCTAGATTTGGCAAATGGAAGGCAGTGAGCAGTGCACTACTGGAGGCTTGTTCCTATCAGTGAGCTTGCCTGGTTCCTTTGTCTCTGTTTTCTGCTTGGGTTTGGCCAATGGGAAGACCAGGAGGGAGTTGGGAGGGCAGGAGGAGAGGTTGAGCGATTTCTTCCCTGTTCCTTTTCCCCAGTGCCCTGTGTGGGTTCTTACCAGGCCACCTCTCTTCCATAGCCCTCTGCTCACACATTTTCCTTCTCTTGCCCCTTCAGCCTTAGGGGTAGTAACAGCTCCCTCCTGTAGTGAGTCTCTGGGTGCTACACCATCTTGCTTGGTTTTCTTGTCCCTGCCCACAACTCCCTAAATATTGCCTTCATTGAAGTCTCTTCATTTGAATCATTACCAGTGGGGAGGGGGAGAGTGAATTCTTTTTCCTGCCAGGACCCTGGCAGGAGTGATAGCTAATGGCCAATCTTCATGTATCCCTTTCACAATTTTTGTCATATCTGCATGACACCTGGGCTGTTGCTTACTTACTTACTTTTTCTGAAATCACCTCACTTTTGTTTTTTACAAATGACTATAGCATTACCCTAAGCAGTCATATACAAGAAATCCTGGGTTTGGTATGAAAGTAATACTTTATCCTAATACATATTAAAACACATACAGGCCAGGCGTGGTGGCTCATGCCTGTAACCCCAGCACTTTGGGAGGCTGAGGAGGGCAAATCACTTGAGGTCAGGAGTTCGAGACTAGTCTGGCCAACATGGTGAGGCCCTGCCTCTACTAAAAATACAAAAATTAGCTTGGCATGGTGGCACACACCTGTAATCCCAGCTATTTGGGAGGCTGAGGCAGGAGAATTGCTTGAACCTGGGAGGTGGAGGTTGCAGTGAGCTGAAATGGTGCCACTGCACTCCAGCCTGGGCAACAGAGTGAGACTCTGTCCCAAAACAAACAAACAATCAAACAAACAAACAAACAAACAAACAGGCCTGGCACAGTGACTCATGCCTGTAATCCCAGCACTTTAGGAGCCGAGGCAGGCAGATTACCTGAGGTCAGGAGTTTGAGACCAGTCTGGCTAACATGGTGTAACCCGGTCTCCACTAAAAATACAAAAATTAGCTTGGCATGGTGGTGCACACCTGTAATTCCAGCAGCTCGGGAGGCTAAGGCAGGAGAATGGCTCGAACCTGGGAGGCAGAGGTTGCAGTAAGCCATGACTGCACCACTACACTGCAGCATGGGTGACAGAATGAGACTCTTTCTCAAAAACAAAACAAAACAAACAAACACACAAAAAACCCATGTACATAACTCTTTAAGAGAAACAATACCTGGTATCCTTGCAAATCATGTCACACTGACTTGATGATCTCTTAGGCTCCTTTCATCTCAGGGAGGCTGTGATTCTGGATAAACGACTGAGACTTTGGTGCTTGTTTCAAGTCAAAAACATCTCAGTGCTTTATAGAGTCAAATTGTTTTCTTTCAGCTGTATCACTGCAGTAAACAGAAATGAGGAAAATAGTTCTCCTTTTTATTCTTGCACTGATGAAAAGCTTCTAAGTGCTACCAAATGTGGAAAAATCACTTGGGCTTTCATTGTATTGTTGGGCAAAGAATGAAGATAAATCTGGTTTTATGCAAGATGAAATTTTCTTTCCTCAGGTGGCCCTTGCTTTGATGGGTTTTGGAGGAAGGAAGCAAAATAGAAACGCAACTAATTATATTCATTGGAGGAGAGGGACCCAGATTCCATACACACTGCTGGCAGAGAGGCATGGTGGGACACTCAGAGGTGTACAGATCCTGGCATACGGTGGCTTGAGGACAAAGAGCTCCTTTAAGAACTGAGCCATGAGGAAACTCCATTAAAGGTCAGTCCATAGCTGGGATGTTACTTTCCTAGATCTTCCTTTTGACTTTGGCTTCTGGGCTCCAAGAATCCTGAATCTACCTCTTCCTACTTTCATGATCTCCACTCAACATTCATTTAACACATGGGTTACTGCATACTTTAGTGTACACCATTAAATCTAGCATGCATTACTAAAACTAAATGTTGGATGCATCAGTCTCCTGGAGGGCTTGTTAAAACATACCTTGCTGGCTAGGTGAGATGATTCACACCTGCAATCCCAGAGCTTTGAGAGGCTGAGATGGGAGGATCATTTGGGGCCAGGAGTTAGAGACCAGCCTGGGCAACAGAGTGAGACTCCTGTCTTTACAAAAAGCTAAAAAGAATAAAAAATTAGTCAGTTATGAGAGCATGCATTTGTAATATTGGCTACTTGGGAGGCTGAGATGGGAGGATTGTTTGAGGCCAGGAGTTTGAAATCAGCCTGGGCGATCTAGTGAGACCCCAGCTCTACAAAAAATAAAATAAAATAAATTAGCTAGGTGTGGTGGTGCACACTTGTAGTCCCAGCTACTCAGGGAGGCCGAGGAGAAATAACTTGAGCCTGGGAGTTTGAGGTTGTAGTGAGGTACGATTGTGCCATGGCACATGGCACTTCAGCCTGTGCAACAGAGTGAGACTCTGTTTCTAAAAAAAAAAAAAAAAAAAAAAAACAGGGCTGGATACAGTGGCTCACACGGGTAATCCCAGCACTTTGGGAGGCAGAGGCGGGTGGATCATCTGAGGTCAGGAGTTTGAGCCCAGCCCGGTCAACATGGTGAAACCATGTCTCTATTGAAAACATAAAAATTAGCCGGGTGCGGTGGCAGGCGCCTGTAGTCCCGGCTACTCGGGAGGCTGAGGCAGGAGAATCGTTTGAACCTGGGAGGCGGAGGTTGCAGTGAGCAGAGATCGTGCCACTACACTCCAGCCTGGGTGACAGAGTGAGACTCTGTCTCAAAACAAAACAAAACAAACAAACAAGCAAAAACAAATACGTCTTCTTGTACCCAGAATGTCTGAGTCAGGAGGTCTGGAGTGAGCCCAAGAATTTGCATTTCTAATAAGTTCCCAGGTGATGGTTATGTGGCTGGTCGGGGGACAACAATTTAAAAAAAATTTTTTTTGTAGAGATAACATCTGGCTACATTGCCCAGGCTGGTCTCAAACTCCTGGGCTCAAGCAATCCTCCTGCCTCAGCCTCCCAAAGACCTGAAATTGTAGGCATGAACCACAATGCCCAGCCAGAGAGCAGACTTTGAGAACCCCTGGAGTAACATCTGGAATATCTGTCCTCTGCCAGATCCTGGGAATGGAAAGGTGAAGAACGCAGGATCTTTCCTTCAAATTGCTTACTTGGCAAATAATTCAAACTCTTTGAGGGTCAGCTGTCTCATCTGTAATATGAGAATAATTATACTTCCTTCATGGGGCTATTGTGAAAATTAAGTGATATTGAGTCACAGACCTTTGCTATTTTGGAAGGACAAATCTTGAGACCTTTACAAGTCCACAATTCTGTGAATACTATTAAAACATGTAATTTTCTCCATAAAATTTAGTTAAGCATAAGTGAAAATTTTAAGTGACCCTTTCAGGCCCCTAATGATTCCCTAAATATAGGATTAAAGCAATTTATGAAGCAATTAAAATAAATTCTTGTTGAAACACTCATTGAACAGTTTCAGAAATTACTTTCCCTTATGGAGTATTTGGTGGCTTCAAGCAATTACCAAATTTGATATTTTACCCTTGGATTTATCTAACACTTCACTTTCTTTTTATTCCTATTATTCATATTGGCAATTGTAAATGGGGTCTTTTTTTCCCTGAAAAGACATGAGGGCCCAGCATGGTGGCTCCTGCCTGTAATCTCAGCACTTTTGGAGGCTGAAGTGGGAGAATTGCTTGAGTTCAGTAGTTTGAGACCAGCCTGGGCAACACAGGGAAACCTCATCTCTACAAAAAATTTTAAAAACTAACTGGGCATGGTGGTGTGTGCCTGTAGTCCCAGATACTCTCTGGGAGGCTGAGGTGGGAGGATCGCTTGAGCCCAGGAGGTCAAGGGCACAGTGAGCCATGGTCGCAGCACTGCACTCTTGCCTGGGCAATGGAGCAAGATCCAAACTCAAAAGCAAAAAAGATATGAGATACCTTACACATTGCAAGCGCCATGGCATATTTGGATTAAATAGAGAAAGCAACAAGTCCACATCAAGATACAGATGCTAGGAAGTGAGCTAGGCTGTTCACTAGCTATAGCATCTGTTAATATGACAACGACTCCTACAGGTCTGCCGCACCATATGACTCTGGAAGGTACCACCCATACTGCTGTCTACGTCGATCATGTTCCTTGGAGTTGTGCAAACTGGTGGGGCTGTGTGGGGGTCTAATTGGTGACCTTGCTGTGGACCTTCCAGGTCATGCATGAGATTGGGAAACCAAGGTTAACTTTGCAAATGCCAAGGTTAATGTTCTGATTAGTACCTGGAGCATCACCGATTTTCCAAACACCCTTTATCACAGTTTATACCTTAATTTTGGTATTTTCAGTACTGGCACTATTCCATCTAATCTTGGCTCTTTTTTTCTTTTCTATGGAGACAACCTCTCACTCTGTTGCCCAGGCTGAAGTGCAGTGGCACGATCATAGCTCACTGCAGCCTCCAACTCCTGGCCTCCAGGGATCTTCCCACCCCAGTTTCCCAAGTAGCTGGGATTACAGGTGAGTGACACTACGCCTGGCTGATCATTTTATTTTTGTAGAGATTGGGTCTCATTATGTTGCCTAGGCTGGTCTCAAACTCCTGGCCTCAAGGGAACCTCCAGCCTCAGCCTCCCAAAGCATCGATATTACAGGTGTGAGCTACCATGTCCAGCCTGCTTCTTAACATGCTACCCTCCTCGAGTTTATTCTGTTGCCTTAGGTTAGCCCAGGCTTGATTGGCATTTTGGCCACCACTGCCTAATAGCACTCCATTAGACATTTGGCTGCCTCAGGAGGAGGAAAAGCAGGTTGGAGTTTCAGTGTCACCTCTGCCACTTTTATTGCATGATTCAGGCAAGAAGTGTAACCCCTCTGCATCCCACTATTTTCCTCCAAAAAATGGCACTCCCGCAAACGGTTTGCGATTAGAAAATAAATGAAATGAGGCCGGGTACAGTGGCTCATGCCTGTAATCTCAGCACTTTAGGAGGCCGAGATGGGCAGAATCATTTGAGGTCAGGAGTTCCCGACCACCTTGGACAACATGGCAAAACCCCATCTCTCCTAAAAACACAAAAATTAGTCAGATGTGGTGGCGTGCACCTGTAATCCCAGCTACTTGGGAGATTGCGGCAGAATTGCTTGAACCCAGGAGGCATTGGTTGCAGTGAGCTGAGATCGCGCCACTGCACTCGGGTGACAGAGTCAGTGAGATTCCGTCTCAAAACAAAACAAAACAAAACAAAAAAAAGGCAGTCACAGAGTCATAAGTTTATTTGTAAATTCGTTTACTTTCCTTGTAAATAGATGAGCCCACTCATTTATTTTTGAAGTATGGGATAAAAAAAAGTATTTTGTTAGACTTTGCTTTTCTCAGAAAAGCTGTTTTAATTCAGTGGCATTAGTACCAAGCAAAACACAAGTTGTTTTATGTCTATGGAATAAGCTTAGATATTTGAGGGTTCCCTATCTACTGCATCATGCATCATGAAAATCAAGTTTAATAAAAAGTTGATTTGCTGTTTGTTAAACAATTGTCTGCTTTTTGTATTTTTTTTTTTTTTTGTAGAGATGGTGTCTCACTATGTTGCCCAGGCTGGTCTGGGTAAAAGTGCTAGAGGTGACACTGAAACTCCAACCTGCTTCTCCTCCTCCTGAGGCAGCCAAATGTCTAAATGAGTGCTATTAGGCAGTGGTGGCCAAAATGCCAATCAAACCTGGGCTTCCAGCCCGGTCTCGAACTCCCGGCCTCCAGGGATCCTCCTGCCTCAGCCTCCCATCTTGCTGGGATTACAGCATGAGCCACTGCACACGGCTTGTCTGCTTTTTGGATTAAGGAAAATCCCTGCTTTGCTCTGGACTGGATTTCGGTTTGTGGACGAGGGTTTTGTTGAGCAGCCAGGGCCGTTTGTTGGTGGACCTCCCCTGCATCTTACTGATAATCATGATATTCAGGGTGAAAGCTCTCAACAGACTGTGCAGAGCCTGATGCCTGAAAATCATGCTTTTTAGACCCCTTTAAATAATTTACTGAGGCATCCTGCTTGCCACTGCTCATATGTCATTGTCTTTGGGGTTGTTTTCCTCATGTGAATTACAGTGGTTCATCTCTAATTTGCAGGCTACCCGTTTCCAGCAAGAGTCTCAGCCACATTTGAATATTCAGAAAGAACAGCGCTGTACTATGACTGTTTAAAAATTAACACACATTTCTTTTCAGTCTGGGTAGAGGCAGAGAGCTCAGTGAAGGAAACTCCTGGACTCCAGTCACCTTAGACTGCGCTGGGAGGCCGTACAGATCATCTCGAGTGCCCGCGTTCTAATTGCATTACTTGAGGTCATCTCAGTAAA
This sequence comes from Homo sapiens, assembly GCF_000001405.40. Lineage (NCBI taxonomy): Eukaryota > Metazoa > Chordata > Mammalia > Primates > Hominidae > Homo > Homo sapiens. Next base: position 69,035,909 of record NC_000007.14, on the reverse strand, counting down.
TCATATTCTACATCTATGAAACAGCCATTCAGATATTTGAAGACCACTGTCTTACCTTCCCCTATGGCTTTTCTTTTCCTAGCTGAGAACGCCAGTTTCTTTCTTTTCTTTTTTACTTTCTTTGTAGAAACAGTCCAGGCTAGTCTCCAGCTCCTGACTTCAAATGATCCTTCTGCCTCAGTCTCCCAAAGTTCTGGTATTATACATGTGAGCCACCCCACTCGGCCATGAGAACCATGAGAACACCAGTTTCCAAAGCAATTTCTCATATGATAATGACTGGATTTCCAGAATTTCCCTTCTCACTTTTCCCCAAGGTTCCCTGCATTCTTCTTCAAGTAGGGTGTTGGCCAGGCATGGTGGCTCACGCCTGTAATCTCAACACTTTGGGAGGCCGAGGCAGGTGGGTCACTTGAGCCTAGGAGTTCTAGACCAGCCTGGGCAACATGGAGAAAAGCCCATTGCTACCAAAAAAATACAAAAATTAGCCAGGCATGGTGCCGTATCCCTGCAGTCCCAGCTACTTGGGGGCTGAAGCAGGAGAGTCCCTTCAGCCTGGGAGGTCAAGGCTGCAGTGAGCCTTGATTGTGCCACTGCACTCCAGTCTGGGCCACAGAGTGAGACCCTGTCTCAAAAATAAATAAACACATACATACATATATAAAGTGGGGTGTCTAGAAATAATCTCAATATTCCAGCTGTTGCTTTACTAGAGAAAAGGATTTTGGGAGTATGACCTCCCCAATTTTTTTTTTTTTTTTAAGACAGAGTCTCGATCTGTCACCAGGCTGGAGTCCAGTGGCACAATCTCGGCTCACTGCAACCTCCACCTCCCAAGTTCAAGTGATTCTCCTGCCTCAGCCTCCCAGTTAGCTGGGATTACAGGCACCCGCCACCACACCTGGCTAATTTTTTGTATTTTTAGTAGAGACGGAGTTTCACCACGTTGGCCAGGATGGTCTTGATCTCCTGACCTTGTGATTCGACTGCCTTGGCCTCCAAAAGTGCTGGGATTACACATGTGAGCCACCATGCCCGGCCAACCTCCCCTATCTTAAACAAAAATAAAATAAATAAAAACAAAAATAAAATAAATTTTAAAAACCCCAAGTAATATGTTTATTTAGCTCTTCTCTGGCCAAATCATATCTGAAGGTATAGCCGCACTTGCTGTAAGAAAATGGTAGGTCAGACCACATGAAATATAAAAGCTTTAGAGTTTTCAGAGTCCCAGAAAACATCACTTAGTAATACTGATGATCCTAATAGCTATTGTTTATCTAGTGCATATATTTTATGTGGATTATCTTATTTAATTTTCATCACGGGCCCAAAATCTACCAGCTAGTAAGTGCAGGATTAAAAGCCTGTGTACTTTCTTTTTTTTAAAAAAAAATTATTTCCATAGATTATTGGGAAACAGGTGGTAGTTACATGAGTTAAGTTCTTCAGCGGTGATTTGTGAGATTTTGTTGCACCCATCACCCCAACAGTATACACTGCACCCAATTTGTAGTCTTTTATCCCTCACCCCCTTCCTACACTTTCCTCCAGAGTCCCCCAAGTCCATTGTGTCATTCTTATGCCTTTGCATCCTCATAGCTTAGCTCCCACTTATGAGTGAGAACATACGATGTTTGGTTTTCCATTCCTGAGTTACTTCCCTTAGAATAAGTCTCCAATTCCATCCAAGTTGCTACAAATGCCATTAATTCATTCCTTTTTATGACTGAGTAGTATTCCATCATTTATACATATATATCATACATACATATATTATATTATACATACATATATTATAATACATTTATAATACATTATGATATGTATTATAATACATATAATATGTATTATTTATACATATATATCATACATACATATATAATATGATACATACATATACTATAGTACATTTATAATATATTATAACATATATTATAATACATATAATATGTATTATATATACGCATATACAGATATATGTGTATATGTATATGTATATACATATGTATTATATATACACATATACACATATATGTGTATATGTATATGTATATACATATAATATGTATTATATATACATATGCACATATGTATATATGTATAATATACATATACACATATGTATATTATACTATATATGTGTATATATGCATACATGTATATGTGTATATATGCATACATGTATATGTGTATATATGCACAATATACACACGTGTGCGTGTATGTACAATATACACCCACGTGTGCGTGTATGTACAATATACACCCACGTGTGCGTGTATGTACAATATACACACACGTGTGTGTGTATGTATAATATATACACGTGTGTGTGTATGTATAATATATACATATGTGTATATATTATATACTGAATATATTATACATATATACATATATACATATGTGTATATGTATACATACGCATGTGTATATATGTGTATGTATGTATACATATATGTGTATATATGTATTATATATACATATGTATATGTATATTATATATATATGTGTGTGTATATATATATTTATCAGATTCTTTATCCACTTGTTGATTGATGGGCATTTGGGCTGGTTCCACATTTTTGCAACTGCGAATTGTGAGGCTATAAACATGCGTGTGCAAGTATCTTTTTTGTATAATGACTTCTTTTCCTCTGGGTATCTATATCCAGTAGTGGGTTTGCCAGATCAAATGGTAGTTCTATTTTTAGTTAAAAGCCTGTATGCTTTCCATTGCCCTCCATTAGTGTTTTTTTTTTTTTTTGTCTGGATGGTCAGGTGAAAAGAGGTGTTTAGAGTCTCACTGAGAGATTTACTGTCTTCATAAAATTGAAGGGTTATTATTTATAACAGAGAGACGACTTTGAACCTCAGTGGGGAAGAACCACTACAGGGAATGCAGATGGGCGGCCTGAAACAGACACACTCTAAGACTCTGTGATAAATACAATTCTCTCAAATCCTAAGCATGGTTGTTTTTTCCAGATTGAAGCAAAGCCTCTGAGCCTGTCGCTCTGTGACATTATAGCAGCCAGGGGGTCCAACGGGTCTTGTAAAAAATCAACAAAATATAAAATGAAAGCAGTTATATGGAGCATCATGCAGACAAAACAAAGGAATGAATTATCTTGGTCCCTACTGGATTCTGTGCTGTTATGAACATAGAAGTGTTTTCTTCACCTGGCTGTGCAGGAGAGGCACCTGAAGGGCTCATTTAAATAGAGATGCCCTGGGTTCCGATGCTTATCCTACAGATCTGGGGTGGACCCCTGGGGTTTCCATTTTATGAAGAGGCACTTTTGTCCTGCCAGTGGGATTGGGAGCAGACTGTATTGTGACCCCCAGCCTCGGACTATAGGATGACTTAAATGTGTTAAACAACCAGCCCCGTAGGCTAAACTGTCTGGGCTGACTTTATTTGCTGAATTGAATAATTAGCTCAGAGTTTCAAACACACTTAGAACATGCGTCAGATCACAGGTCTTGAGAACGGCAGCGATACACTCACACACGGGCCACCATGCCAATAGATCGGAAGAGTTTCATGAAATTATCTTCAAGCTAAGCAGCAAATTCCATAATTATCAGTATTCTTTTCATGTACTCTAAGAGTCTGCATAATTTCCCTGTGGTAGAATGTAGAGAAATCAATACAATAAACTAAGAGATCTACCAATTCATTGGAGCACAAAATTTAAATCTGTGTTTGCTAACAATATTTCAATTTCTGGGCAAATCTAACATGAAGAGACTGAATAATTATATTTCCATCTTTACTTTGGGAGGAGTCTGTTTATTTATTGCTTTGGGTAAGGATGCTAAAAACCTGGAACTCTGTACTGTGATATTTACCTTTGTCAGATAAACTTATGGCTTAACATTGCATTGATTTTGTCTTAGAGACGTACTCATCAAGTGATCGCTCTAGGTCTTAGAGTAAAAGAAATTTAGCATTCAATGCAGGCTTTTTGTATGGTAAGTCTTTGAATGAAGATAATAAATCTAAAAGCATACTAATCATCAGTTGTGTATTGCCTTATATTTTTCAAGACATTTTCAAGTCCTTGACCTGGTTTGATTCCTTCTCAAGCCCTTTGAAGTCAGGAGACCTGATTTGCCATGGGACTTTTTCAGATGGATAGCTATTATTCTATCTCTGTGTTTTTTTTTTTTTTCAGAAATTTGTATTCAATCATGTTGATGACATGCACCCCTGAGAACCATGTCCTTTAATAGAAACACCTGTATTAAGTGAAACTTAACCTAAAGAGGCTGCAATTTTGCACTCTATTTATGGAGAGGGGTCAATGCAAATGAAATGAAGGTGCATCAAAATGCCTAACACTTCACCTTTCAATTAATTAATAGACTTATTCATTCACTCACTCATTCATTCCTCAGATACCTATTGAGCATCTATTACATAGCAGGTATTCTCTTCTATAATAGCTAATTTTTTTTTTCTTTTTTTTTTTGAGACAGTGTCTCTCTCTGTCGCCCAGGCTGGAGTGCAGTGGCGTGATCTCGGCTCACTGCAGGTTCCGCCTCCCGGGTTCACGCCATTCTCCTGCCTTAACCTCCCAAGTAGCTGGGACTACAGGCGCCCGCCACCACGCCGGGCTAATTTTTTTATAGTTTTAGTAGAGACGGCGTTTCACTGTGTTAGCTAGGATGGTCTCGATCTCCTGACCTTGTGATCCGCCTGCCTCGGCCTCCAAAGTACTGGCATTACAGGCGTAAGCCACTGCGCCTGGCCTTTTTTTTTTCTTTTGAGATGGAGTCTCACTTAGTCTCCCAGGCTGGAGTGCAGTGGTGTGATCTCAGCTCACTGCAGCCTCTGCCTCCTGGGTTCAAGTGATTCTCCTGCCTCAGCCTCCCAAGTAACTGAGATTATAGGTGCATGCCTCCATGCCCAGCTAATGTTTGTATTTTTAGTAGAGACAGGGTTTCACCATGTTGGCGAGGCTGGTCTTGAACTTCTGACCTCAAGTGATCTGCCCACCTCAGCCTTTCAAAGTGCTGGGATTACAGGTGTGAGCCACTGCACCTGGCCTGTAGCTAAAATCTTGAGACCAGATTGCGTGAGACATTAAGAAACACAGGCTTTGGTTCAGACAATTTTGGCTGTGAATTCCTGCTCTGCAACTGCTCAAGTGACCTTGTACATGTTGCTCTTTTCCTTATTCATTCATTTCCCTTCCTCTAAAATGTGGGTAATAATAGTACCAGCTGACATCTTTTTCTCTCTTTCTTGATACAGGGTGTAACTCCAGTCCCCAGGCTGAAGTGCAGTAGTGTGACTGTGGCTCACTGCAGCCTCAACCTCCTGGGTTCAGGTGATTCTCCCACCTCAGCCTCCCAAGTAGCTGGGACCACAGGTGTGCACCACCACACCTGGTTAATTTTTTTGTTTTTTGTTTTTTGGTTTGTAGAGACAGGGTTTCCCCATGGTGTCCAGGCTGGTCTCTAACTCCTGAGCTCAAGCCATGAGCCCACCTCCGCCTCCCAAAGTGTTAGAATTACAGGCATGAGCCACTGTGCTTGACCCAGTTGATATATATATTTTTTGATGGGAGCTCAATATTTCATAAAATATATATGGAGTGTTTATCACAGTGCCTGGTGCATAAAAGGGCCCGCATAAGTGATAGAATAAAATTTTACTCTACAATGAAAACTGCTGAAAGTTGACCATAGCCATCAAGGGTATGTTGGCTCTGTTTAATTGACCACACATTGAAAGCAACAAGACATTCAGGGGCTAACCCCGTGTAACTGGTCATTGCATCAGTTTGCATTATTTCAGTTACAGTTCAAATAAAACAATTCAAGTTGGCTTATAGAGTAAAGAGAATTCGCCAATTCTTGTGAATTGTCAAGTGGTATGGTGGCTTCAGGCAAGGCTTGATCTAGCAGCTCAAATAACTAGGACCTGGTTTCTCTTGGTCTTATGTAATGATGACTTCCTCTGAAAGCTCTATGTGGTGGTTCCATATCAAGTCCAAAGTGTCTCCTCAAAGTGGGGAAAAAAAAAGTTGTGGCAACCATGGGCTCCATATCCCGACAGGGCAGGGACTAAGCCTAGGGGATTGAGGCACTTGTCTGAGATGCCAAATTTAAGAGGAGAGCTGCCAAAAACAACTCAAGATAAACAATATTTTGGCCAGATGGGGTGGCTCAGGGCTGTAATCCCAGCACTTTGGGAAGCTGAGGTGGGGAGATGGGTGGATTGCTTGAGGGCAGGAGTTTGACATCAGCCTAAAGACATAGCAAGACCCCCATCTCTACAAAAAATTAAATTTAAAGAATTAGCTGGGCATCGTGGCTCATGTCTGTAGTCCCAGCTGGGGAGGCTGAGGCACGGGGATTGCTTGAGCCCAGGAGCTGGAGGCTGCAGTGAGCTAAGATCATTCCACTTACTGTACTCCAGCCTGGGTGACACAGTGAGTTCTTGTCCCTACCCCCACCCCACCCCCCAAAAATGAATAAACAGAAATTTGAAAAAATAAAAAATTAAATAAAAAGCATAAATAATATTTTGATGTTATATGTAAAAAACAAAACTGATGCAAAAAATCTATGATCAACCAATTAGAAAAGATTTTGTGGGGAGGGTTAAGGGGAAGATTTAAAGGAAAGATCAGAGTCAGCTGAAGAGAGATGGCTTTTCCCAGTAGTTTCAGAAAACATCTGTTTGCTTTCCTAGCCTCAAATGAGTGAGGTCCCCATCACAGAACCAATTGCTGTTGTCAGGGGTAGGAGATACAGTCTATTGGCATCAGCTAATAAGGGTCCACCCTGGAGCTAGAGGGTAGAGCCTTGGTGTTCTTATCTACATCATGAGAGTAAATTTTGAATTTTGTTTTTAGGGGAAGAATGCCTTTTTCAAATGAAATCGTTTTTTCTTTTTTCATTTGAGACAAAGTCTCACTCTGTTGCCCAGGCTGGAGTGCAGTGGCACAATTTCGGCTCACTGCAACCTCTGCCTCCCTGGCTCAAGCAATTCTTCTGCCTCCGCCTCCCGAGTAGCTAGGATTACAGGTGTGAGCCACTGCACCAGGCCCAAATGAAATCTTAAAAAGGTTCAAAGTAGGCTCTGGTGATGGAGACTTGGGGATAGGCATTGAGATGGAGCTGGGGACCCCAGGCCTGCCAACTCATCAGTTCATGCTCCTACTTCTGCATGCCTGGGGACACAGTTTGAAAACCACTAAACTAGACAGAAGTCCTTTTAGGTTCTACCATTTCACAGCTACAATTCTGAGTATTCTTTGAAGGAACCAAAGAAGTAGATAAAGTGGCTGTGCATGGTGGCTCACGCCTATAATGCCAGTGCTTTGGGAGGCCAGGGCAGGTGGATCCCTTGAAGTCAGGAGTTCGAGACCAGCCTGGCCAACATGGTGAAACCCAGTCTCTACTAAAAATACAAAAATTAGCGGGGTGTGGTGGCGCACGCCTGTAGTCCCAGCTACTTGGGAGGCTGAGGCAGAAGAATTGCTTAAACCCAGGAGGCAGAGGTTGCAGTGAGCTGAGATCAGGCCACTGCACTTCAGCCTGAATGACAGAGTGAGACTCTGTCTCAAAAAAAAAAAAAAAAAGTAGAGAAACTAAGAATGCGACATGAGTTTTACATTAGCCCAGCATGTTGGTGCATACTTGTAGTCCCAGCAATTTGGAAGGCCAAGGCAGCAGAATTGCTTGAGCCCATGAGTTGAAGACAAAGCCTGGACAACACAGCAAGACCCCCACTCTACAAAAATTTAAAAATTTGCCAGGCATGGTGGTGCCCCACTATAGTCCCAACTATTTGGGAGGCTGAGGTAGGAGGACCACTTGGGCCCAGGAGTTCCAGGCTGCACTGAGGTATGATTGCACTTCTGTACTCCAGCTTGGGCAACAGAGCAAGTCCCCATTTCTAAAAATAAACAAACAAAAAAATAAAATAAAATCACATGGGCTTTGGTTCCAATAAATTTGGCTGTGAACCCTTCTGTCCCATCTCATGTGAACTTGTCCATGTGTCTTTTATATTATTTATTTATTTTTTCAGTTTTAGTTTCTGGTGGCATGAAGTAAATGAAGACAGCAGTGAGAGAATTCAGAAGTCTTGACTAATTTTAGCAAAACTCATGAGGAAATCCCAGGTTACTCAGTTGGAGATGCAGGAATAAGCATGAACTTAATCTCAGGAAATTCTTACATCTTGGTAGTGGTTTCTTGCTTTGTTCTCTGAATGTCTTATTTTTTTTTTTCTTTTTGAACATACCTTTCATATTCTTTTCTTTTGATATAGGGTCTTGTTCTGTTGTCCAGGTTGGAGTGCAGTGGCACGACTGCAGCTCACTGCAGCCTCGACCTCCCAGGCTCAGGTGATCCTCCCTTCTCAACCTCCTGAGTAGCTGGTTATGTCCTTTTTGGACAATACCTTTGTCCTCTGAATGTCTTATTTTTTTTTTTCTTTTTGAACATACCTTTCATATTCTTTTCTTTTGATATAGGGTCTTGTTCTGTTGTCCAGGTTGGAGTGCAGTGGCACGACTGCAGCTCACTGCAGCCTCGACCTCCCAGGCTCAGGTGATCCTCCCTTCTCAACCTCCTGAGTAGCTGGTTATGTCCTTTTTGGACAATACCTTTGTCCTCTCTGTGAGTTCAGAATCCATTACAGGGAATCTCGTGAAATGTTGATATGATAAATGTTAAAGATGATTTGATTGGGGCAGCAGGATAATGAGCATATTAAGCTGGTCTAAAAATGGGTCTGGTTTCAAGAGCCGTAAGCAGTTGGTAAATAATAAAAATGGAAACCTTTTCTTTTCAGTTCTTAAAAGAAATTCATAATGGGTTTTCCTCATAAACTGCAATTATTTTTAAATAGCACTAATGAATAATTTAAAGACCCACTGGGTTAGGCAATTAGTTTTAAGTGTGGATTAATTGCTTTCTTTATAATATTCCACATTCATTTTTTTGCATAATATGGACAGATATTTCATGTTCTTTAAAAATATTTTATGTTTTCTGAAATGTTCTGATAGGTGAGAAGGGAAGCTGCTGTAGTCATTACAAAGTGGGAAACACGTGACACCGAGCCTGTGTCTGCCCATTTTTAGGGAACAAACAAAATCATGGAGTTTTCTCTCATTTCCCCTCCCTCACAATTCAGTTTGGTGCAGTGGCTATTAAACTTTCCTTTTTTTTTTTTTTTTCTTGAGATGGAGTCTTCTCTGTCGACCAGGCTAGAATGCAGTGGCACGATCTCAGCTCACTGCAACATGTGCCTCCCAGGTTCAAGCAATTCTCCTGTCTCAACCCCCAAGTAGCTTGGACTGCAGGCGCACGCCCCCACACCTGGCTAATTTTTGTATTTTTAGTTAGAGACAGGGTTTCGCCATGTTGGCCAGGCTGGTCTTGAACTCCTTACCTCATGATCCACCTGCCTCGGCCTCCCAAAGTGTTGGTATTACAGGCATGAGCCACCGCACCCGGCCTGTTAAACTTTTTGGATTGTGACCAACAGTGATACATTGTGACTCAGTAACATACACACAAATACACACACAGACACACATTAACATAAAAGTTAATATGGAAGAAAAACGCCAGATTACAACCATCGTTGGCTCCATTTGATGCCTGCTAATATTTTCGACTCTGCTCCACTTAAACTGTGATTTAGCTGGTAACTTTTGGAGAAAGGAAGTGGATTTCTGGGCTAGCTAGGCCAAGTTCTAGTTCTTGGCCTGGGTGGTGGTTATAAGGATGTTCACCTTGTAAGATATCACCAAGTGGTACAATCATTCCATGTACCTATGCTTCATTTTTCTGTATAAAGGTTAAACAATATATATTCCAGCAGTTTGGAAAATATTGTCATAAGGAGGTGGGAACCTGAATGAGTTTTATCATAGCTTCTTGATCACTTTTATTATTATTTTTTTTGTTATTTTATTTACTTATATAATATTTTTTATTTTTAGTATAGACAAGGTCTTGCTATGTTGCCCAGGCTGGTTTTGAACTCCTGAGCTCAAGTGATCCTCCTGCCTTGGCTTCCCAAACTGCTGGAATTAAGGCATGAGTCATTGCATCTGGCTTTTTATTTATTATTATTATTTTTTGAGGTGGAGTCTCTGTCGCCCAGGCTGGAGTGCAGTTGCGTGATTTCGGCTCACTGCAGCCTCCACCTCCTGGCTTCAAGCGACTCTCCTGCCTCAGCCTCCTGAGCAGCTGGGATTACAGGTGCCCACCACCATGCCCAACTAATTTTTGTATTTTTACTAGAGACGGGGTTTCACCATGTTGTCTGGATAGGCTTGAACTCCTGACCTCAAGCAATGCACCCGCCTCTGCCTCCCAAAATGCTGAGATTACAGGCATGAGCCACCACATCCGGCCTTCTTTATTTTGTTTTTAAGCACAGAGCAGGTTAAAATAAAAATCCCAAAGTCATTGGAGGGGACCATAAGAAGCAGAAGTAGCAAAGCTAACCCTCTGGCCACGCTGCAGAGTGGGCATGGGGAGAATTGAAGAGCCAATCACTCCGAGTGTCTCATTTTTAGAGCTAAGTCTGTCCCTCACTGGTGGCCTCTTTGAGTCACCAGACAGGATGGGAACTGGCCAGATAAGAACTCCTTCAGGAAGGGGTCCACAATGTCTGTGGAAGGAGCCATTTCAGAAAGAGATATTGGAGGGGGTGATCAGGGAGAGAGAGCTGCATAGGGCATTTTACTGTTGTGAATGTCAAACGTTGAATGTCTGTCCACCCTCTCAGAAAGTGGTACGCTCCTTTGACTTCCCTAGGGGAGTCAGTTTTCTCTAACAGGTGCCTGTGTGTTAGTTAACACTCTATATCTATTTTATTAATTTGAACTGCCTTGATACTGTCTTAAAGAACCCAGACCTTTTAAATGTTTCAGAGAACATCCGTAGCATGGTGGGAGTTGAAATCTGAGGTTCTAGCCTTGGCCCTGACCTGAAATAGCTTTGTAGTCTTGGGCAAGAGGAAGGGAATGTCTTTTCATCCATCAAGAGCAATTGATTTTACTATTTCTGCTCTCCAAGGGCACAAGGGCACAAGGGCATGAAGCTTTTATCTCCCATGTAGGACAATTTTATTTAATTATTTATTTTATTGTTAGGAAAAATGATCCAAGGCCAGGTGTTGTGGCTCACGCCTGTAATCCCAGCACTTTGGGAGGCCGAGGTGGGCGGATCACCTGAGGTCAGGAGTTCAAGACCAGCCAGGCCAACATGGGGAAACCCCGTCTCTACTAAAAAACAATACAAAAATTAGCCGGGCATGGTGGGACATGCCTGTAATCCCAGCTACTCAGGAGGCTGAGGCAGGAGAATCGCTTGAACCCAGGAGGCAGATGTTGCAGTGAGCCGAGATCACGCCACTGCACTCCAGCCTGGGTGACAGAAGGAAATGCATTTTATGGGCAGCTTAAGCCCACGTCAAGAGAGAATCCCAGTTGGCAATAAGAGCTCTAACTTTGCCAGTTCTCTGTTTCTCCAGATTCTTTTTTTTTCATGTCTACAGATGTTGTATTTTTGCTTTGTTCTTGGTTTGTTAATCTAATTGTGTTAGTAATAATTGGGGATTTGGTTTTATGATCTGACTATTTGGTGATCTTCCATAGGTGGATAACAGGTCTATTCTCTGCTGGGTGAGACAGAGATTCTGGTTTGATAGTCTTTTTTTTTATTGTTTGTATGTTTGTCTATTTGTGAGCACGAATCAATTACGAATTTTATGTTCCCTAGAAGGACAGCCCTTTGAGATCTAAACCAGTGATTTTTTTTTAATGTTTCTGGGATTATTTTTAACTTGAGACTGAAGCTATGAGCTTTCTGTGTCTGGAGGGCTGTGTGTCTGTGATTCAGAAACCCCCTTGATATCTCATTGTACAAATATGAAATGTTTTATTACCTCCGGATTATATTATTAAATATCTTAAAGGAGCAGTGATCTGATGAGTTTTCACAAATTGATACTTATATAAATCTCATATTTCTCAAATTTACAGAAAATAAGGAAACTAACACTTTAAAATGGAAGGTTTAAAAAAATCCCTCTTACTAAAAATGTTAGCTTAGAAACATTAATATAAGAATCCAAGTTCACATAGTTAAGGTAAATCTTTGGAAAAACTGGGTCAATAATTCTGGTTTAAAACATAAGTAATTACTAAATGTGTTTCCATTTGAGTTTGTTAGTGTGAAGATTTTGGTTTCTTTTCTCATAAACTTCTCATCTTTTTCATATTGGTTTCATATTGGTTCAAATAAACTCATTCTTACATAGCATTTGAGATTATGAAAAATGTAAATTTCAGCTAAATTGAATAATTCTGAAAAATGGTTTTATAGCAGTATGTATGCCTTGTAGTATGTTAGCTTTGTTAGTAGGTAATTTCCAACATCCTCAGGTAATTTGAAACCTTGAATTAATATTAAATTGAGTTGATTAATTGCTAATTATTGAAGACCTAGGTAATTTCTGAAAAAGAATGAATAATGAAACATTGATTACCAAACACTATACTTGATTTATTTTTTTTTATGCTACATAGTGGCTATACGTTTGGGAACTTGTTACTATTAAGGAAACGTGTTCATTTTACTACATTAGAAGGTGAGAAGAAGTGTGGTGTTATAGAAAATTCTGTTATAAGATGCTGGCGAAGCTGTGGAGAAATAGGAATGCTTTTACGCTGTTGGTGGGAGTGTAAATTAGTTCAACCATTGTGGAAGTCAGTGTGGTGATTCCTCAAGGATCTACAACCATAAATACCATTTGACCCAGCTATATGGTCATTACTGGGTATAGACCCAAAGGATTATAAATCATTCTACTATAAAGACACATGCACAAGCATGTTTACTGTAGCACTATTTATAATAGCAAAGACTTGGAACCAACCCAAATGCCCATCAATGATAGACTGGATAAAGAAAATGTGGCACATATACACTATGGAATACTATGCGGCCAGAAAAAAGAATGAGTTCCTGTCCTTTGGAGGGACATGGATGAAGCTGGAAACCATCATTCTCAGCAAACTAACACAGGAACAGAAAACCAAACACTGCATAAGTGGGAGTTGAACAATGAGAACACATGGACACAGGGAGGGGAACATCACACACCGGGGCCTGTCCGGGAGTAAGGGGCAAGGGGAGGGAGAGCATTAGGACAAATACCTAATGCATGTGGGGTTTAAAACCTAGATGATGGGTTGATGGGTGCAGCAAGCCACAACGGCACATGTATACCTATGTAACAAACCTGCACGTTCTGCACATGTATCCCAGAACTTAAAGTAAAATAAAATTTAAAAAAAGAAAATTCTGCTGCGTGTATTCATGAATTTTGGTAGTCTACTAAAATGTTTGTGTATGACAGTGGGTTTTCATCTACTTTCTTCCCAGTTTTCCCTGTGAAATACAAGTGATTTATTCTGGCTAAAAGTTATGAGTAGCTTTGGGGTAGATGTTCTGCCATTCCTACTTGACATTATCCTGGATGTCCTGGTCAGCCCAGTAAGGAAAAAAAGCAACAAAAAGAAATAAAAGCCATGTGGATTAGAAATAAATGTATTCCTACTCTCAGATGGCATGGGAGTCTACCCAGAAGATCCCAAAGAATATACAAAGACAGTGCTAGAATTAATAAGTAAGTTTAGAAATAATGGAATACAGGCCGGGCACGGTGGCTCATGCCTATAATCCCAGCACTTTGGGAGGCCGAGGAAGGTGGATCACGAGGTCAGGAGTTCGAGACCAGCCTGGCCAATATGGTGAAACCCCGTCTCTACTAAAAATGCAAAAATTATCTGGGTGTGGCGGCACGCGTCTGTAATCCCAGCTACTCAGGAGGCTGAGGCAGGAGAATCGCTTGAATGAACCCAGGAGGTGGAGGTTGCAGTGGGCCAAGATTGCGCCACTGCACTCCAGCCTGGGCAACAGAGCAAGACTCTGTCAAAAAAATAAAAAAGAAAGAATATATAAGGTCAATGTATAAAAATCAATTGTTTTATATATATATATAATATATATATTATATGTATGTATATATATGCAATGAACATTTGAAATGAAAACTTAAAATTCCAGTACCATTGATAATGGCACCAAAACCATGAACTATTTAGGTATAGATCTACTAAATTATTTGCAACATCTGCATGCTGATAACTGCACAAAAATGATCAGTAAAATAAAATAAGTTTTAAGTAAATGGAGATATATTCATGGATTGGAGGACTCAGTATGTCAAGATTTTAATTCTTCCCAAGCTGATCTATAAATTCAATGTAATGCCAATCAAATCCCAGTGGGTTTTTTGTAGAAATTGTCACACTGATTCTAAAATTGATATAGAAAAAGGAAATAAATATAGAATAGTTAAAACATTTTTTAAAAGGAACCAAGTAGGAGGACTTGCCCTACCTAATTTCAACACCTTATAAGTCCACACTAATCAAAACAGTGTGGTATTGGCAAAAGAATAGACCTGTAGATCAATGGAACAGGATAGCAGGTCCAGGTATAGACTGACATATATGACCAGTTGATTTTGAAGAAAGATGCAAGGACAATAATGAATTATAGTACTTCCAATAAATGCTAGAACAGTTGGATATCCACATGCAAAAGAATGAATTGTAATTCATACCTTATACCATATACAAAAATAGATTATAAAACGAAATGTAAAGACCAAACTACAAAACTTCTAGAAGAAAACACGGAATAATTTTGTCATTTAAGTGAGGCAATAATTTCTTAGGTATGGCACTAAAACCACAATTCCTAAAAGGGAAAAAAAAAGATAAATTATACTTTATCAGAATTAAAGACTCTTGCTTTCAAAAGACACTATTAAAAGAATGAAAAGACAAGCCACAGATTGGCAAAAAACGCTTGTAAAACACATATCAGATAAAGGTCTTGCATCTAGAATACATAAAGAACTCCCGAAACTCAACAAAGGAAAACAAACAGCTCAATTACAAAACAGTTACAAGATTCGAGAGGAAACTTTACTAAAGAAGGCATATGGAGTGCAAGGGCCAGGTGTGGTGACTCAAGCCTGTATTTCCAGCACTTTGGGAGACTGAGGCGGGAGGATTGCTTGAGCTTAGGAGCTCAAGATTACAGTGAACCAGGATTGTGCAACTGCACTCTGGCATGGGTTATAGAGCAAGGCCCTGTCTCTAAAAATAAAGGGGGAGGAATGCAAATAAGCATATGAAAATATACTCATCACATTATTCATTGAGGAAATGTAAATTAAAACCATAATAAGATATCACTATATACTTACTGGAATAGCTAAAACCCACCACCACCACCACCACCACCTCCACCACCACCATCACTAACAAAAATCTAACAATACCAAGTGCCTGTGAGGATGTGAAGCATCTGGAACCTTCATATGTTGCTAGTGATGATGCAAAATAGTACGATCACACTGGAGATATTTGGAAGTAAACCAGACTCACTTACCATAAGAGACAGCAATCTCATTTCTAGATATGCCCAAGTGAAATGGAAATATATTTGTACAAAAGCCTATCCACATATGTCTGTAGAGTCTTCATTCATAATTTGCTCAAAAATGGAAGCAATCCAAATGTTCTTCAACGTGCGAATGGATAAAAAAGGGTGTACATCCCTACGATGGAATACTACTCAGCAAAAGAAAGAAGCAATCTATTGAGACTCAACTAGACAAAAGAATCTCATATGCATTATGCCAAGTGATAGGAGCCAGACTCAAAAGGCTACATATAGTACAATTCTTTTTAGATGACATTCTGGAATAGTCAATACTAGATGGACATAATATGATTTGGGTATCAGTACCCTCCCAATCTCACGTTGAAATGTGATTCCCAATGTTGGAAGTGGGGCCTGGTGGAAGGTGATTGGATCAAGGGGATGGATTCCTCATGAATGGTTTCACACCACCCTCTGGTGATAAGCAAGTTGTCATGAGATCTGGTTGTTTAAAAGGGCGTGGCATCTCCTCACTCTCTCTTTTGCTCCCACTCTCACCATGCAACATACCTTCTCCTGTTTTGCCTTCCACCATGGGTAAAAGCTCCCTGAGGGCTTACCAGAAGCCGAGCAGAGGCCAGCACCACGCTTATACTGCCTGCAGAACCATGAGGCAATTAAACCTCTTTTCTTTATAAATTATCCAGCCTCAGGTATTCCTTTATAGCAATGCAAAAATGAACAAATAGAAAGTTGGTACCAGGAGCAGGGTGTTGCTATAAAGATACCCAAAAATGTGGAAGTGGCTTTGAAACTAGGTAACAGGCATAGGTTGGAAGACTTTGGAGGCTCGAAAGAAGACAGGAAGATGAGGGAAAGTTTGGAACTTCTTAAAGACTGGTTAAATGGTTGTTACCAAAATACTAATAGAAATATGTACAGGCTAGGCTGATGAGGTCTGAGATGGAAATGAAGAAGTTATTGGGAACTGGAGTAAAGGTCAGTCCTATTATGTTCTAGCACATAACTTGGCTGCATTGTGTTCATATCCTAGGGATCTGTGGAAGTTTGAATTTAAGGGTGATGACTTAAAAGGCACCTGGTAGAGGAAATTTCTAAGCATCAAAGCATTCAACAGATGACTTGACTTCTTATAACAGCGTATGATCAGATATGGCAGCAAAGAAATGACTTAAAGTTGAAACTTATATTTAAAAGGGAAGCAGAACATAAAAGGTTGAAAAAGTTGCAGGTGATTTGCATGACTAAACAGGAGCCAAATACTAACATCCAATGGGAAAAAGGCCCCATAGACATTTCAGAAGTGTTGGAGGGGCCAGGCCTCATACTTGGTGCTATCAAAGAGACAGCCAGGCCAGTCTGTTTGAGGGGCCAGGCCTGGGATGCTGCTGCCTTTCTCAGCCTCAAGACATTACTCCCGCATCTCAGCTGCTCCAGCTGTAGCTGCGGCTCAAACGGTCCCAGGTACAACTCAGGCTGCTGCTTCGGAGGGCACAAGCCATTTGAAATGAAATGAAACATTTGAAATGAAAAAAACCCAGTACCATTGATAACGGCACCAAAACCATGGACTATTTAGATATAAATCTACTAAATTATTTGGTGGCTTCCACTTGGTATTAAACCTGTGGGCACATAGAATACAAGAGTGAAGGAGGCTTGGCAGCTTCCACCTAGATTTCCGAGGGTTTATGGAAAAGCCTAGGTGCTGAGGCAGAAGCCTGCTGCAGAGGTGGAGTCCTCACAGAGAACCTTTATTCTGGTAGTGCCAAGGGAAAATGTGGTGTTGGAGCCCCATATAGAATTCTCACTGGGGCACTGCCTAGTGGAGCTGTGGGAAGGGACCTGCTGCCCTCCAGACCTCAGAATAGCAGACCCAGCAGCAGCTTGCACCTTGCAACTGGAAAAGCTGCAGGCACTCAGCTTCAACCCACGACAGCAGCCACAGGGGCTATACTCAGCAAAGCCACAGGGCGGAGCTGCCCAAGGTCTTGGGAGCTAACTGCTTGCACCACTGCCCTGGATGCAAGACCTGGAGTCAAAGGAGATTATTTTTGAGGTTTAAGATTGAACGACTGCCCTGCTGGGTTTCAGACTTGCATGGGGCTTATTGCCCCTTTCCTTTTGGCCAGTTTCTTTCTTTTGGAATGGTAATGTTTTACTCAATGCCTGCACTACTATTTGTGTCTTAGGCGTAAATAACTCATTATAACATAAGAGTAAATACAGACTCACAAGGAGAAGGAACTTGCCTTGAGTCTGTGATGATGAGACTTTGGACTTGGGACTTTTGAGTTGGGGCTGGAACAAGTTAAGACTTTGGGGAGCTATTGAGAAGGGATGATTGTATTTTATAATGAAAGAAGAACACGAGATGTGAGGGGCCAGGGGCAGAATGATATCATTTGGATGTGTGTTCCCTCCAAATCTTATGATGAAATGTAATCTCTAGTGTTGGAAGTGGGACCTGGTGAGAGATGTTTGGGTCATGGGGGTAGATCCCTCACGGATGCCTCGGTGCTGTCCTCATGACAGTGAGTGAGTTCTGGTGAGATCTGGTTGTTTAAAAGTGTGTGTGGCACTTCCCCTCTCTCTTGCTCCTGCTCTCCCAAGTGGTACACCAGTTCTCCTTCCCTTCTGCCATGATTGTAGCTTCCAGATGCCAGCATCATGCTTTCTGTATGGCCTGCAGCCTGCAGAACTGTGAGCCAAATAAACTCCCTTTCTTTATAAGTTACCCAGTCTCAGGCATTCCTTTATAGTAACACAAGAACAGACCAATACAGGATAGAAAACAGATCAGTGGTTGCAAGGGCTGGGAGTGGGCTAAAGAGTTGATTGAAAAAAGGGAATTAGGGGAGGGGTCCCCAACTCTAAGGCTATGGACTGGTATTGGTCTGTGGCCTACTAGCAACTGGGCTGGCTGCACAGCAGGAGATGAACAGCAGGAGAGAGTGAAGGTTCATCTGTATTTACAGCGGCACTCCATCACTCACATTACTGCCTGAGCTCCACCTCCTGTCAGATCAGTGGCCGCATTAGATTCTCTTAGAACCATGAACCCTATTGTGAACTGTGCATATGAGGGATCTAGGTTGCACACTCCTTATGAGAATCTAATGCCTGATGATATGTCACTGTCTCCCATCACCCCCAGATGGGACGGTCCATTTGCAGGAAAACAAGCTCTGGGGTCCCACTAATTCTACATGACGGTGAGTTGTATAATTATTTCTTTATATATTACAATGTAACAATAATAGAACTAAAGTGCACAATAAATGGAATGCACTTGAATTGTCCCAAAACCATCCCCCAACTCGTGGTTTGTGGAAAAATTGTCTTCCACAAACTGGTTCCTGGTGCCAAAAAAGTTGGGGACCGCTGAATTAAGGGATTTTGAAGTTGTAGTCTAAAGAATGTTTTATGCCTTCATTGTGGTGGTGGTTACCAGATTGAATGCATGTGCCAAAACTCCAGGACCGTACACTAAAAATGGGTGAATTTAACCATATGTAAATTATACCTCAATAAAATAATATTGGTTTTTAAAGATATATGAGGAGCTATAGTGATGAAGAAATACAAGAACATATGCAAGATGATGGGATTAGGTTTTGTTTTTCAAGAAAAATAGAGTTGATTTGTCCTGAAATGTATTTGTTCCAAAATACAAGGGCTTAGCGAGTACGTACAACAGGATACAGAGGCTTTGAAGGAAATGAAACTTATTCGTTTGGGTTCATAACACCAGAGTCTGCAAAGAAGATACAAAATGTGTTAACATTTTGGCAAAGTTTGCTGGATTTGATGGACTTTTTCACAAGATTACGTAAAAAAAAGAGAAAAAATCTCACAAAACCTTTTTTACTAACAGTTATTTTAACTCATAACTCGAATTTGGCTTTCTCTCTGTTAAAATGATAAATTGTGTTTACAGCTCTTCTCACCTAGAGAGTAGGGTCTGTGTCTCACTAAAATAATTTTCTGGTCTTTATGTTGACTTTATCACATCTTTGATTATTTAAAAATAACAACAAAGAACAAAAGATCTTCACGGTAAACAACAGATTTCTTACAATCATGTTGCCTTTAAAACATTTTGTAATATTTTATTGTCACTTTGATGAAATACACAACCAAATTAGTTTTCCTCAGGCATTCATGATTCTCTGTTAATCAGGTGACCAAATCTCCTTTGATAACTCTTTTGATTTTGCCCAAGATTGGATGCTAAATTAAGAAAAATAAAACAACTTTTTGAGAATATTTCATACACCGAAAACAGTATTTTAGATTTTCAAGAGGTCCCCTGAATATCATAAAGATTTGCTGTTTCACCTTATAAAAATACATATGCCAGAAACAACTAGTTTTTTTCTTTCATTTTTCTTCATGTCTCCAAATTAACCCAGCATTATTATAATAGCTTCACGGGAAAAATCGTCAAAGCAAAAGAGATGTTCAGCTTTTCCTAGGTTAGGCTTCTATAGTTGAAATGTTATTAATTTCAATATTTCAGAAATTGTACATGTTCCAGAAATGCCTCTGGAGACTGGTCATTGCCATACTATCCACAGGTTAGTATAATAGGTTTTTACCCTCAAGGGGAACAGTGATCAAACTCTGATGAAGTAGTCATGCACTCTACTCCAATATAAAATTTTCTTCTCCATTCTGATATTATTGATTATTTTACAAATGAACCACAGACATTCCGTTTCATAATAAAATATGTTTCTGGTTTCTTCTGATGTTAGCCTGAAGGTCCTACAGGCTAGAATTCATCTACAACAGGAAGGTCAGCCTCAGATCCTCTTGGAAAAGGATGGCACTGTAAGGTAGGAAAAGTAATACCTTTTTCTCACCAATCTCAGCCTTCGTGGCTGACACTCCTATAACAAAAGACAGATTAATAAGAGAAAAGCATAACAAATTTATTTCATATGTCTTACATGACCCGGGAGCCTTCAGAAATAAAGACCTATAGATACCTATACAGCGAAAACTGTATTTTTTATGTTAAGGATGATGAAAGAAGCATGTGACTGTGGAGAAACATGATTAGACAAAAAGGTGTATGATTTAATGGTAGTAAACTTGGTGGGGGGGGGAAGGGAACTTAGCAAGGCCTGTTTGTTTAGATTCTTTTCTGTGTCACTTTATGACATCCCATCCTTACTGAGAATAGAGTAAGACTCCTCAGGAATAAAGTTCTTATGACTGACTTTCAGGGGAGGTAGGTCAGAGAATTCTTTTTATGGCCTCAGGGGAGAAAGGTGGGAGAAGGTCAGAAAAAGAGAAGGTCAGAGTGATCTTTCCTTCAGCATACAATACTCAGTATGCCAAAGTGTCATATTTTAGGGTAATGTTTCCTATAATCCCATCAGTACCAACTACCCTAAACTATTGCTATGTCTAAGAATAAATTCTTGGGTACAGGCTTCTGAGCTGACAGAGCTTAAACAACTTTCAAATTGCATCAGTAGACAGAGTCAGCATTTCAATAATTCTTTTTAGTCTACATCATGAAATCAGATGGCTCCCCAAACCCAGCAGAATGAGAATTAATTATGTAGGACTGAATTGACTGATGAGGGACAGTTACTTCTGGTTATTTGTTGGTGTCTTAGTCCATTTGTGTTGTAATAAAGAGATTCCTGAGGCTGGGTAATTTATAAAGAAAAGAGGTTTATTTTACCCACAGTTCTGCAGGCTATACAAGAAGCATGGCGCCAGCATGTGCTTGTGGTGAGGACTCCAGGAAGAATCCAATCAAGGCAGGAGACAGAGGGGAGCTGACATCACATGGTGAGAGGAAGGAAGCAAGAGAGAGAGTGGAAGAGGTGCCAGGCTCTTTTCAACAATCAGCTCTTGAGGGAGCTAATAGAGTGAGAACTCACTCATTACCTTGAGGATGGCACCGACTCATTCATGAGAGATCTACCCCCAGGACCAAAACACCATCCTTCAGGCACCACCTTCAACATTGGCGATCAACTTTCAATATGAGACTTGAAGGCAACAAATATCCAAACTATATCATTTGTAATATTGTTACTCTTTTTTAATGCTCTGTATTTTTATGGACACAGAAAATAAGAGAAGCCTTCTCCCTTTCTTCTTCTCTAACCCTCAACTTAGTAGCTTCTACTTTTAAACTGTAGTGAGGCCAGGCACGGTGGCTCATGCCTGTAATCCCAGCACTTTGGGAGGCCGAGGAAGGTGAATCATGAGGTCAGGAGTTTGAGACCAGTCTGGCTAAGATGGTGAAACCACATCTCTACTAAAAATACAAAAATTAGCCAAGCACAGTGACGGGCACCTGTAATCCCAGCTACTCAGGAGGCTGAGGCATGAGAATCTCTTGAATCTAGGAGGCGGAGGTTGCAGTGAGCTGAGATTGTGCCACTGCACCGTAGCCTAGGTGACAGAGCAAGACTCCATCTCAAAAAAAAAAAAAAAACAAAACCAAAAAACTGTAGTGCAACTTTTAATGGTACCTGATTCTCATCGGTTCCTCCAGAATTCAAAGATATTTTGACTGCCTCCTTATTTTTTTATGGCAATATAGTTTTCATGGGTTCATAAGAATCTGCTCTCTTTTTTTTAACCAAAATATAATTGGACAAGTACATTGTGCAATTAAGGCCATACCTGAAGTATTATACTAGAGAAGATTTCTCATTTAATACCTAAGTATGATCAACCCACTATTAAGGAAAATTACTGTACAGGTTAATTTTTTGTGTCAACGCGACTGTCCCAGGCAGTGCCCAGATTAAACATTATTTCTAGATGTGTCTGGAAAGGTATTTCCAGAAGAGATTAACATTTGGGTCTGTGGATGCATTAAACTAATGTCCCTCCCCAGTGTGGGTAGACATCATGCCATTCTTTGAGGGCCTAAATAGAATAAAATGTGGAGAAAGGAATTTGCCCCTTATGCTCCTGCCTGCCTGCTTGAACTTGGACATTGGTATTCTTCTGCCTGCTGGGATTTACACCATCAGCTCCCCTAGTTCTCAGGGCTTTGAGCTCAGCTTGAATTAGACCACTATGTTTTCCCTGGTCTCCGGTTTGCAGATGGCAAATGGTGGGCTTTCTCAGCCTCCTTAATCATGTGAGCCGATTCCTCATAATATATCCTATTGGTTCTGTTTTTCTGGAGAATCCTGACTAATAAAATTCTGACCATTTATGTGAAGCTAATGCCTACAAATTCCTCCTAAGGAAACTAGCTTGGTATCTGGCTTGCAGTATTCCAGTGTCAGAGTTGGTAGAGAAGCCCACCTACTTCTAGGCCAGAGACCTTTGTAAATTGGGGGGACCTCAAGAAAAGGAGAATTCATTCCTATATATAGGTACATACACCACCAAGTAAAATCTAGAGGAGAGTGTTTTGTGCTTGGTTTCCTAGCCTTAGGATGGAAGAGCAAATGACACAGGCTTTCAAAAGTCCAATCCAAGATTCTTTATGAAAATGTCCACACAGAACTTGCTCAATATTGTAGGACTGTCAATTTTCAGAGCAAAATTAATGAGGCAAGCATAGTTAATAAACACTTTTTTACACATATCTACATAATCAGGACAAACACACTGATACCAGACTTTATGGTAGATTAATTATGATTCCAGAAGTGTGGTAAAGAAACTGGTGAATTATCCAAAATTTTGAAATAGGCAAAAGAGGGATGACACGCTCTTTTACTGTCCTTCAGAAACACAGGCACATTCAAGTTTAGAAGCCTTTATCTTGTTAACTCACTGTTCAAAATTGATTAAATTTCCCAGCTTTAGTGAAGTTATATAACTTTTATAGATTTTTATCCAGTGGAGATGTAAATAATTTCTGTCCAATGGAATATGTAACTCTGAAGTTTACAGTTTATTGCTCTACTGGACATTAGAAGGTTTTGTATCTAGTCCAGAAGTTTTTATCCTAACAGTGCTTTATTAAGTTACCTATAAATACTTGGTTCCATAAATGTTCTTTGAACCAGTTTTAACATCTTACTGGTGCCCTCAACAATTAGTGAATAGAAAAAAATTGTTGACAAGTGTTTACTTTTATATTTGCATGAATTGTGACTTAACATTTTTGAAAATTATGCTGTAACATACACAAATATTTGCCTTTTATTTTTGTTAATCTCAGAAATAGAGTAAGGGATCTCAATGCGATCAGTGATATATAAGTGAATTGATGCAATTGCAGACAAAAATAAAGAAATTTAAACCAGTTAGCTTTTGCAACAGTCATTGCACGGGTTTGGCTACGTTTTTATGAAATGTATTAAAAAATAATTGACAGATCAACTGGAGATCTGGGCCTCAAAATGAGATCTTTGATGTGGTTTGACACTTAGTCTTCTTTCAGCCTGATATGGCTTGATTCTGCAATATGCATGCTCTTGTTTCAACTAGAGATGAAAACGGTTTTTTGAAAGGAAAACAAATCTCAGGACCCCTAAATCACTAAGATGAGGGAAAAGTCAAGGTGGGAACTACATCAGGCAAACCTGACTCCCATTTTAATTCCTAAATAAGATAACTAAAAGGATAGAAGAGCTACATGCCTCCCTCATAGTTTTCCCACAAGGAAATTCCTTGGGACCCTCAAGATCTTGACCCTAAAACAGTACTGTTGAATTTCATCCTGGCAATGTAAACGAATAGCTTATCTTCACACGAGCAGAACAGAAAGTCATCCCTCTGCTCACCTGAGACAAGCAAGTATCTGATTGCTTCCTCTGTCTTATTGTTTATGTAAAAATGCAGATTCACTGAGCCAGACTAAATGGTGTGTATTCAGTGAAAGGCTGATCAAGGACTCAAAAGAATGCAACTTTTTTTCTCTTATCTACCTATGACCTGGAAGCTCCCAATTCAAGTTGTCTTGCTTTACCATACTGAACAAATATACATCTTACACATATTTATTGATGTCTCATGTCTCCCTAAAATGTATACAAGCACATTGTACCCCGACCACCTTGGGCACATGTCACCAGGAGCTCCTGAGGCTCTGTCATGGATATGTCCTTAACTTTGGCAAAATGAACTTTTTAAATTGGTTGAGACCTGTCTCAGATATTTTAAGTTCACAGTTTCATTTCAAAAGAACCACAGTAAATCCTAAACATATCTATTGAATGAGCATCAACACAGAGAATCACTACCTGCTGAAAGTCCAGAATCGTGCTCCCAGTCTTTCTGATAGGACCCCTGGTTCTTCATATACTCCTAGTTTAGAATTGAGTTTGTTAGCTGGGAGCAGTGGCTCATGCCTGTAATCCCAGCACCTTAGGAGGCCGGTGAATCACTTGAGGCCAGGAGTTCGAGACCAGCCTGGCCAACATAGTGAAACCCTGTCTGTAATAACAAATATAAAAATTAGCCGGGTGTGGTGGCATGCACCTGCAGTCCCAGCTACTCCAGAGCCTGGGGCCTGAGAATTGCTTGAACCCGGGAGGCAGAGGCTGCAGTAAGTTGAGATTGCACCATTGCACTCCAGCCTGGGCGACAAAGCAAGACTCTGTCTTAAAAAAAATAAAAAATAAAAATAATTGAGTTTGTCGTACCTCATTGGACATGATGTTTTGTTGGCTTAGCTTCCACTTGGGTCCATTTCTTTGTCTTGGCTTAGTTTTTGCTCAAATACAATTCACTCATATTTTTTTCTGGGCCACAACCTCTATCATGGCCTATCATGATTGCATCATTTTGGACCAGCCAAATGCCAACAAGTCTAGGAAAGCTCAACATGTAACTTGGTTCATTAGGGTCAGGCAGTTAAGGCAGAGTGAGGAAGAGGTAGATAGAATTGCAGCTGAACTCAAATTCTCCTCTAGTTTGAGAAAAATATGACCTCATCCATGACTTGTTCCATTCTTAATATAGAAAAATAAAGTGGCCGGGCACGGTGGCTCACGCCTGTAATCCCAGCACTTTGGGAGGCTGAGGTGGGTGGATCATGAGGTCAGGAGTTTGAGACCAGCCTGGCCAACATAGTGAAACCCTGTCTCTACTAAAAATACAAAAATTAGTCTGGCATGGTGTCTTGCGCCTGTAGTCCCAGATACTAGAAAGGCTGAGGCAGGAGAATCGCTTGAATCAGGGGGGCCGAGGTTGTGGTGAACCAAGATCGCGTCACTGCACTCCATCCTGGGCAACAGAGTGAGGCTCCATCTCAAAAAAAAAAGAAAAAAAAAAAGAAAAAGAAAAAGAAAAAGAAAGCGGCAGCTTGACTGTATTGATTCAAGAGTTCTTGAGCCCTTAAAGAAACTTAGGGTTAAAATCCAGTACACTTTTTGGAAACAAACAAAATTGTACTTAAATACTTAAAAGTAGGCACAGCTGGGTTGGGAATAGACTGCTAGAGTCATCCAGGCAGTAGGGGATAGTGACTTGAACTAGGCTTGTAGCAGTGAGCATGGTGAAAAATGTCAGGGTCAATACATATTTTAGAGTCAATATATATTTTACAGGCTGAGTGTGATGGCTCATGCCTGTAAATCCCAGCACTTTGGGAGGCCTAGGTGGGAGGATTGCTTGAGCCCACGAATTTGAGAGCAGCCTGGGCAACAAGACGAGTCCCCATCTCTGCAAAAATATAAAATAATTAGGCAGTCATGATGGCACATACCTGTAGTTCCAGCTACTCAGGAGAATCACTTGAGCCTGGGAGTTCGAGGCTGCAGTAAGCTATGATCATGCCATTGCACTCCAGCCTGGGCAATAGATTGAGACCCTGTCTTAAAAAAAAAAAAAGAAGCACAGAGAAGAAATAACTTATTAACGAATTTGAAATGGAGTGTGAAATAAGAGATGACACCTAGGTTTGTGGCCTGAGTAACTGGGTAAATGGTTGTGATATTTATGGACAAGACTTGGAAAGAAGAGAGCAATATGCATAGAGAGGGAGCCAGTCATTCTGTCTGGGGTGTGTTACATTTGAAAAACCTTTGAGTCCTTCATGTTTTTACATTAGGACATCTGAAGCTCAGAGGCAAGTTAAACGTGGGGAAAAAAATTTGAGAGTTGCTAGTTCATTGGAAGTTGTAAGACCACACATATGATGTAAGAAAAGAGTATTGATGGGGAAGAGAAGGGCATGAGAATAGAACCTTGGGATTGCCTACTTTTAGGAGTCTAGGGAAGGAGGAGAACCTAGCAAAGGAACAGAGGAGAAAACAAGGAAAATGTGGTGTCCCAAAGCTTGGAGAAGAAAATATTTCAAGGAGAGGTGCTCAGCACTGTTAAATGCTACTGACGGATTAAGGGATGTGATAAAGACGAAAAAAGAAAACAAACAAACAAACAAAAAACAACCACTGGCTTTGGTCTGACATAGGTCATCATTGACATTGACAGGAATTCTAGCACAGTAAAGGTCGGGGGAAAGCCTGGTTTTTACAGAGTGGCTAATAACATGGGTTTTGGATTTAGCCAGTTGAGAATAATAGTTACCCTTAATTATGACTTAGAATCTACCAGGTGTTTTACGAAAACTCTCTCATCTATGAGGGGGGTAGATTGCAAACAACTCTATGAAGTGAGTAGAGGCAGTGCCATCATACCCATTTTATAGATAAAGAAATTGAACTCAAAGCATTGAAACAAATAGACTGCTGTCATACCCTATCAGTGGCAGAACCAAGATTTAAACAGAAGCTATTTCACTTAAGAGCCATAACTCACTTTGGGAGGCTGAGATGGGCAGATCAGGAGGTCAGGAGATTGAGACTATCCTTGCTAATATGGTGAAACCCTGTCTCTACTAAAAATAAAAAAAAATTAGCTGGGCATGGTGGCAGGCACCTATAGTCCCAGCTGCTCGGGAGGCTGAGGCAGGAGAATGGCATGAACCCAGGAGATGGAGCTTGCAGTGAGCCGAGATCGCAGTCACTGCACTCCAGCCTGGGCAACAGAGTGAGACTCTGTTTCAAAAAATAATAATAAAATAAAATAAAATAAAGAGCCATACCTTAATCATTTTGGAAGACTCTTTCTACAGCTAGTTTAAAGCCTTGCCATCCTATTAACTAGCTGTGTGATTCTGGGTAAGTAACTCAATGTCTCTGAGACTTAGCATCTACATTTTTCATAAAATGGAGACTCTATGTGTAGAGTGTGTAAGTATCAACTGACTTATTGTCTGCAAAGCCCCTAGGCACAGAGCCTGACACATAGTAAGTGCTCATTCATTATCTAGTACAACCTAATCATTTTACTGACTAGAAAACCAGGCCCCAGAGAACCCAGGGAACTAGTCACAGGTACACAGGGTGTCAGAGGGAAGACTATCCAAAGGCCATGACTCCTGGCCCAGAGTACAAAACGCTGAGGACCTCTGACCAGCTGTCTTTTTTTGGAAGCCTCCCACCTAGGGACCCAAATCTTCTTTGATGCTGCCCCAAAGCACTCCTGAGTCACTCAAAATATTCCCTGGTCTGGCAACAAATAACTCACAATATCATTACCTGCCTGATGCCTTTTGAAGCAGCACTGTTCCCAGGAGTACTCCGTCACTGGAGTGACAGTCCCTCATGTTGTACATCTCCCAGAAGCTGACACTCTGTTTTTGTGTTTTAAAACTCCCAGGATAGACCACAGAAAGCGCCAGTTCATTCCAGCAACCTTCTGCTGTACTTTAGGCTCTCCTGTGAATACATGGAGGAAATGTCTGATAATATTTAATTTTTTCCAGGTCGATTGGTCTCAGCTGGTATGAAAAAACAATTCTAAAAGAGGGATTTGATTTTGGATGGTTTTGAATCTTGGAAGTTTACATGGTGCTTTAGACAGAATCGTGGACCATGCTGTGGAAGGGACTACAGGGAGGGGTTAGATCAACGGCTTTTATACTTGAAACTGTCAGGGAATCTAAGGGACTCCTCCAAGATCCCCTGTGTGGCAAGGAAAAGGGTGAGAGATGGTGGGGCAGGGCGCTTGCCTCTTGATATGGTTTGGCCGTGTCCCCACCCAAATCTCATCTTGCATTGTAGCTTCTATAATTCCCACATGTCCTGGGAGGGACCCAGCAGGAGGTAATTGAATCATGGGGACGGGTTTTTCCTGTGCCGTTCTCATGATAGTGAATAAGTCTCATGAGATCCGATAGTTTGATAAAGGGGAATTCCCCTGCACAAGCTCTCTTGCCTGCTGTCATGTAAGACGTGACTTTGCTCCTAATTCGCCTTCAGCCATGATTGTGAGGTCTCCCCAGCCATATGAAACTCTGAGTCTATTAAACCCTTTTGCTTTATAAATTGCCCAGTCTTGGGTATGTCTTTATTAGCAGCATAAGAACAGATTAATACACCTCCCACCCATCCCTTATCAGAATAGCTCTTTCTTTATCTGCTTTACGCATAGAGTTTGCCATAGTCTACTTTTGGGGAAAAAGTCCTGGGCTAAAAACAAAACAAAACAAAACAAAACAAAGTTTGAAAACCGCTGGTCTCATCTAACTTTCTTACCTTACAGATGGGGAAACTGAGATCCAGATAGGGGAAATGATTTATCCAATATGAAAGGGTAAACCTGTCCCAGAATGTAGATTAGAACTCAAGTCCCCAGTATCCCATTGTGTCTTTATTTTCCTCCACTCAAGAGTGCTACACGTTGACTTTAATTCTTGACCTTATTTCCATCATGGGCATTGGTAAACTTTTTCTGTAAAGACCTAGATCATAAATACATTCAGTTTTTCAGGCTCTGTAGTTTCTGTTGCAATTATCCAATTCTGGGCTTGTGGTGCAAAGCAGCCGTAGACAATATGTAAACAGGTAAGCATGGCTGTGTTCCAACACAAAATACTTTGCAAAAACGGGCATCAGGCCAGATTTGGCACATGGAGTGTAGTTTATTGATCTCTGTTCTAGCATACCAAGAAACAAGTGGGTTATGGGTTGGTCGGAAGAGAGCATACTCATACATGCTAAAAATGAATTAAATTATTGATTTATTTACTTGGAAACTCAGGGTGCTGTTAGAGAGATGGGCAACAGACCTCGTTATAAAGCAATGTGACTGTGCTGTAACAGATGGTCACTCAGGAAGGGGAGGACACATTCTGCCTGAGACCATGAGGGATATCTGGGAAAGCTTCACAGATAGAACTGTGAGTCGGCCTTGGGTGTTGTGGGTTGGCCTTGGGTGCTTTGCAGAAACAACTGTGAGTTGGCCTTGGGTGAAAGACCATCTCAGGTAGAGGAAACCAGACCTGGCAGAACTCTAGGGGGTTTAGGAGTAGGAAGGGTGAGAGGCTGGGGGTAGACTGCAAATGGCTTTGGACGTCTTGTTGGGAAAACTGACTTTATTCTTAAGGATGACTGGGATTCTTTTAAGGGATTTTAAGCAGGGAGGTGACATGAGCATTTCATAGAGATTGATGTGGCACCAAGGGGTGAATAGAATGGTTTAGGGAAGGTGACATATTAGGGAGTATTTGAAATGACTCAGGTAATAGATGAGGTGTCAAATCAGTGTCAGTCAGTGTAGCTCCCATTTTCCCCACAGAAATTCCAATCAGGAAGAGTCTCTGTATATGATGAGTGATGTATGTTTGTTGCTTTAACTTATTGATTATTGTCTTACAGCCTGGAGACGAATGTAATGCCTGTCTCCCTTTCATTAGCTGTGTGGACTTAGAAACATCACTTTTCCTCTCTGAGCTTTCAGATCCCTTATCTCTGAGTGGAGATGATGATACCTACTGCCAAAGATTGTTAAGATTAAATGGGATCACATATTAAAGCTCCACTTTAAGCCTTATTTTTTAATGTATAAATACATAAGAAAGTATTTTTCTTTTGCTACAAACTGAATTCTCAAAGAGATTAAACCTGAAGAGGGATTCATCCTTACAGCAATGGGCACTGTTCTTGAAGTTGTAATCTACTGTGGAAATGGGGGATCATTTAGACATTACTCATAGATCATCAGGACAGTCTCAAAGGCCTGAGAATGGATTTTGAGATGTCTCTGGGGCTGGAATTATAATAAAATGTATATTCCTGTAAGTTATGTTGCCCACATGAAAATGTGCTGCATACTCCAAATAGAGATTGCTGGTTAACATCAATGGCAAATGAGGGTTGCATTATTTTATTTTATTTTGAGACAAAGTCCTGCTCTGTTGCCCAGGCTGGAGTACAGTGGTGCGATCTTGGCTCGCTGCAACCTCCGCCTCCCGGGTTCAAGCGATTCTCTTGCCTCAGCCTCCGAGTAGCTGGGATTACAGTGCACGCCACCACACTTAGCTAATTTTTTTGTGTTTTTAGTAGAGATGGGGTTTCACCATGTTGGCCAGGCTAGTTTCGAACTCCTGACCTCAGGTGATCTGCCTGCCTTGGCCTCCCAAAGTGCTGGGATTACAGGCGTGAGCCACCACGCCTTGCTGAATTATTTTAAATTTGATTGATGTTGTCCTCTTGCGCATTTCTGAAAGAAATGTACTGAAGCCAGGTGACTCCATACTAGTCTTAAGTGACACTTAACATGATGGTTCTTCAATAAACATGTTCTCCTTGAATGAGCAAGAGGCACCAGGACAACTAGATTCAATTTCATGCTGAAGTGTGTGAATATTCATTTCTCCCAATTGTTACCGAGAGTCCAATTTTAATTTGTTTGCTATTTCTGTTAATACCAAGGCCTACTTAATATATCCATTGAAAGTCCTTAAGAATATTCACAGGGAATCCTCCTAGAATTGCCACAGAGTTTTTAAATGTTTGTGAATTACCCTGACAAGCTTTTAGTTTCAACTCACATTAAGTAGATTTCATCGTTAACAAGAATATATGCAAATTAAAATGAGGCCATTAACATCTTAAATACATTGCATTTTTAAAAAGAAAGCAAGTTTGCAAAAAATTGGGAGAGTGCAATTTTTTTTCAAAATTTTTGGAAAAAAAAAGTTGCCAAAAATAAAGAGAGAAGAGAAACCAAATGTAACCATCCTATGAAAGACATACTTGGTTTACAATAAAATACTGAGAAATATTTCAAAGAAAGTAAATTGGACTGGAAATCTGGGGTCTGAGTTCCAGTTCTAGGTCAGTTTTCCATAAATCAATTTGCTGTCAGGTGAGTCACTATATGATCAATTTGCCAAATAAATTTAAAGTATTTATTAAATTTACAAAAAAAAAGTATTTATTTTAAACTGTTGGATAAAATGGTTTTTTGTTTGTTTGTTTTTTTTTTTGGAGACGGAGTCTCACTCTGTCACCCAGGCTAGAGGGCAGTGACCTGATCTCGGCTCACTGCAAGCTCCGCCTCCCAGGTTCATGCCATTCTCCTGCCTCAGCCTCCCGAGTAGAGTAGCTGGGACTACAGGTGCCCACCACCACGCCTGGCTAATTTTTTGTATTTTTAGTAGGGACAGGGTTTCACAGTGTTAGCCAGGATGGTCTCGATCTCCTGACCTTGTGATCCGCCCGCCTCGGCCTCCCAAAGTGCTGGGATTACAGGCGTGAGCCACCGTGCCTGGCCAAAAGTTTTTTTTTCTTCCTTTCTTTCTTACGCTTTAGAAAATTTCAGTGACATTTTAGGTGATCAGCATTCATTTAGCCTTCGGAATAAGCTTTTAAGAACTATTCATCTTGCCTTCATCCTACCTCCCCATGGCTGGAGCTTAGTGAGCCAGGATCAGAGAGGGGACCCTCTGATGGAGGAAGACAGAGAAAAAGGTCAGCTGAGAACACAGCCTGGCTGCTGATCCAGTAAGGAAGTCACTAAAGAGCAGAAAGCAGAGAGTAAGCAGAAACAAAGCTTCCAAAGAAAACTTTTTCTTTGCACATATTTCTTCTTTTTTTTTTGATAGAATCTCACCCTGTTGCCCAGGCTGGAGTTTTGTGGCATGATCTCGGCTTCCTGCCACCTCCACTTCGCAGATTCAAGTGATTCTCCTGCCTCAGCTTCCCAAGTAGCTAGGATTATAGGCGTGCTCCACCCTGCCTGGCTAATTTTTGTATTTTTAGTAGAAATGGGGTTTCATCATGTTGGCTAGTCTGGTCTCGAACTCCTGGCCTCAGGTGATCCACCTGCCTTGACCTCCCAAAGTGCTGGGATTACAGGCATCAGCCACCATGCCTGCACATACATCTGACACCAAATGTGTAGATTTTCCCTCCCGTACTAGCTAAGCCTCCAACTCTCCAGACACCAACTGGTATCCTACAGTTAATTTAATTCTGACACTAACTACCTTTAGTTAGTGCAGACCCCACAGGTTAAGGGCTCAGTCCCACAAGATTGCCCCTACTTCAGATGCCAATGGTAAGTAATGGGTTTCCAGTCTGACCTGGCTACAAATCAGGGCTCCTACAGCCCTCTCCTCAGTTTTGATACTTTGCTATAAAGGCTCACAGACCTCAGGAAAACACTTTGCTTACATATAATGGTTTATTATAAAGGATATCAATAAACAGGCAGATGCAGTCGTGCATAGAGGAAGGTGTGGGGAAGGTTTGCAGAGCTTCGATACCCTCTCTGGGCACACCACCCTCCCAGCACCACAATGAGTTCACCAGCCCAGAAGCTCCCTGAATCCTGTTCATTGGGGTTTTTTATGGAAGTTCTGAAACCATCCCTACACATTAGGTCACCTTGCTCTCTGACCTGCTTCCTCATAGTTGCTTGGTGACTCTTGCCCCAGAATCACACAGACCCTGTCCTCTTAACAGCTCTATAGATAACAACTTAAGTATTCTGAAACACTGCATTTTCTCTTTGAGATATTCTTTCAGGTCTTGCATACCAATGAAACTACTGACATCAGCTGGTCTGAAGGATCCCACAAGGAGCTGACTCACCAAAGAATGCAGTTTCCACTTCCTGATGATTTCATCCCCCTTTCCTCAACCAGTCAATGATCCCAATTTTCCAGTCCCTTGCCTGCCATGGTCCCCTCAAAATTCCCAGCCCAGAACTCCTTGGAGAGATGGTTTTGAGCGTTCCTCCTGTCTCCTCATTTGGCTTCCCTGTGATCATTAGACTGTTTCTCTGCTGCAAACCCTGTTGTCTCAGTGTATTGGTCTGTTACTGTGCAGTGTGCATACGAATCTGGTGGTCCTGTTACAGTTTCATTATGTGGGCATGATTGCTGAAGTCATTGGCCATTGGTGATTGAACTCAATCTCCATCCACTCTCCACTTCCAATAACAAGTTATTGATGATTTGGGGGAATATGGGAGAGTGGGGCTAAAAGTTCCAATCTTCTAATTACATAGGTGGTTTCTCTGACAACCAGCTCCCATCATCTGACAGTCACCTCATTAGCAGAAACTCAGGTATGACTAAAGAACTTGCTAAGAATAACAAAAGATGCTCCTCCCACCTTCATCACTCAGAAAATTCTAAGGGTTTTAGAAGATCTGTGCCAAGAACCAGAGACAAAGACCAAATATCTATTTTTGATTATAACACAGTATCACAGGCTGGGGCAGGGTAAATGGAGAGGACGGAGGCTGGAGGATAGAATGAGGAGCCCAGCACTTTGAGAGGTAGAGGAAGATACTCAGGGTGGTGGGGGTGCAGACTAATGGTAGAGTGGGTGGGAACTGGGGGCAGTAAGAGGGAGACCCAAGGGATATGCTGGGGATGTGAAGGTATGAAACCATCTTTGCAAAATTATGACAGTAAGTGAAATCTGACATGGCTGACTTCATCTTGCTTCTAGTCTCACATGTTGGCTATGTTTCCTCATTCCTGGGCATGGGCCAAGCTAACTTTGTGGTAAATTTAGTTTATAGTTTATAAAATAGCCCTTCCCCTAAACTAAACTGCCCTTGTAAAACTAATGAAAGGCCACTAAGTTAGGAGGATGAGAAGGGCCTCTATTCTCTAAGGTGTAAGTACAGTTCAATGATTACCAGCCATTATTCCAGAAATCACAAGATATTGCAACTTGCCCAGTTATTCCTGCAGATAACATCACTATTGTAGAAACCAAGATTGGCCTTTTGAGATGACTTTTCAGGTTTTTGCATTTCTGATGACTGATGGCTCCACCTGGACTCACCAACCAGTACTGTGGCTCCCACCCAGGTACCAACTCAGTGCAAGAGGACAGATTTGGCTGCCTATGATTTCATCTCTGACCCAACAAATCAGCATGCCCCACTGCCTGGCTCCCTGCCCACCAAACTATCTTTGAGAGACCCTAGTCTCCAAATTTTCAAGGCAACTGATTTGAGTAATAAAACTCCAGGCTCCTGTTCAGCCCCCTCTGCATGAATCAAACTCTTTCTCTATTGCAATTCTCCTGTCATGATAAATTGGCTTTATGTGGGCAGCAGGCAAATGAACCCATTGGGTGATTATAGGTATCTGGATTGCGTCCAGGGTCCCCACATTTCTGCCCATGGATCCAACGTGAATTGTGGCAAACCTAATCAAGAGTTTAAATAGCAATTTATTGATGATTTGGAAACTCAGAAATTAGTCATTTGGTGACTTGGCATTTGGTGGACTAATGTAAAGTGCATTGATTTTCATCGAACTGACTTAGTGAAGTGGTTTTTTGTTGAACTGGTGGTTCAGAAACCAGACTTAGTCCCAGAAGAAGAGGCTACAAGATGTGGCTCTAGCCAAGTCATCCTCCTCTATGGGCCTCCCCAGTGGAGGAGCTAGACCAGGTCAGAAGACCACTGAAAGGCCCTTCTCCAGGGAGGCTCCTTGAGGGTGTTGATGGAGAATCTAAACTCCATGAAACATTTAAAGAGGTTTATTCTGAGCCAATATGAGTGACCATGGCTCCAGGGAAGAGTCTCAAAAGGTCCTGAGAAAGTGTGTCCAAGGCAGTTGGGAGACAGAAGTTTTAGGGAGACAGAAGTTACAGGAAAATACATAAATCAATACATGGAAGGTTTACATTGGTTCAGGCCTGAAAAGGCAGGACATCTCGAAGCAGAGGCTTGCAGGTTATAGGTAGATTCCAAGATATTGTTTGATGAGTTACGCTTTATCTAAAGACTTGAAGTTGGTGGAAAGAAATGTTTGCATTAAGATAAGGGAGGTTGTGGAGACCAAGGTTCTTGTTATGTGGATGAAGCCTCCAGGTAGCAGGCTTCAGAGAGAATGGATGGTAAATGCCTATTTTTGGAGTTAAAAAGGTGTCAGGATCTTAGTTAATGTCTCCTAGACCCAGGAAAGTCCTGGTTGCATTAATGGAGATTCTCTACAAGTGCAAATTTCCCCCACCAAAGACAGCTTTGCATGGCTATTTCAAAATATGTCAAAGAAATATATTTTGGGGTAAAATAGTTTTATTTCCTTTAGGGTCTGCTATCTGACATGTGATGCTATACTGGAATCAAGTTGGAGTTTGGTATCTTATTGCCACAAAGAGTCAATTTTGTCAGTCTTATGATCTCTATTTTAATGTTAATGCTGGACAGTTGTACCTAAACTCCAAAGGGAGGGGGTGTAATGAGTTGTGTCCAATTTCCCC
Organism: Homo sapiens; assembly: GCF_000001405.40. Lineage (NCBI taxonomy): Eukaryota > Metazoa > Chordata > Mammalia > Primates > Hominidae > Homo > Homo sapiens. Next base: position 68,999,901 of record NC_000007.14, on the reverse strand, counting down.
ATCATGGCTGGGGATTCAGTTTTTCAGGTTTATCTGCAGTCCCCTTGGCCAAGAAGGGGTCTGTTCAGTCAGCCAGGGGGTGCTTAGAATATTGTTTTTGGTTTACAGACATTAAGTCAAGTTTAGCCTAAAGCTGCATCCTTACATATTTTAAGTTTGGCCTAAAGGTTTCTCTGTACATAGTGAACTACCACCTAGATGGAGGTGTAAACAGACTGTAACTTACTCTTGTGCCAATCAATGAGTTTTGGCCAATCAAATGCAGCCAATGGCTCAAACGGTGTTGGCAAACACCAAGCTGTAACCAATCCAGCTGTTTCTGTACCTCACTTCTGTTTTCTCTACATTATTTTCCCTTTTCTGTCCATAAATCTCCCACCACGTGGCTGCATTGGAGCCTCTCTCAGCCTACTCTGGCTTGAGATTCTGCCTGATTCCTGAGTCATTCTTTGCTCAACTAAACTCTGTTGCATTTAATTTGGCTAAGTTTTTTCTTTTAACACAGAGGAGAGAGACGCCTAAGAAAAAAGGATTCTGGGATTTGAACCCTCAAGTCCACCAGACCTGCCTCTTTTACCATATGAGGTTTCTTTAAGAAAAAAAATGTTTCTCTGTTAAAATCACCAGAAACACATTTGGAAAACCACTAGAAAGATGAGATGCATTCTTTGGAATAATAATAGCAATACCTTTTGAGCACTTACTGTACCCAGACACTGTGCCGAGCACTTCAAAGTCATTCCCTTATTTGATCCTCACTCCTCCTCTTGGAGGAAGGTGACTGTCACCCTTCTCTTTAAAAAGTGAGGAAATAGGCTCAGAGGGTCGTCAAGGCATGATTGGGGCCCAGGATCTCTAACCTGTTTCTAGAAAACAACACATTCCAGAATATACCTGCAAGCTGCAAATGGCCTGTGGTCTCTCTTTTGATCCCATTCATTTGGAGACTCTCTGGGGGATTTTTAGGCAGCCGTTAGAACCACTGTATAATCTGACCCCAGCCTCCTGGTTCAACAGAAGCCCTGAGGCTCCTCCACATATGCCAGCTGGGCTGTTCTTGCACCTAAATGCACCTCACGCCTTGTCGTGACCTTTGCTTTCGTCCCTGCCTGGCCAACCCTTTAAGTCCTAGCTTCAAGGCCACTCTTTCCACAAAGCCTTCAGCGTCCTCAGAGTGACAACAGCAGCCTAAAAGCTGACATGGAGTATGCTTAACACGTTCCTGGCACTGTGCACAGGGCTTGCATCACAGCTATCATCTGCGAGTCCTAACATCATTGCCTTTCCACAGAGAGGGAAACTGAGGCACGAGAGGTTAAGTCACTTGTCCTGAGTCACACAGCTGGTGAGTACAGAGCCTACCCCCAATGCCTTATTGCTTTCTCACCTGTCTCTGCTGACCTCTCTCCCTCTCTCCCCAGGCCACAGGGACCCCTGCCTTCTTCCAAACTCCTCTAGCTTTTTAAAAAGCATCTCGCATTGGGAGGCTGAGGCAGGATTGCTTCAGCCCAGGAATTCAAGGCTGCAGTGAACTACGATCATACCATTGCATTCCAGCATAGGCAACATAGTGAGATCGCCATTTCTAACAAAAATATTTAAAAATTAGCCCAGCTTGATGGCACATGCTTGTGGTCCCAGCTGCTTGGGAGGCTGAGGCAGGAAGATGGCTTGAGCCCAGGAGTTTAAGGCTGCAGTGAGCTCTGATTGCACCACTGCACTCCAGCATGGGCAGGGCAACATAGTAAGACCCCCATCTCTAACAAAAATATTTGAAAATTAGCCAAGCATGATGGTACATGCCTCTAGTCCCAGCTACCTGGGAGTCTAAGGCAGGAAGATGGCTTGGGCCCAGGAGTTCAAGGCTGCAGTGAGCTGTAATCATGTCACTGTACTCTGGCCTGGCTGACAGAGCAAACTTTGTCTCAAAAATAAAATAAAATGAAAAACAACAAAAAAAGTTTGGGAGTCCAAGGCGAGTGGATCACTTCAGGTCAGGAGTTCAAGACCAGCCTGGCCAACATGGGGAAACCCCGTCTCTACTAAAAATACAAAAATCAGCCAGGCGTGGTGACAGGTGCCTGTAATCCCAGCTACTCGGGAGGCTGAGGCAGAATAGCTTGAGGCAGAACCCAGGAGGCAGAGGTTGCAGTGAGCTGAGATCATGCCGCTGTGCTCCAGACTGGACAACAGGGGACTCCATCTCAAAAAAAAAAAAAAAAAAAAAAAAAAGAAAAGGAAAGAAAAAGAAAGGAGCTCACAATTATTTGGCCTGTAACAGAGTGTGTCTGCAATTGTAAATTCACTTTGTTGGTGAGTGCATTTCTCTCCTCTCCAGCTAGGGCATGAGGCTCATAAGGGTTCTTCTTCTCATCATGCCCTCCAGGGTGTTCCCATAGATAGCTGGCTACAGGATTCAAGGATGTTCTTGTTCATTCTTTAAGGAACCAGCATTGGAAGCCATTTCCCCCGGTAAGTGATGGCTTTGGGTTTCTTTTTTTTTTTTTTTTTTTTTTTTTTTGAGACGGAGTCTCGCTCTGTCGCCCAGGCTGGAGTGCAGTGGCGGGATCTCGGCTCACTGCAAGCTCCGCCTCCCGGGTTCACGCCATTCTCCTGCCTCAGCCTCCCAAGTAGCTGGGACTACAGGCGCCCGCCACTACGCCCGGCTAATTTTTTTTTGTATTTTTAGTAGAGACGGGGTTTCACCGTTTTAGCCGGGATGGTCTCGATCTCCTGACCTCGTGATCCGCCCGCCTCGGCCTCCCAAAGTGCTGGGATTAGAGGCGTGAGCCACCGCGCCCGGCCTGGGTTTCTTTTTATCGGTTACCGTGGGGATTTGTTTCCTGTCCTCCTATATAAGTCTTTGTGGGATCATTGGGGCAGTGTTACAGAGAAGGTTGGCACTTCTTGGAGAAAGCCCCCTTTGTTTTGTTTGGCCTCCATCTCCCTTTTCTTCAGTTAAACATCAGCAGCTCTGAGTCCATCGTGATCCACCCGGGCTCATCCCACACTGGCAGACAACCTTGTCCTTGTTCTTCCACAAGAATGTGATTGTCTAGGCCAGTCTCCCTAACATCAGAACCCCCCTGTCTCCTTGTAACAATCCCTCACGTGGCTGAGCCTTGTACTACAGACCCTCCTCTGCACTAATTTGGGGCAAAGATTGGGGAAAAGATTCTGGGTTACATGTTTGTTTGTTTGTTTTTCTTCATAAGGGTGGACTTTAGCCAATAGCCAGAATAGGCAAGAGGAAGACACCAAAAAGACATGGTACCTGAGGGTGAGGACATGCTATGCTCCTGGACACGAGCTAGAGAAATGACAGGAGAAGCCTCACTATTCTCTTCCTCATTGGAAAAACCTACCTATGCTGTTGTATCTACTGTGGTCGGGGGAATAACAGCTCCACCAAGACAGACACACTCTATTAGGTTGGTGCAAAAGGAATTACAATTTTTTGCATTAAAAGTAATTGCACATTGTCCGGGCACGGTGGCTCACGTTTGTAATCTCAGCACTTTGGGAGGTCGAGGCAGGTGGATCACCTGAGGTCAGGAGTTCAAGACCAGCCTGGCCAACATGGCGAAACCCTATCTCTACTACAAATACAAAAATTAGCCAGGTGTGGTGGTGCAAGCCTGTAGTCCCAGCTACTTGGGAGGCTGAGGCAGAAGAATCGCTTGAACCCAGGAGGCAGAGATTGCAGGGACCCGAGATCATGCCACTGCACTGCAGCCTAGGTGACAAAGCAAGACTATCTCAAAAAAAAAAAAAAACATCTGAACATCTTCTGGAACTTGGGATTATGATAGGTTACATGGCCAAGAGGAATTAAGAGTGCAGTAAGAGTGCAGATGGGCTTCAGATTGCCAATCAGCTGACTTCAAAATAGATTATCCTTAACATTAGAAGAGGGAATCAGAAGAGACATCAAAGAGGTGGCAGTTTGAGGACTCAGCTAAACGTTGCTTGCTTTGAAGAAGGAGGAGGAGGCCATGAGGTAAGGAAAGCTGGCTGCTTCTAGAAACTTGAAAAGACAAGAAAAAGTACTCTTCCTTAGAGCTTCCAGAAATCACTGCACCCTGCCAACACCTTGATCTTAGCCTAGTGAGTTGCAAGGCAGACTTTTTGATCTACAGAATTGTATGATAAATTGGTATTTTTTTAAGCCGCTAAGTAGGTGACAATTTGTCACAACAGCAATAGAAAACCAACACAATTGGCTGGGTGAGGTGGTTCACGCCTGTAATCCCAGCACTTTGGGAGGCTGAGGCCGGTGCATCACCTGAGGTCAGGAGTTTGAGACCAGCCTAGCCAACATGATCAAACCCTGTCTCTACTAAAAATACAAAAAATTAGCCGGGCGTGGTGGCAGGTGCCTGTAATCCCAGCTACTCGGGAGGCTGAGGCAGGAGAATTGCTAGAACCCGGGAGGCAGAGGTTACAGTGAGTCAAGATCACGCCACTACACTCCAGCCTGGGCGACAGAGACAGACTCTGTCTCAAAACAAACAAAAACAAACAAACAAACCTTAAATATGCTCTATTCATGAATCTTTTGTCAATTCGTATTTTAAAGCTTCCATATTATTGCATTTTAGATTCAAAACTCTCCCAGCCTCTGAAAGCCTGGACTTTTCCCTTTTCATGCCTCATACAGGTTGGCATAACTGCTTTCTAGTTGTTTTCAAACTTTGCTATGAATTTCTTAAGAGGTATGAAAAGTTAAGCGCTGTTTAACTGGTCATTTAGGTTTTGCCTCTGCCAATTCTTTCTAAACGCAATTTTCTATTTGAACCAACTTTGTTAAAATTGCGAAAGATAGCCATGGTTGCTAAGAGAAGCTGCTAGGGTGTTGCCATGGGAACAATTGTTTTAAAATCAGGAATAACAGGCTCTAACTGTTAAGAGCTAAGGTGGAGAAGGTAGGAGAGACAGCTACCCCTCACTTCCTCCCCATTAGGAGAAAACAGCCTAGGGTTTCCTACCAATTCCTTATATTCAGCAGATGCTGCTGTGCCACTCTGTGAAGGACAATAGTAAATGCATGAGTTTTGGATTCAAACAGACTCTTGGGTCTGAATTCCTGATTTACCAACATTGCCATCTACAAGATCTAGGGTGACCTATGGAACTTCCCTGGGACTCCATTGCGTTAATCACGAAATGGGGTTTTCAACAGTATTTATCTTCGAGAGTTGGTGTAATTACATGAGAGGACATATGCAATTTGTCTAGCACAATACCTGCAGAGCAATGAGAAGGCAATAATTAATAGAGCTATTATGGTGAGACAAGAGATTGTCTGTGATTGCAGGGCTCTAGATGGCATTTCCCAAGCCAACTTGGAGAAAGATCTCCAATCCATCAGTCACTGATAAGTATCCTCCTGGATATGACTGGTAGGTAGCTCAGCCTACACATGACTCACTTGGAGTCAGCCATACCTGAAATTGTCAATACCTTGCACAACAACACAAGTCTGGTGTTTCTGCACTCGGCTATGGTGGCAATGCCATCACAGTTTGACATGCTTGCCATCAGTTTCTGCTCTTTTCTTTGTGGGCCAGTAACAAGCAATTGTGGACTTGCACCAGCTGCGAGGGGCACTGGTCTGGATGCCATCTGATCATGCCGGGCAGTAGCTGTTTGCTGTCTCTGATTTCTCCCATGGGTGACTGGTTAGAAGGCCAAGAGGGCAGAGTGAACAGGGCCATGCCTGGGGTGAGCCGGCATGAAGGCCATAAACAGGTACAGGGAGTTTGAAGGCTGGTTGTTTTCAGAGCTGCTTCTGTGATGGGAAAAAGCTCCACTGAGTTCAGAGAACCAAATCTACCATGTGGAGCTGGGAAAGTAGCTAAATATTGGATGGAACTGGGAGGACTGGGCAGGAGAGAGCCAGGAGGAGGATCAAGTGTCAGCATATGGACAGCAGAAAAACAGAGTGGGGTACAAGTGATGGAGAAGGTGGCCCCCGTAGCAGCTCTGCGTTGGTTTGGCAAACTCAAGAGGCAATGGTGAGATGATGTCTGAGCAACTTGGCCCGTAAGCTCAGCCGATTTGAACAACGTAACTTGCTACTAGCAGAATCTGCCTTCTTCTGAGAGTTTATAAGATAAGTTTCTGTCTGGGCCCAGAGTCAAGAAATATTATACCTCTCTGGGATAATTGGTCTGTTTCTGTCTGATGGTTGGAGCTGTGGAACCTCTCAGGTATCTTTTTTTTCACTTGGCTGCTGAAACCTTAGAGCCAAATATATGGCCCACTCAGAGCATATCCATGGTCTCTGGGGGTCTGTGTGCTTGTTTAAGATTCAGTCCTGGATTTATTTTATGTTTTGACTCTGGTTTGACTTTCTTATCTACACTTGAAAAATGCTTACTTCTGACAAAAAGAAAAATGATGTTTTTAAGTGTACTTCTTCATTTTACAAATAATTTTTAATTTAATTTTAATTTTAATTTGTTTTGAGACAGGGTCTCACTCTGTTGCCCAGATTGGAGTGCAGTGGTGTGATCATAACTCACTGCATCCTCTACCTCCTGGTCTCAAGCAATCCTCCCACCTTGGCCTCCCAAGGTGCTGGGATTATGGGCATGAGTCACTGCACCCAGCTACAAAGAATGTTTTAAATTATAAAGTACATAGTATAACTCATAGTATAGTGAAATCTGTAACCGAATCTATGTACATAGTGTATCTGTAATATACTAAAGGATACTGTATCTATAGTATAATCTATGATCAAATCTGTAATCAAGATAGTACAGTATGCAAAGTGGAAAATTTAGACAAATACACAAAAACGCTCAGCTCTAATCCCGCTACAATTAACATTTTGGAACATATGTTCACTGCACAGTCATCAGTGTGATGGAAACCAGTTCTTGACCTTCTCATCCAGTGTTCCATGAACTTGCTGGTCCAGATGCTGAGGCTAGAGAAGAATTTCCCTTTGGAAATGTAATTGCATTTGAGAATAATTATAGAGGACATGCATATGTACAGACCACCTCCCCAAACAACAAGGAAACCCAAAAAATCTGAACTAAAACTGGCTTAACAATGGCTTCCTTTTGTGGGCATGGTGGCTCATGTGTGCAATCCCAGCGCTTTGCGGAGCTGAGGCAGAAGGATCACTTGAGCCCAGGAGTTTGAGACCAGCCTGGGCAACATAATGAGACCATTCTCTAAAAAAGTAAAAAAATTTTAAAAACCCGAAAAGCCAAATCATAGTTTCAAATAGCCCCCCAAAAATATAGCTTCTTTTTCAATGACTACTAACAGCCATTATTATCTGGTTATTTGCTGTTAGCCTATTTTAATGAATTCTAGAATGTTCAAATAAATTTATGTGGATGAATAGCCAGGATATTAGCAAAGGTAAGAAAAAGAATACCAAGGAGCAATATGATATATTAAGTAGTTGTTGAGTTGCATTTTTTCATACCCTAAAGAGGAAGAGAGGCCAGGTGCCGTGGCTCATGCCTGTAATCCTAGCACTCTGGGAGGCCAAGGAGGGCAGATTGCCTGAGCTCAGCAGTTCGAGACCAGCCTGGGCAACACGGTGAAACCCTGTCTCTACTCAAATACAAAAAATTAGCTGGGTGTGGCAGTGTGCACCTGTAGTCCCAGCTACTCAGGAGGCTGAGGCAGTAGAATTGCTTGAACCCGGGAGGCGGAGGTTGCAGTGAGCTGAGATCATGCCACTGCACTCTAGCCTGGGTGACAGAGTGAGACTTCACCTCAAAATAAAATAAAATAAAATAAAATAAAATAAAATAAAATAAAATAAATAGATGAAGGGCACAAAAAAGAATGAATTATTTAATATGGCATTATTGCATTAATTTAAATTTTTATTAGCCTGTAATTATGCAATGCTTTGGAGCTTAAGAAATGTCAGAGGAATGTTTTTTTCTACATCTAAAATAGTCAGGAAAGTCACATACCGTAACCATTAGTTCATCAATTCATTTAACTAGTATTTACTGAGCACCTGATTTGAACAAAGCAACACTCTTCAAGGAACTAGGGATAACTTATTCAAGGTTCTTACCTTCAAGGAGCTTCTATTCTGGTGGGAAGACCACATGCCGAATTTTAACTTAGTTTTGCCTCTCTGGGAATTTTGGTAGCACAGAGAGAAAACAAATTAAGTCAATGTAAGAAAGCAGGAGATGGGGAACCCAAATCAGTGGAATTTCTCCAGAGAAGGGGCGGCCAGGACTACAAAGGTAATGAACAGCAAACAGCACAAAGATCATAGCTGGCAATATCACCATTGGCCTGTGTTACTCTGAGTGTGGCTGGAGGGGTTGAATGAAAAAGTCAGAGGGAGCAGCATCTTCCTGCTCTCTCTAGTCTCTGGGACAGTTCATCTCCCTGTTTCCACATGTTCATATCTAGTTTCCCCTTATTTAATTTCCACGATCGCACTCCCTGACATGGACTCTGTTTTCTGGACTGCACGCAGCTGAGAGATCGCAGAAGGGATTCAGTAGTTGGTAAGTGCCCAATAAATGTCAGCTATTTTTATTATCAATATAACTGGCTGCTCTATTTCTATAAAGTTACAGTCACTCGAATTTGCGTGTCAGTTACAGAGTGGGCATGCAAGCTTTATAGCTAAAGGGAAGCAGATCCACACTGGATGGAATCTTTTCATTGTAATCCCCATGAAAATCTCTTTGTGGTGTTGACACATGAACATCTTTCCTCCTGACAACTTGTCTTGAGGGAACTGTAGCTTCTGTCTTGCTGGGCCCAGAGTCCCCCGCCTAGGACTCAGCTCCCAGGAGGACAATGTAAAGAGAAGTGAACCCAGCTGCCATGTTTTTTCAGGGACAAGGGGGCAGCCCTGCCTCTGTGTCCTCCTAAACAGGGGATCATGCGGCTTTACCTTCCCCAAACCCTCCAGCAAAGAGTATATTCAATCCAAAGGCGAGTACATGAATGAGGAATCATTTGGCTAGAACGCCATCCCTTCCATTTTTGCCTTTTGTGGGGGACTGCTGATATGTCTGGAATTGGTGCACGACAAACACACCAGGCCACGATGTGTAAAACCCACAACATTTGTGTTTCAAAATGTGAGACCTTTGAGTTTAAAAACAGACTTTAAAGAGCTTGAGAACCTGGCAATTAATCAGTACTCTCTGCTCAGAATGAAAGCACAGGACGGGTTGGTGTGTCTCGACACACAGATGGATATGGCTGGATCTAATTACTTTTTCTCTATGATGCTCAAACACCCATTTGTTTGATATTTCTCCCCCCCTATTTTGCTATTTATTGCTTGGCATTTGGTAGGCATAACCCAGTATTGCAGGGGGTTTGGAAATCATTTTTAAAAAATTGGTGCCGCTGTTGTATGCAGAACAAAATCTGCTGCGGTTTTGACCACAATGAGATCGAGTTCTTGTTGTCTTACTGTCACTGATCAACTCACAGAGCCAGGGACTGGATTCTTTTTTTTTTTTTTGAGATGGAGTTTTGCTCTTGTTGCCCAGGCTGGAGTGCAATGGTGTGATCTCGGCTCATGGCAATCTCCGCCTCCCGGGTTCAAGTGATTCTCCTGCCTCAGCCTCCTGAGTAGCTGAGATTACAGGCATGCACCACCATACCTGGCTAATTATGTATTTTTAGTAGAGATGGGGTTTCTCCATGTTGGTCAGGCTGGTCTTGAACTCCTGACCTCGGGTGATCCACCCACCTTGACCTCCCAAAGTTCTAGAGTTATAGGCTTGAGCCACTGCGCCTGGCTGGGACTGGATTCTTTTGCTTGGTCTGGTTTCTGTCTTAGCAAAATGCAGGAGTTTCTGCCTTGGTTCCTTTAATTAACGTCTAAGATTTACTCCACATATTTGTCCCCTTGGAACATATTTGTCCTCTTGGAAGTTTGTATATTTGTCCCCTTCCATGGAAATTCTCTCCTGACTTTATTCCTCAGACTTATTTATTCCACAGTAAGGATGCTTGTGTTAAGTTCTTGTTCTGTGCTAGATACTTAAGGTATGGAGAGAAACAGGCCACCACTGCTAACCTTTGGGAGCTCACACTGGGGCTTACACAGAAGCCGGAGCTGCATGGAGACACAGATGGAAGAAGGCAGTCAGCAGCAGGCGGCCAACACAGCTTGGGTGGTAGGAGAGGTTGATGGGGAGGCTTTGGGATATTTTACTTTTTGGAAATTGACCACTTTCTGATTTCGAATTTAGACAATGTTGGTCAGGCACGGTATCTTTCGCCTGCAATCCTGGCAGTTTGGGAGGTCAAAGTGGGAGGAATGATTGAGGCCAAGAGTTTGAGACCATCTGGGCAACATAATAAGATCCCATCTCTACAAAAAAACAAACAAAAAAAATTGGCTGGGTGTTCTGGTGTGCACCTGTAGTCCCAGCTACTCAGGAGGCCAAGGTAGGAACTCTGATAACTTGAGGCCAGGAGATTGAGGCTGCAGTGAGCTATGATTGCACCATTGCACTCCAGCCTAGGTGACAGAGTAAAACCCTGTCAAAAAAAAAAAAAAAACAGGAAAGAAAGAAGAGAAAAGAAAAAGGAATTCAGAAAATATAATTTAAGGCAATAGAAATTCTATTTCTTTCTACACATGAGATCAGAAAGGAGTTAAAAATATCACATTGTACCAGTCTGGCAGAGTGAAAAGAACTTTGAAATTGGGGAATATCAGAACCCTTCTGTAAAATGGGGATTCTCAGTATCACACTTGACACCACGTGTGTAAAGATCACATTTAGAAAAGCCTTGTCCATATTGTACATCTATGTATTATAATTTTCTAATATTTGAAAATGTTGAGATTAATAACATACATTTTTATTTTAAGGAATTGCCTCATTGATTGTATCTTTTTATAGCAGTTGTTATTCACTTCCTCCAAAAATGGATTGAGAAGTATAATTGCTACTATTTTGGGGGAGAAGGTCTTTTGGATTCATTTGACGATAGAAAGGTATATTAGTCCATTTTCATGCTGCTGATAAAGACATAACCGAGACTGCGTAATTTATTAAGAAAAACAGTTTTAATGGACTCACAGTTCCACGTGGCTGGGGAGGCCTCACCATCATGGTGGTAGGTGAAAGGCACATCTTACATGGTGGCAGGCAAGAAAGAATGAGAGCCAAGCAAAAGGGGAAACCCCTTATGAAACCATCAGATCTCTTGAGACTTATTCACTACCAAGAACTGTATGGTGGAAACTGCCCCCATGACTCAATTACCTCACCCTGGGTCCCTCCCACAATATGTGGGGATTATGGGAGCTACAATTCAAGGCAAGATTTGGGTGGGGACACAGCCAAACCATATCAGAAGGGCACACCATACTCTGAAACATTGGGAAACATTGAAGATTCTTTAAACAATAAAGCCAGTCTCTGTTTTCTGCTCTGCATGGTCCAGGAGCATATAAATGATACACTTCTCTGAGAGTCTCTTCAACTTGGAAAATGTCCAAGAAATGTCTGCCCAGCAATGATAACCCACATTGTGCTTTTGAATACTGCTGCTCTAACTGGGAGGGACTAAGGTAGAGGGAAATTGGCTTTTCTCAGGTCCCATCTGTCAGGTTTGCCTTTGTTTTATCAGGGGGCAGGAACTGGCTCAGGCGGGATGCCTCTCAAAAGCAGCCTGAGATGAGAAAGACCCTGGCCAGTATTCCCAGTTAGAAGCATACATATAATTAGCCCCTTTTTCTTATTTTGTTATTTCCTTCTTCTCATTTGTAGACTGTCACTACAGATGAGGATTTTCAGACCATTCCTTGCCCAATTCTTGATGAGTCCCAATGGTCTCCTAATACCTGTGCTGACTCTCTCATCCCAGGGTGACAGACTGGGCCTTCTGCCTGCTTGTGGATTTCTGGCGTTGGCCTGAATATTTCGGGTTTTCATGTCTTTTCAGCCCAAACTACACCAGGTCCAGTATCCACTGTCCTTATCTGGAATCTTAAAGAATTCATCCTCTAGCAGGGAAGGAGCTGTTGTGCACTAGACCATGATATTCATCTCTCAAGACATAAATCCTATCTGTTCTCTATTATCTTGGATGGCAACTTATGGCACGTTCTTTAGTCTCTCTGGATCTCAGTATCCTAATCTGTAGAATGATATTGTATCAGCTCAGGTCCTCTGGGAAGCAGGTGCCAAGATGTAGTTAGAAATGCAAGAGCTTTGGGCCGGGCATGGTGGCTCACGCCTATAATCCCAGCACTTTGGGACACTGAGGCAGGTGGATGACCCGAGGTCGGGAGTTTGAGAGCAGACTGGCCAACATAGAGAAACCCTGTCTCTACTCAAAATACAGAAATTAGCCAGGGGTGATGGCACACATCTGTAATCCCAGTTACTTGGGAGGCTGAGGCACGAGAATCACTTGAACCTGGGAGGCGGAGGTTGCAGTGAACCAAAATCACACCACTGTACTACAGCCTGGGTGACAGAGTGAGACTCTGTCTCAAAAAAAAAAAAGAAAGAAAGAAAAAGAAAAGAAATGCAAGAACTTTATCTGTGATGTGAAAGGTAAATAGGAGAAGGAGGCAGTGAAGTCTTCAGACCGTTATGGTATGAGCTGTTAAAGAAAAATTATTCAATATTACTTGTTAAAGCACAATAAGAAAGACTTTATTTAGGACCATTGCAATATGGCTGGGCCCCCACCTGTTTCTTGGCTCTCATTCAACACTGAACAATTGGCACCATGGTGTCCCCTGCAATGAAGACCACTGCAACAGGGACTTGCAGTGGAAAAGAGGGACTGGGCTCAACTCCAAATCCAGCAGGGGCAGGTGGACATTTATAGCCATGGAACAAGGTGTGAGTTAGTAGATGGAAACTCACTAAGAGAAGACATCAGGGGTAAGGGGAGTTTTGGCTAAACTGATCTAATAGGATTTTTGCTGAAGACAGGACAGGAGGATCAGACACACCTGAGGAATGGTGGAGGATGAGAAACCTGGTCACATATCAAAGATTATCAGATATCAAGGATGGAAGGTGTCTTAGTCTGTTTGTGTTGCTACAAAGGAATATTGAGGCTGGGTAATTTATAAAGAAAAGAGGTTTATTTGGCTCACAGTTCTGCAGGCTGGAGTTTCTCAGGCTGGAATGCAGTGGTGCAATCATCATAGCTTATTGCAGGGTGTACAAGAAGCATGGTGCCAGCATCTGCTTCTGGTGAGGGCCACAGGAAGCTTCCACTCATGGCAGAAGGTGAAGGAGAACCAACCCTAGCACTACATGGTGAGAGAGAAAGGAAGAGAGAAGGGAGGAGGTGCCCGATTATTTTTAACAATCAGAATTCACAGGGACTGGCAGAGTGAGAACTTACTCATTACTACTGGGACAGCACCAAGAGGTTCATCAGGGATCCAACCGCCATGACCAAAACATCTCCCATCAGGCCCCATCTCCAACGTTGGGGATCACATTTCAACATGAGATTTGGAGGGGACAAATATCCAAACTATGTCAGAGGGGTTCTTGCTAAACTGACTTAGCAGGGTTCTTGTTAAAACTGGATTGTATAAGAAAGTGCACAGACAGGCCTAGTAGAAGATTCAAAGGCCTAACTGAGGTTTGACTAAGCAAAGAGTCTTTGTCAGGGCAGGGAATGCCCTGAGATCATTGTACAGGCCTGGTACCTGTGAAAGGAGAAGGAGAAGGAAGGGAGACGGGGTAGCAAGAGTCTGAGATAGTGGTAATACTATGAGAATATCTAAGCAAGCTGAATGGGGACCTCTAGTGCAGAGAGACATCCCAGAGAGGTGTCCCATGTTGAGTGGGACTGGCCAGGCCCTGGTGCCCTTTCCAAGCTCAGTCACTGACTGGGCACTGTCTGGGAAGACTGGCCTCAGCTCAACTGCTGCAGCTGAAGGCCGATGTCTAACTGCACTCTTTGTAGTTGAATGGCAAATTCGTTCATTCTTTCTCTCTCTTTTTTTTTTTTTTTGGAGATGGAGTCTCACTCTGTCACCAGGCTGGAGTGCAGTGGTGTGATCTCGGCTCACTACAACCTCCGCCTCCCGGGTTCAAGTGATTCTCCTGCCTCAGCCTCCTGAGTAGCTGGGATTACAGGCATGCATCACCACACCCAGCTAATTTTTGTATTTTTAGTAGAGATGGGGTTTCATGAGATGGTCTCCATCTCTTGGCCTCGTGATCTGCCTGCTTCGGCCTCCCAAAGTGCTGGGATTATAGGTGAGAGCCACTGCGCCCAGCCCAAATTCATTCTTGGAAAGAGATCTGAGAGGCATATCTGCATGGCTTCTTTTCTTTTCTTTCTTTCTTTTTTTTTTTTTAATGAAGAGCCACGGCTGGGCATGGTGGCTCACATCTATAATATCAGCACTTTGGGAAGTCAAGGAGGGAGGATGGCTTGAGACCAGGAGTTTGAGACCAGCATAGGCAACATAACCAACACATCTCTACAAAAAATAAAAAATAGCCCAGCATGTTGATGGCCGTCTTTAGTCCTTCTATTTGGGAAGCTGAGGAGGGAGGATCTCTTGAGCTCAGGAGTTTGAGGGTGCAGTGAGCTATGATCACAGCACTGCACTCCATCTTGGGCAACAGAGCAAGACCCTATCAAGAAAAAAAAAGAAAGAAAGAAAAAGAAAGAAAGAAAGAAAAAGAGAAAGAAAGAAAGAAAATAATAAAAAAGAACCAGGGTAGGGCCAGGTGCAGTGGCTCATGCCTGTAATCCTAGCACTTTGGGAGGCCAAGGCAGGAGGATCCCTTGAGCCCAGGAGTCTGAAGCTGCAGTGAGCTATGATTGCAGCACTGCACTCTAGCCTGAGTGACAGAGCAAGACCCTGTCTCAAAATAAAAATAAAAATAAATAAAGAAAGAAAATAAAAGAAAACAACCAGGGTAGGACCAGGTGTGGTGGCTCACACCTGTAATCCTAGCAATTTGGGAGGCGGAGGCAGGAGGCTCCCTTGAGCCCAGGAGTTTGAGACCAGCCTGGGCAATGTAGGGAGACCAGAACTCTATAAAAAATAAAAAATATATGTAAATTTAAAAAAGAAAAAAGAAAAGAACCAGGGTAAAGCCATCTCTAATGTTTGAATGCAAGCTTCATGTATCTCTCTTCATAAGCATTTTAATTGTGTGAACATTTCAAGCATGGGCATAAAGAAGTGTGTTTCATTGAAGCTAAGACATGCTTCCCGTCAACATCTTAATGCATTTCACCAGGGTTGGTGTCCTGGGCCTACGTGCCACTATGAGTTGGCAAAATCAGAGACCCATGACGAGACCCAGGAAAGCTCTGGACACACACAGATGGAGAGTGAGCTCTGAGCTGCCTGCCACCTGAGGAGAAACTGGAGCTCCAGGGAGAAGCTGGTGAGTGGGTGCTTCTCACTTCCCAGGAAGGGCCTCACACCCGCCTCGTCAATCCTCTCTGGGCTCCTATCCAGGTCCAACAGTCGAGGACGTCTTAAGATCCTCACTGTTTCCTGACTTGCCATTTAGGTTTTAGGAAATTAGATGTAAGAAAACACATCTTGCTTTCATTTTTTTTAAAGCTGGTGCCTTTGAAGATGGGGTTTAGGAAGAGGCTGCGTGGTCCCTGAGCCAAAATGTTACAGCAAAGGGGTACCAATCCAGACACCAAGAGAGGGTTCTTGGATCTCATGCAAGAAAGAATTCAGGGCAAGTATGTAAAGTGAAAGCAAGTTTATTAGGAAAGTAAAGGAATAAAAGAATGGCTATTCCATAGACAGAGCAGACCAGAGGGCTGCTGGTTACCCATTTTTATGGTTATTTCTTGATGATATGCTAAACAAGGGGTGGATTATTCATGCCTCCCCCTTTTAGACCATATAGGGTAACTTTCTGACGTTGCCATGGCATTTGTAAGCTGTCATGGCTCTGATGGGAGTGTAGCAGCAAAAACGACCAGAAGTTACTCTTGTGGCCATCTTGGTTTTGGTGGGTTTTGGCCGGCTTCTTTACTGCAACCTGTTTTATCAGCAAGGTCTTTATGACCTGTATCTTGTGCTGACCTCCTATCTTATCTGTGACTTAGAATTCCTTAACTGTCTGGAAATGCAGCCCAGTAGGTCACAGCCTCATGTTACCCAGCTTCTATTCAAGATGGAGTTGCTCTGGTTCAAATGCCTCTGACAATAGCATTGCAGGAAAGAAAGAGTTTGATTGATGCAAGGCTGGCTACTCCATGTGAAAAATTGAGTTATTACTCAAATCCATCTTTCTGAGCATTTGGGGGCTAGGGTTTTTCCAAGGTAGTTTGGGGGAAGGGTTGGGGGTGACTAGGCAATGTGTGCTTGCTGTTGATTGGTTGGAGGTGTCATCATAAAGGTGTAGGAAATGGTCCTCCTACACACAGAGTCACTTCTGGGAGGGGACACGGGAGTGGTTGGAGTTGGTGGGTCCAGGTGGGGCCATCTGTAGTCAGAAATGTAAAAAAATCTGAGAAGATATCTCAAAAGGCCAATCTTAGGTTCTGCAATAGTGACGTTATCTGAAGGACTAATTGGGGAGGTTGCATATCTTGTGACCTCTGGAATAATGGCTGGCAATCGTTTATGTCTACACCTTAGCAGAAATCAGCCTCCACTCATCTTCCTAGCCTGGTGGTCTCTCACTGGCTTTATGAAGATGGTTGAGTTTTGGGCAAGGGCTGTTATCATTTAAACTATAAACTTAATGTCTTCCAAAGTTAGCTTGGTCTAAATCCAGGAATGATTAAGAGCAGCTTGAAGGCCAAAGGCAAGGTGAGGGTTGGCCAGACCAGACCTCCTTCATTGCCTTAATTTTCTAACTGATACAATTTGTGCAAAGGCAGTTTCAGTGAGGTTGAGCTAAGTTTAAAGGTAAAAACAGGAAAAAAAAAGGCAAATGAAGCTAAACTTCGGTAATGAATAAAATATATTCCAAGTTAACTGTTCCAGAGTGCCTCAACTTGGGACTCAACATTAGCATTTCTTTCAACTGTAACTGTGGTTTCCATGTTGTTAGTGAACAGTTTCCTGGTAGTGAACTTTACCCTTGGATAACTAGCTGTTTCCATGTGTTTGTGGCTGTGTGGACTTCGATAGTCATATGCATCTGAAACTCCTATGCAGTCATAAGGTAGAGGCAGTTGTTTTACATAGTTTATTGCTCAGATAAATAAGTTGATTAGCAGGGCGTGACATCATGCACCTGTCGCTCCAACTTCTTGAGAGGCTGAGGCAGGAGGAGGATCACTTGAGCCTGGGAGTTTGAGTCCAGCCTGGACAATATAGTGAGATCCTGTCTCTTAACACAATAAATAAATAAGTTGGCCTTGTGTCTACACGAGGATTTGGGAGCTGGAGAATGAATATGAGTTTGCTTATGTTAGAAATGATTGTTCCTTGGTACCATAAAGAAATAGCACTTGAACACAAATTTAATTTCCTCAGCAAGGCCATTTTCACTTTCTGCAGAAAAGGTACACTCGCCAGCAGTTTTGCAACACGAGTACACTGAACAAAGGAGACAGAGTCATTTATAACTTGATGCGTCCACCTTACTGCTGTGTCCGCTTTCCATTGGCTGGAATGAGACCTCACATTCTGTATTTGTCCTGATTGGCTAGCAACTTAGAACTTTTTAAAAGAGGCAAAGGCAGAGGAGAACAAAGGAAAGAGGAAGGAACTTGCAGAATGCTGAGAAAGGTAAAAACACCTTCAAATAAGGAAGAGGAACAGGCTATGACCTAATGCTTACTTGGACCAGTTTAAGCATGTAGGGTAAATATTTAGGCTAAATTGTGGGAGCTAAGAATATAAAGTATATTGATTTCTTTATTACAGCTAGCAGATATTTAATAATGTTAGCACAGGTCTTTGAATAAATTTTGCTTTCTAAGAGAAGTTACTATTTATTCCTAATTAGATGGGAAGGAAAGTCTTTGAAGAGGAACCTCTACTTTACTTTTTACACTTAGAACACGTTTCCTCCCATCACGGCACTTTGATCTGGCTGAAGATATGAGGATAGAATACACAAGGTCCAGTGGCTGAAGAAATTACAGTGCATTTGTAGAAATGATAATGACTCACAGTGGATGGAGCACAAGGCTTGGGGAGACATATACCCAGAATGAACAGAGCCAGGAGGTCTTTGCGCAGCCGGTGAGGAGCCTGGGCTCAGTTTTGGGAAGAATGGGAAGCTCTGCAGGGCTTCAAGCAGGCAATGACACCATCAGCTTTGCTTATAGAAAGATCACTGGCAGAAACATGGAGAGGTCAAGAGTTGGAGTGGAAAACTGTTAGAGGGTTTTAGAAATAATCCAGGTGAGAGAATGATGGTGACCTCAATTAAGGTGGTGTCACTGGACAGGGAGGCAAGTTCACGCTTTGAGAGCAAAGAAACAAAATACGGTAGGAACAAGAGTGTGAATCACAGCTGTGGGCAAAGCCAGCAAGGGGTTTGCAAGGAAACAGGCTCAGATTCTGAGGCAAGACTCACAACGACCTGTTGTGATAGAATCTCTTTAAAAATTTTCTTTTCAAATATTTAATTGACAAGGATGGAATTGAAGGAGCATAGAGAATTTCACCCCCAAATATGACTCCCTGGTATAATGAATATTTTGAAAAACCCTATGAAATCCACAGGACTTGGAAAATACTTTTCCCTTATCCTCGTAAAGATCAGATGGGCCCACCAAGAAGAACAATTGCTTTATCCTTCTCTTCTCTGCTATCTCATTATCCATTTCAGAAAAGGAAAGGAAGAATGTAGCCAGACCTGGCCTAACCATTTTACAAAATAATGCCTGTCTCCCTGGTTCATTCAGCTTCCAAAGAGAACCATTTACAAATCAATCTCTCTTCCCAATTTCCATTCATTCTCCCAAATACCCATTCATTTTTATCTTGGTAACCATTTCATGCCCCTCAACAGAATTACCTATATTCCCCATCTGTTATAACGTTTAATGATTAATTAATCATTTAATGCCCCTCAACAGAATAACCCTTTTGAACGGAGGTTCTGTAACTGCCCAGTGGGTTCACCTTGCCTGCTGCCTAGACAGAGGCAATTTATAAAGACAGGAATTGCAACAGAGAAAGAGTAATTCATGCAGAGCCAGCTGTGTGGGAGACCAGAGTTTTGTTATTACTTAAATCAGTCTCCCCAAAAACTCTGGGGATTAGAGTTTTCAAGGAGTGTTTAGTGGATCATGGGAAGCCAGTGAGCCAGGAGTGCTGATTAGTCAGGGATGAAGTCATAGGGAGTCGAAGCTGTCTTCTTGTGCTGAGTCAGTTCCTGGGTGGGGGCCGCAAGATCAGATGAGCCAGTTAATTTATCTGGGTGGTGCCAGCTGATCCATCAAGTGCAGGGTCTGTAAAATATCTCAGGCACTGATCTTAGGAGCAGTTTAGGGAGAGTCAGAATCTTGTAGCCTCCAGCTGCATGACTCCCAAACCATAATTTCTAATGTTGTGGCTAATGTTAGTCCTACAAATGCAGTCTAGTCCCCAGGTAAGAAGGAGATTTGTTTTGGGAAGGGGCTGTTATTGTCTTCGTTTTAAACTATAAACTAAGTTCCTCTCAAAATTAGTTCAGCCTACACCCAAGAATGAACAAGGACAGCTTGGAGGCTAGAGGCAAGATGGAGTTGGTTAGTTTAGACCTCTTTCACTGTCTCAGTCATAATTTTGCAAAAGTGGTTTCAGTTCTGTAAGTGTTTGAGCCCCATTGGGAAATTTGATTATCATCCTGTGACTCACATGCATGGTTAAATAAATTTGTATGCTTTTTTTTCTTATTAGTCTGCCTAATTGTGAGTTGATTTTTCAGTGAACCCTCCAAGGCTGAGAGAGAAGCTTCCCCTCTTCCCTTACAGAATATATTCAAGGTATACAATATGAAGATGTTTTTTTCTTTTCTTTTCTTTTTTTTTTTGAGACAGAGTTTCGCTCTTGTTGTTCAGGCTGGAGTGCAAAGGCGCGATCTTGGCTCACCGCAACCTCCGCCTCCTGGGTTCAAGCAATTCTTCTGCCTCAGCCTCCCCAGTAGCTGGGATTACAGGCATGCACCACCATGTCTGGCTAACTTTGTATTTTTAGTACAGACGGGGTTTCTCCATGTTGGTCAGGTTGGTCTCGAACTCTCGACCTCAGGTGATCTGCCCGCCTCAGCTTCCCAAGGTTCTGGAATTAGAGGCCTGAGCCACCGCATCCGGCCAATGATTTCTTATATGCATACATTGTGTTATGAATACTACAATCAAATTAATGAACACATTCATCACCACCCAAGCTATATATTAGGTCCTCAGAACTTGTTCATCTTGTAACTGAAAGTTTGTACTCTTTGACCAACATCTTCTCATTTTCTCCATACCCTAGCCCCTGGCAACCACTGTTCCACTCTTGGCTTCTGTGAGTTTGACTTTTTTGGATTCCACGTATCAGTGTGATCAGGCAGTATTTGTCTTTTTGTGTCTGGCTTATTTCACTTAGTATAATGCCCTCCAGACTCATCATGTTTTCTCAAAAGGCAGATTTCACTCATGGATGAATGGTATTCCATTGCATATCTAAGACCATGATTGTATCCATTCATCCATTGATGGACACTTAGGTTACTTTCATATCTTGTCTATTGTAAATAATGCAACAATAAACACGTGGGTGTGGATATCTCTTTGAGATACTAACTTTGCTTCCTTCGTATGTATACCCAGAAGAAATATTGCCAGATCCTATAGTAGTTCTACATTTAATTTTTTGAGGAAGTGATGGGATCTTTTTGGGAAGGCCAAGGTTTCTTGCAACAGGGAACTCATACTTGTCTTGGCGATTCTTTTCCAACTTGGCATCCACTCCTATCAAGCATTAATATTGGCATGTCCAGAAGGTGAATGCCATGATGAAATTAGTGTTTTCTGATTAGCCAGTGAATATAAGCTAGTCTAGATGAGGCCCTTGAAACTGAATGACATCCGTGGAATACTACACAGCCATAAAAAAGGATGAAATCATGACTTTCGCAGCAAGATGGATGCAGCTAAAAGCTATTATCCTAGGTGAATTAGTGCAAGACAGAAAACCAGATATTGCATGTTCTCACTTATAAGCAGGAAGCTAAACACTGGGTACACATGGACATAAAAACGGAAACAATAGACATTGGGGACTACTAGAGGAGGGAGAGAGGAAGAGGGCAAAAGACTGAAAAACTACCTATTTGGTACTACGCTCATTATCTGGGTGATGGGATCATTCATACCCCAAATCTCAGCATCATGCAATATACCCATGTAACAAACCTGCACAGGTACCCCCTGAATCCAAAATAGAAGCTGAAATTAAAAAAAAAAAAAAATGCCAGCAAGGCTGGGAGCAGTGGCTCATGCCTGTAATCCCAGTACTTTGGGAGGCCGAGGCAGGTGGATTACAAGGTCAGGAGATCAAGACCATCCTGGCCAACATGGTGAAACCCCGTCTCTACTAAAAATACAGAAATTAGCTGGGCATGGTGGCACAGGCCTGTAGTCCCAGCTACTCAAGGAGGCTGAGGCAGGAGAATCACTTGAACCTGGGAGGCGGAGGTTGCAGTGAGCTGAGATTTCGCCACTGCACTCTAGCCTAGCAACAGAACAAGACTCCATCTCAAAAAAAAAATAAGATAAAATAAAATAAAAAATAAAAAATATGCCAGCAAAAGTTGCTTAAAAAAAAAGGAGCTAGGTGATTTGGTTGATTCAATCAAACAATTCATAAAATATCCAGTGATATTTTGGCATCATGTCTTACCTTTCTTCTTCCCATTGCAATGGCATTGTACCTGTTCATTCAGGCAGCACAGTAGTGATTCTAGCTTGGGCTTTGGCATTTAAAAGACCTGGATAAATGACTTCATCTTTCCCGGTCTCAGCTTTCACATCTGCAAACCGAGGATAATAGTAATAGCACCTGCTTTTCTATGGCTGTTGTGAAGTTCAAATGAGTAATGTTCTCAGCACAGCGCCCGGCTTGCAATAAACCTCCATAAATGTTAGCCAATATGAGTATTATTACACGTCCCTGTGTGCCAGAATGTTCTGGCCTCTCCATAGCCTTCTAGCTCATTGGGATGTCTGCAATTGAAAGAGCTGTTCCTATGCTCTGGTTCACGATGAGTCTCTGCTCGGAAACGCACCTTCCACGCCTGCCGTTCCTTCGCTAGCTTTCCCTCACCGGCCCTTCTGCCCTCTTCTCCCCCAGACCCTTTCAGAATGTCTGCAACCATGGAGGAAACCTGTTTGATTACAGTCAAAAGTCTCTCCGGGAAGCTCTAACCCTTTCAGGGTAATTTGGCATGATTTTATGGAAGTGAGCCTTGGGGAAAATTCAAATGTCAAGCATAATTTGGTACTTGAAACATGAAAGTAAAAGCCTTCTGATTTCTTTTCATCTACATTTCCCCCTCTGCACTCTGTCCAGCCTTCCCTCTTCTCTCTCAGGGGTTATTACTCCACAGCGGGGGCTAGAGGTAAAGCAACAGAAGCAGGTGGCAATCTTTTAACCCTTGCTTCTTCCAGCAGAACCCAGGCATTTGGCCTCACTCTTTTGCCTAGGGACCTCTGCTGACCTGTTGTGTTTTCTGTGTGCTGGCAAGGCTGGATGCTTTAATGAATGCCAAAGACTCAGCTGAAGGAGAAGGAGCAGCAATTCTTATTTTTTTCTTTTCTTTTCTTTTTTTTTTTTTTTTGAGAGACAGAGTCTCACTCTGTTGCCAAGGCTGAAGTATGCAGCGATGCAATCATAGCTTACGGCAGCCTCTAACTCCTGGGCTTAAGCGATCCTCCAACCTCAGCCTCCTGAGTAGCTGGGACTACAGGTGCACACCACCACACCTAACTAATTTTTAATTTTTTTTTTTTTAGAGACTGGGATTTGCTGTGTTACCCAGACTGGTCTTGAACTCCTGGGCTCAAGCAGCTCTCCTGTCTCAGCCTCTGGAGTCGCTGAGAATACAGATCTGAGCCACCATGGCTGGTGATATGGTTTGGATCTGTATCTCTGCCCAAATCTCATGTCAAATTGTAATCCCCAGTGTTGGACTGTGTTGGACTCGGGGCCTGGTGGGAGGTGATTGGATCCTAGGGGCAGAGTTCTCATGAATAGTTTATCATCATCCCCCCTTGGTACTGTATAGTGAGTGAGTTCTCACGAGATCTGGTTGTCTAAAACTGTGTAACACCTCCCCTCTCTCTTCTCTTCCTCCTGCTCCAGCCATGTAAGACGTGCCTGCTTCCCCTTCACCTTCCATCATGACTGAAAGTTTCCTGAGGTCTCCCCAGAAGCCACTATGCTTCCTACACAGCCTGCAGAACTGTGAGCCGATTAAACCTCTTTTCTTTATAAATTGCTCAGTCCCAGGTATTTCTTTATAGCAATGCAAGAACAGACTAATATACCTGGCTAATTTTTTTTTTAAAGATGGGGTCTCTCTATGTTGCCAAGGCTGATCTCAAACTCCTGGCCTGCAGTGATCTTCCTGCCTTGGCCTGCCAAAGTGCTGGAATTATAGGCATGAGCCACTGCACCTGGCCAGGAGAAGCAATTCTTTATACACAGTTGATGATGAATTAAAGTTCTCATACATGTTATCTGAATGTGTATTTTATTTAAAAAGACACAAAACAGAGGAAAAGTTGTCTTTTCAGGTTAAGGATGGTGCATTTCCACCCCTGCCCCTATCTGAGGTTGGATTACTAGGCTTCCTGGTTAATTGCATCCCAAGGTTGGGATTTGTATTAGTCTATTCTCACATTGCTATAAAGAAACATCTGAGACTGGGTAATTTATAAAGCAAAGAAGTTTAATTGGCTCATGGTTCTGCAGGCTGCATAGGAAGCATAGTAACTTCTGCGTCTGGGGAGTCCTCAGGAAGCTTCCAATCATGGCAGAAGGCAAAGGGAGAGTGAGGAATCTTCCATGACAGGAGCAGGAAAGCAGTGGCAGGGACAGGCAGGGGGACATGCCACACACTTTTAAACAACCAGGTCTCATGACAACTCACTCACTATCACGAGAACAGTACCAAGGATATGGTGCTAAACTATTGATGAGAAATTCACCTCCATGATTCCTTCACCTCCCGCCAGGTTCCACATCCAACATTGGGGATTACAGTTGGACATGTGATTTGGTGGAGACACGATGCAAGCCATATCAGGATTCCAGTTTCATCATTCACAAGCCATGTGACTGACAAGTTCCCTCACCATGCCAGCCAGGTGTGCCAGAGATGAGGGACAGTGTACCTGAGCAGACACTGTGCCTGGTACCCAGTGCCAATCACCTGAGCAAATAAGAAACATGGCTGCTGCTTTAGGTCCACCTTCTGAATCTCATGGAGAATGTCCCCTAGGTCGATGCTAACCCAGAACTATGCAGGGAAGGGAATTCTTGGAAACATAATTTCACTGTAGCCAAAGAGACCCAGAAAAAAAATCCACAAAAATCCATACAACTTATGTGGCTAGGTTTGGTGGCTCATGCCTGTAATCCCAGCAACTCAAGAGGCCAAGGCAGGAGGGTGACTTCAGACCAGGAGTTCAAGACCAGCTTGGGCAACGCAGCGAGACCCTATCTCTACAAAAAATTTAAAAAATTAGCTGGGCGTGGTGGCACCCACCTGTGATCCCAGCTACTCCTTGGGAGGCTGAGATAGGAGGATCGCTTGAGCTCGGGAGTTTGAGGCTGCAGTGAGCTATGATTGCACCACTGGACTCCAGCCTGAGTGACAGAGCAAGACCCTGTCCCCTCCCCATCACCAAATAAATAAATAAATAAAATAAAGTAAAAAAGAAAGAAAGAAAAGAAAGTCAAGCGTCCAGCCCATTAGGACACTCAGTTGTCATGAGTTGCCATTCTTCTTTCTCTTTCCTCTTTCATCAATAAGGAGGACTCTTGCCCTCCTGAGTCTTTGGGCAGCAACGAGGCATGGAGGTAGATGTATAGTGAGTTGAAGGATCATCTGTGTGTGTGTGTGTGTGTGTGTGTGTGTGTGTGTGTGTGTGTATGGTGGACATAGAATGGATGCATACCACTCTCAGATCTAAGAACACAGATTGGGGAGAATCTGTTTTGAACATTCTGGTCTTATTTTCTCTCTGTCTCTTTTTTAGTGTGGATGATAGAGAGTTTTTCCTGCTTTACTGCTTGGGTATAAGCATCTGTCCCTGGCTAGGAAAAACTAGCTTCTAAAATAGCTGACAGGCAGGAGTTCAAGACCAGCCTGGTCCACATGGTGAAACCCCGTCTCTACTAAAAATACACAAAAAAATTAGCTGCGTATGGTGGTGCACACTTGTAGTCCCAGCTACTTGGGAGGCAGAGGCAGGAGAATCACTTACATCTGGGAGATGGAGGTTGCCATGAGCTGAGATCATGCCATTGCACTCCCGTCTGGGTGACAAAGCAAGACTCCATCTCAAAAAATAAAATAAAATAAGATAAATAAAAGAGCTGATGAAGCCACACACCTCATTCCTCTTGTCCTTGGTTTTTCTGGGGCTCATGGTTGGAACCACAATCTGCTTAAGCCAACCATGTTTTCTGGCTTTTTTGTTAAGCAACTAACTTTTACTGAGGAAAACTTTGTCATCTGTGACGTGATGGATAACCTGCCTTAAACGCAGCAACACTCAGTCACAGATTTTAATTCCTGTAGGAAGCCTTGGAGACGATTTTATTACCTTAACCTGTTGGGAGTTCCTGGAGCCCAGCCACAGGTACATGGAATTTGCTTTCCAATAACCCCCTCACAGGCTGGGATGAGTAGATGGATCCCAGTCTGCAAGAAGTGAGACAGAAAGCAATAATGATGGCCACCTTCTAGGCCTACAGGGACAACATCATATGCAGTGAAGGCAGGGCTTCCCTTATCTGGCTTCCTGGGTCTCCTTGGGTTAACTTCTTCTAGATTCCTTTAGTTGATGTCTATCTCTCTGTCTACCTTTGTGTCTATCCCTAGTTAAGGGGAAGTTACACGTCTGTTGATTACAGGACATACAACCAATGCTTGACTTGACTAACCATCCAAAGACCTTGTATGACTTGGTTTTACAGCTCCTGCAAAATAGGGATTTTTCCATTGGCTTATTTCAAGATCACATCCTCTTGCTCAGAGGTTAGTTTGGCCAGTTATGGTGGTTATTGTTCCCCCAGCCAATAAAAGCATTTGGATGGAGAGATACCTCATTTGTTGGGCTTAGACCATTTGGTGTCATTGCAGGTGGGCAGACACAGTTGGGAAAGGGGCCGGGTCCAGTGCTTTGGGAGGCTGAGACAGGAAGATCACTTGAAGCCAGGAGGAGTTCAAGACCAGGTTGGACAACATAGTGAGACTCCATTTTCACAAAAACAAACAAACAAACAAACAAACAGAAAAAAAAAACAAGAAAAAGGAGCCAGGTGTGATGGTGGACACTTGGAGTACCAGCTACTCGGAAGGCTGAGGAGGATGGATCTCTTGAGCCTAGGAGGTCCAGGCTGCAGTGAGCCATGATCACACCACTGCACTCCACCTTGGGTTATAGAGCGAGACCTAGTCTCTAAAGAAATTTAAAAAAATAGTGGGAAAGGACAAAGCTCTAGTTATGGCACAAAAAGGGAGGGGTCAGAGTCCTGCATTGGATGAGTTTTCTTATCTTTAGGGAAGTAGTTCTCCAAGCGTCATCTCTGGACCGATAGCAGCAGTGTCACTGGAGAATATACTAGAAATACAAATTCTTGGGCCACACCGTGAACCTACTGAATCAGAATCTCGGGGGATGGGGCCCCGCAAACTGTGTTTTAACAAGCCCTCCAGGTGATTGGGAAGGTAGCTAAAGTCTGAAAATCACTGAGCTAGCGCTGGAAACAGACTAATTTTCTTGACACCTGCAACAGCTGCAGCACATTTGCTCAGACAGTTCACACAAGAGGCACATATGCGATGTTAAAATGAGCTAGAATGCTCAGACAAGAGAGGCAAGCTTTTCTTCTCAATACATTTGTCCAAATCCTTAACTTTTATGGGTAAAAGCTTTGAGGCTAAAGGAAAAACAGGAAGAGGGACCAACCTAAGTTCACATAGTTGGTTGCAGAAATCAGAATCAATGTTAGCTCTTTCATTTGCCGCTTCACTGTTCTTTTTTTCATCCTAAGTACTCAAGATGAATTTGCAAGGGTGAATGGAGGGTAAGGATAAGGGTAGATGTTGGCGGTAGATAGTGTATTGTGTTGGGATTAGCATTTCATCCAAATTCTGGCCATTTTCTAGGCATGGCCAAGGGACAACCACTATACTTTTCCCTCCCAGGTCTCAGTTTCCTCATCTGAAAAAACAGGAGCAATGACTCATGTTCTGTCTACCTCCACTGATCTGCAAACTGTAACATGAAATCTATCCGGAAAGCAACAGCAGGCTCCACCACTGCCTTTTCTGCCAGCATCCAGCTCTCCTGCCTGCCTTGCTCTGGGGGACAGGAGGGAGATAGCATACCTCCCTGTTGTCGAGGAGGCCACAGAGCTCTCACCATGCGGAGAAACGATCCTTTCCTTTCATTGACTAATTCAGATGACAGCCTTTTCCATTCTGCTTCCAGCCCTATTAAAACCAGCAAAACAACCACTTATGTGATAATAATTTTATCACACAGCTGCTGTTGTAAATAAGGGAGGGAGGCTCCTGTGCCGGGCCATCTTTACAACAGCTCCATCTAAATGCAAATTTCAGATCCCCTGCCAAACCAGAAGGTGAAGGCTTTCTTATTAGCAGGCGAGAGATAGGAGAGTTAATTTAATGCTAAAACATTCCCGTGCAAGGAGAGCAATTCCCCCTGTTGAGCTGTGGCCTCATTTTCTCTCCATGACCACCGTGCCCATAATATGATAATTTTTACCTTTTTAAACTTTGCTGAAGGAAAAAGAACAGTCATCCGTCTTTGGAAATAGCTCCTCCTGCATTCATTTTATCTACAAAAATGCAGATATTTGTCTATGTGGTAAGTGAATGGCCTGGGAGTAGCTGAAAGATGAAGATGCTGTCGATGCTCTGACATGCTGGGATTCAATGCCTGTGCTTGACTCATGAACTTGCTACAGGCAGGCTTGCTGTATGATGGTGTTGGCCAGGTCTAGACTAATTGCCTCCTTTCCTTCCTTCATGAAGCCAGTCTCCCTGGGCTGAGAGAAGAGGAATTGAGGAAAAAAAAAAAAGAAAAGAAAAAGAATATGAACAGCCAAGTCTATGCATATAGCAGTTATTTTAGCAGTGGGTTGAGAGGAATTGAAATGGGTTATTTTTCCTAATTTTTTTTTGAGACAGAATCTCACTCTGTCACCCAGGCTGGAGTGCAGTGGCATGATCTTGGCTCACTGCAACCTCCGCCTCCCAGGTTCAAGAGATTCTCCTGCCTCAGCCTCCCAAGTAGCCAGGACTACAGGTGCGCAACCACATCCAGCTAATTTTTGTATTTTTAGTAGAGACGGGGTTTTACCATGTTGGCCAGGATGGTCTCAAACTCCTGACCTTGTGATCTGCCTGCCTTGGCCTCCCAAAGTGCTGGGATTACAGGCATGAGCCACCATGCCCAACCCATTTTCGAAAGTTTTTGGGTTGGAGGCTTTCAAGCTATGGGGCTTTGAGCACTCACTTAGCCTCGCAGAGGCTCTTTAACAGTTCTTGGGATTGGAGATAATTTATTATTATTATTATTATTGTTTTTAGAGACAAGGTATTTCTCTGTACCCCTGGCTGGAGTGCAACGGCACAATAATAGCTCACTGCAGCCTCAAACTCCTGGGCTCAAAGGATCCTCCCACCTCAGCCTCCCCAGGTGCATGCCACCAAGCATGGCTATTTTAAAAAATTTTTTGTAGAGATGGGGTCTCACTACATTGTCCAGGCTGGTCTCAAACTCCTGCCCTCAAGTGAACCTCCCACCTTGACCTCCCAAAGCATTGGGATTACAGGAGTGGGCCATCATCCCTGACTTGAGATAGTTAATTAATGCATGTGCCTGGGTATAGAGAGAAGGAAAGGAATGCTTTCTGAGCCCATTTTATAAAACTACCACTGCCTGATTTTTTGCATTGTCACCATTACAGCCACTGCAACCCTGAGAACAGGCTGGTTTTATCCTCATTTTACAGGTGAGGGAACAAACTTGGGTGTTCGTCTCATCAGAGGCTATACAGCTAACGAAGAAGCTACAGTCACTCCTCACCATTCAGGAATTTTGACCTTGTGGATTTCCTTACTCCATAAACTTTATTTGTAACCCTCAAATCCTGCAGCTCTTTCATAGTCATTCTCAGACAGGCACAGAACTTTGAAAATATTGAGTTGCCCAAAGGACATATGCCCAGCTGAGGCCAAAAAAGGTGACTCTGCCTCCTTGTTCCAGTTCATTCTGTAAATAAGCATCTTTTTTTGTGATCTTCGTGCCACATTTTCCCATTTTTTGTGCTTTCGTTGGTTATTTTGCTATTTAAAATGCACTACCCAAATGCAGTACTGAAGACCTCTCTAGTGTCCCTAAGCAGGAGAAGGTTTTGTGGCATGTCTTATGGAGAATATACATGTATTACCTAAGTTTCATTCAGGCATGAATTATAGTGCTGCTGGCTGTGAGTTTAATGTTAATGAATCAATAATATATATGAATAATAGATATGTATTGTTCTGCGGAAACCCATGTAAACAAGGTTGTGTATTGATTGATTGATGAAAATGTGATCAGAGGCTTGCAGGAACCTAACCCTGCACTTCCGCTAGGAGCAATGGTTCAGTGTTCACTGATTCACTGTTGATGGTGACTTTAGGAAACATTGCTACTGTGAATAATGAAAACCAACTGTACTTTAAGTCAGTTCTGTTTGTCTCTTCCATCATCCTTAAGAAGGTATGGAAAAGAGCACCAGAGTGGTCTGGCCCTTAACCCATGCCATCCTCACCCCAGCCACAGTTCTATTCTTCTCTTTCAGGATCAGATCTTCCCAAGCCCTAGATCAGCTCTGATAGGGCACAGGAGGCGTTGAGGGTTGCTTCAAGAGGCAAGTGAGCTATTTTTTTTACCAATTGGGTAATCTTGGGCAAGTTTTGGGGTCTGTTTCTTCCTGTACAGGGAGGAGTTCTTAATGCTATTTGCCAGGGTTGTTGGGGCAATTGGGTGAGATTTATGTACATCATGTGCTTGGCACAGCATCTAGATCATTACAAAAGTAGCAGTTACTAACGTAATTATTAGGATCTTGGTTTGGAGCTATGTTGTGACACTGGTGTTCCAGCTCCTTCCTGGCTGGTTATTGTGGGTCTCGACTGGACCCCTCTTTAACTCTCTGCCTATCTTCTCTGCAGCTGGCCCCTTTCTGAAGGTCTCTCTTGGCTTCTCTGGTTCTTGGCCTTACAGGCCCAGGCCTCACTGGTTCTTTCTGGTGCCCAGGCCCCATTGGCTTTCTGTGGGTGGAAGGCTGAACGAACTACCCCAACTAAGAAGGGAGTAATGAAGCCCACAATAGGGAGGGGGCAAGAGGTCAGATGATCCCAGTATGTATCAGGAGGCATTATTCCACTGTCTTGGAGGTCCAAGAGATACCACACTCCACAACCCCAATTGATCAAGGTCATTGAGAAGTCCGATATTTGGAGTTTTTTCCCCCATTGGACTATACAGGAACACAAAGGCTTACATAGTCCCAGAAAGATCAGGGTGGGATGCCATACCCACTGGGGGTAGCTATGATGCCTTTGGAGCAATGCCCAGCACTTCCCAGTAATGTCCTTTAGTCTGCTTCCAAAGACAGGCTTGGCAGCAGGGGTGTTGCTGATGGTCCCAAGGCTACAGCCCCAAGCCTCCATGAGCCTCCTTGCAGCCATGCTCTACCCAGGTCCTGACTACTCCACGCACTATGAAGTCATGGGCCTAAGTTTCCACCTCTACTGGAAACCCAAACCCTGTTTCTATTCCTAGCCCTGAGGGGAAGAGAATGGAGATTGGGTGAGAAGGAGGGCAAGACTCCCGCTAATTTCTCCCTCAGTTATACCATGTAAGATTTTGAATAATTTCTATAGTGGAAGCAGAGCGTGAAGGTGGCTGTTCTGAGATATCAAGGAAGACACCAAGAAGATCCCCATGTTGGCTAAATTGGACGAGTTGGGATTGGTTCATCATGGAGCACACCTCACTGCTAAGGGACATCTTTGAAAGCTCTGGACAACCTTCTTTAGGATGTTTCTTTTAGATTTAAAAGGATAATCCAACAGGTTCAGGTTGAAAAACATAGTCTTTCTGCTGTCAGTTAATGATGTTCGTACCTTCCTGTCTGGGCTGTGGTTGAAAGTTTGCCCAGTAGTGCTTGGGAGATGGTGAAATCCTGTACTTTGCTGGTGCTATGTTAAGAGGATACTGGTGTTTGCATTTCATCCTTGTGAAAATGTTGGAGTTACATACTAGGGCTATCTTTATTTTAAAGATGAGTAAACAGTACTTGAGAGTTAAGAGATGTGCCCAAAGTCAGATAACAAGTAAGAGGAATGACCATTTAAACTGAAGTAGGTAGGGTGGGTTCAAAACCAGTGCTCTCAACCACTGAGTCCTTATGAGCAGTATCAGAAAGATGAATTGGGAATAGATCCTTCCCTCAACAAGCTACCAGTCTGTTGGGAGTTTGCATTCCATTGCACTTTATTTTTATTTTTTGACCATGGTAAATGACAATGAGGTTGCCTTGGATGGCCATTTTGGGAATTGGCCACCCCACTCTCAGGGATGGATCTCCAAGACACCATGACACTTCCATGGGAGGAAAGACACTTTTCTCCAGGCCATGGCACATTGGTCAAAGGGAGAAGTGACTTTAGGGGGTCAATTAGAGTCTCTCTGTCTCTCTTTCGTGGATGTTGGGAGTAAAATCAAGGTTCTAGAACAAAGATCTATTAACTCTTCTTGATGAAAACTCAAGAGCATCTGTGGCTTCCTGTCTTTCTATTGGTTTGCTTGTTCAGCTTGTCATTGGATTCTTTGAAATATCTCTGTTACCATCATCACCATCATCATTATCATCATCACCATCATCACCATCACCATCATCATCACCATTATCACCACCATCATCATCATCATCACCACCATCATCACATCATCACCACCATTATCATCATCACCATCATTATTTCCTTAAGCTCACCCACATTGTTTTCTGTTATTGCAATCAGTGTAATTTTAAGAAATACAAAAATCCACTCCTTAATGCAATTTCACTAGATACAGGGGCCTTGGTTCTGCTGAGTGTCAACTAGACTGAAAAAAAAGATTGAAATTCTTACCAATCAAAACACCCAGCACCCAGATCCCAGGCTTTCTCAGGTCAGCTCTTTGGCTATTTCTAAGTTTAGAATCTGTCAAAATATCAGAGAGATTGACTGTTGAAATTCAAGTCATCTTTTACTAACAGCAATTATTCTGTAGTGTCTAACATGCAGATATAGCCAGAACCTGTGAGAATCAAAAGGGCACACCTAACTCACAACTTATGGTGAAATGACAGGCGTTGAGAAAGATGGATACAAAAATTATGTAAGTCAGTTACATGGAACACAGCGTTTCCCTAAAAGGGCTAGTCTCTCTTTATTAAATAAAGTTAGTTGACTATAATCTATAAAATCTTTGTGAAACTGACATCCTAGAGCCACTGATATTCATCTAGAACTTTTGTTTACCTAATTAAATCAAGAAGGATTAAATGCATCTGCTTTCTTCATGGTAGCTGATTTCCCTTGTTTATTAAACTGGGAAGGTAGGGTCAGATTCAAATCCTGTTTTCTTCTGGCTCCAAAGCCCATGAATTAATTTATCCTGCCAGTGGTTTTCAAATTTTTACATGCATAGGAACTTCCCAAAGAGGTTGAGACATTTCCAATATCTGGCCCTATCCCTCAGAGATTTGCAGCCAGTAGATCTGAGAGTGGCGCCCTAGAATCTGCATTTTTAACAAGCCCCTAAGCCAATTGATTCAAGGACTTCAACTGGAGAAATATTTTGGCAGCCTAGATTGCTCTCAAAAAGGTAGCATTTATTTAAAAAAAAAAAGAATTATACACTAGGTGAATACACTCAGAAACCTTTAACAAATGGGGAGAGGAAATTCTACCAAGAAAAATTTTTCTATAACAGGAGTGGATTTTGCTTTTTGTCCCCTTTCAGAAGATTGAAGATGCTTTTTCCTCTGCGTTTTCTACGGGATTATAGCATTTTTGGCCAAAGATTATTACTTCAAATAAAAAAATAAGTATTTCTGATCTTACTACAGAAATGTATGAGAGGGATGAAGGTGGTTTTCTGGCCTAGCCACAGAGGAACAACAGGATCTGATTAGTACATTCTGTTTTCATTTATCAGAGGGGCTGTCAGCCGTTCCAACTTATTTTAAAGCATTTCGCACTATCTGTACAGAAAAGGGATATTATTGCTTGTAAGAATTGGGTGCTTGGGATGCAGGCCATGTGCAAGCTTCCTCTAGAGATACCTGGAGTGAGTTTTTCCAGTTGCCTGGAGCCTGCCTGCTCCTTTCTCCATCCCACTTTCCTCGAAAGGGATCAACCACTGATCAAGGCAGGAAATGGGATTTGAAGTGCCATTGATTCGCTTGGCCTGGCTCTTTTTAATTTTTTTTCCTTCTCTATGCCCAGAAGAAAAAAAAATACCCATAACTCCAGGGAGTCAGGAGTCGGGTAGGTTTATCTGAAAGAGATGCCAAGGGTGAGGCAATGTAACAAATTAAAGAGATAAAAGACTGACTTTAACAGTATAGATGACTTACAGTTGCTGTTCCCGTTTGGATGTCTTTGCTCCAATTAATACTTTCTATAGCCTTAAGGTAAGATTATGAAGTAGGTAATAAGATCCTTTAAATCCTACTGTTTTGAAAGAATCCTTATTGTCTAATTCCCTTGCGTTTTCTGTAATGCTTTCAAGAGGTTTCAAAGCCAAAGTTCCAGAAATATAGGGCTCCTTCCCCTCCAGCCTGAGAGATAAGTAAAAATAATTGATTCTTCAGGGTCCTTAATTTGTCAAGGATTGCAAACTGAATCCTCAAAAGATTGGGATCCATTTGTTATATAAATGTTTCTAGGATGAAAAAAGCTAAAGGCAGAGTCAGATTTGAGTCAGGTGGAAAAAAAGTCTTCGGATTATCTCTGTGTGTCTATACCCAACATTTTAAACAGTCCTGGTGCATGTTAACAAAATTATTTTTAAAAAGCATTGCTACTCTGTGCTGTTATTTAATACTCTGGCCTTCTTTCCCTCATTTCTGTTGGATCCAACGTTCAACGTGGAGTCAGAAACTCTGAAGTTAAGTTCTGGATCTGCTCCTTTGCATATGAGGATGAAGAAATCTTTCATTCTTTCTGGAAGAGAGTTTGTCCTGGGGTAGAATTGTGACTGGAAAGGGGTTCTGATCCAGACCCCAAGAGAGGGTTCTCAGACCTCATGCAAGAAAGAATCTGAGGCAAGTTCACAGGGTAAAGTAAAAGCAGGTTTATTAAGAAAGTAAAGAAATAAAAGAATAGCTATTCATAAGGCTGCTGGTTGGCTATTTTTATGGTTATTTCTTGATCATTTGCTAAACGAGGGGTGGATTATTCATGAGTTTTCTGGAAAAGGGGCAGGAATTCTCCAGAACTGAGGGCTCCTCCCCCTTTTTGACTATACAGGGTAACTTTGGATTCTTACCATGGCTTTGTAAACTGTCATGGTGCTGGTGGAAGTGTCTTTTAGCATGCTAATACATTATAATTAGCGTATAATGAGCAGTGAGGATGACCAGAGTCCACTTTTGTCGCCATCTTGGATTTGTTGGGTTTGGGGCAACTTCTTTACTGTATCCTGTTTTATCAGTAGGGTCTTTGTGACCTGTATCTTGTGCTGACCTCCTCACTCATCCTATGACTAAGAATACCTAACCTCCTGGGAGTGCAGCCCAGCAGGTCTCCATCTCATTTTATCCAGCCTGTTCTTCAAGATGGAGTCACTTTGGTTCAAACACCTCTGACAGAATGGGAAAAAGAATGCCTACATTAGAGGGTTATTTTTTACCTATGCTGTCAGCCATGCGTTATTCTCATATTCATCCATTCATTCATTCTGAAGCCCCAAGCATCTACTAGGTTCTAGGATATAATGGTGAATAAGCCATCATGTCTGGCTTTAGGAATCTCAAAGATTATAGCGTTAATATTTAGGCAAATGGTCAATTATTGTATAAGGGGTTCAGGTTTGTGATAGAGGAAATAATAGAGAGAAGTGGTCGCACATAGTCACCTAAAGCAACAATGGTGGGGGGAGATTGCAGAAAATAGTGTTGGTTGTCAGCCCCAAACCATCACCTTTTCTAGTGGACTTAATTCTGTTTCTGTAATCCCTGCTTTGCTAATCCTATCACAGTAATCCTTCTCTTGCTAGTGATTGATTTAGGCATGGGTTTGTTACACAATGCTGGTCACTGAGAATTGAGAGAAAGTCCAATGAAGGATTCTGAGAAATGTTTCCTCACTCTTAAAGAGAGGCACACAGGGTGAAATAGAGCCTTTTCTTCCTTGGGAAACTGCTGTGACCACAAGTTTTGTCTAGACTTGTGGCAGCTATCCATGAACATTGCAGGAACTGATAAGACAGGCAGAGGATGATGGAGCAGAAAGATGGAAATACCATCTTTGACATTTTTGAGCAGCTAAATGTACCCACTGCAGAACCCTCTTGTCTTGAGACTTCCTCTTTTGTGAGATAATACATCTTTGCTATTCTTTAAACCAATTGAGTCAGGGTATAAGAGCCCTAGCTGTTGATAGCATGGTTGATTCCTGAAGGAGAAGTAGGAGATACTCAGGAGGTGAGAGTGACACTGTCCCTATAAACTTTATAAAATTAATCAGGGAAGAAGAGTAGGGGAGAAATGAAGATAAACCAAGCTTGCAGCACATTCAGGGTTCATCATGAGGTCACCTTGCTTGCTCTCCAACTTGCTTGCTCACAGCTGTTTGGCGCCTCTTGTCCTAGAATCACATAGACCCTGTCACGAGATTATGGTTCCCCTTAACTGCTTTGTGAAGTGTTAAGCTTTTCCTTTGAGATATTCTTTCAGGTTCTGCATACCAGTGAAGCTACCGACATCCACTGGTCTGAAGGATTCCAAGAGGAGCTGACTCACCAAAGAATGCAGTTTCCACATCTTGATGATTTTATCTCCCTTTCCCTGACCAGTCAATGACCCTAATTTTCCAGCCCCTTGCCCTCCAGGATCCCCTTATAAAATCCCAACCCAGTGAAACCCCGTCTCTACTAAAAATACAAAAATTAGCTGGGCATGGTGGCACATACCTGTAATTCCAGCTACTTGGGAGGCTGAGGCAGAGAATTGCTTGAACCTGGGAGGCAGAGGTTGCAGGGAGCTGAAATCATGCCACGGCACTCCAGCCTGGGCAACACAGCAAGACTCTGTCTCAAAAACAAACAAACAAACAAACAAAAAAACAAAAAAACAAAATCCCAACCCAGAACTCTTTGGAGAGACAGATTTGAGGGTTCCTCCTGTCTCCTCGCTTGGCTGCCCTGCAATCATTAAACTCTTTCTCTAATGCAAACTCTGCTGTCTCGGTGTATTCGTATGTCATTGCACAGCAGGCACACAAACCTGGCAATCCTACAACAAGAGGACAAGGGCATTCTAAGCAACTGACAGTGCATAGGCAAAGGCCCTGTGGTTTTTAAAAATAACCTGGCCCACTGAGGACACTGCAAAAATGCCCAATCTATGCAAAGAGTGGCAAACAATGAGCCTACAGAGAGAAACAGGATCCAGGTCATAGAAGGGATGGTATATTTGTAATAACGAGGTGACCTTTTTGAGAAAGTATAAAGGATCATGTACAGGTAAGGAGCTAGGTGACCAACAAGTCTCTTCCAGCACTGATGTTCATCTCCCTGTTGGGACCACTGCTTGGTTTGTGGGACTGCAAGAGGAACCCTTCACACTATAGTCCATGTGAGTGCCAGTCCCATGAGCATGAAGCATCCTTTTTCTGGCCAGGCAAGCATGTGAATAGTGCCCTCAGCATTCTGTACCCAGTGGACTTGGCTGATTCTGGAGAATCTGAGAGCCAGAGTGGTTCCTGCCATGGCCACTGTGGCTGGAAAGAACTACAGGGGCTGCCACATCTGCCCCAGTGGCCACTGTTTGTTAGTCTTGTCCTTTATACCAGCCAGTCCTCAGCCAACCCCAGAGAGAGTTCATTGAGGCTGGATTACCATCGAGCACCCTTTTAGCTCCCAAAGGCTCAATTCTTGCAATTTATTATGAACTAACAATAAATGTGCACACACCATTCCATGAAAATCCATAAAACGGTAAATTCTGTTTGCTTTTAACATTTCATTTGTTTATTATTTATTTATTTATTTTTTGAGACAGAGTATCGCTCTGTCACCCAGGCTGGAGTTCAGTGGTGCAATCTCGGCTCACTGCAAGCTCCACCTCCTGGGTTCATGCCATTCTCCTGCCTCAGCCTCCTGGGTAGCTGGGATTACAGGTGCCCACCACCACTCCTGGCTAATTTGTTTTTGTATTTTTAGCAGAGACAGGGCTTCACTGTGTTAGCCAGGATGGTCTTGATCTCCTGACCTTGTGATCCGCCCGCCTTGGCCTCCCAAAGTGCTGGGATTACAGGCATGAGCCACCGCACCTGGCCCATTTATTCATTTTTGAGATAGGGTCTCACTGTCACCCAGGCTGGAGTGTAGTGGTGTGATCATGGCTTACCGCAGCCTCTGCCTTCCTGGTTCAGGTGATCGTCTCACCTTGGCCTCCCGGGTAGCTGGGACTCCAGGCACATGCCACCACACCTGGCTAATTTTTTGTATGTTTTTGTAGAGATGGGGTTTTGTCATGTTGCCCAGGATGGTCTTGAACTTCTGGACTCAAACAATCTGCCCACCTCTGCCCTGCAAAGTGCTGGGATTATAGGCATAAACCACTGCACTGGGCCAAAAGGTAAATACTGCTTGCTTGTATAATGAAGCAATCATTCATCCTTGCAGAATACTCAGTATAAATAAGTTCATTGTTCTCAAGGAGGATCTCATCTTTTGGCCATGTTGTTTGAATTTGGGAAAAAAAATCAAAACGTTTTTTCATGTTCATATCTCTCTGTTTCTGCCTGTCTTCAGAAATGTGAAATCTACACTTGGCTTGTTAATAAGTGAGAGTCCAGTGGTGATTATCATGTTCTTATTTTGGAGATGTGTGTGAACGTGATGTGGTCAGTGCGGGTGCTGATGCCACACAGATAGGCCAGTTTTCATGAGCTACTTTTGTTCCCCAAGGGGAAAATGTAGGTGTTACTGAGATCACAAAGAATCCTCTTAGCCCAGGAATGGTGGCTCATGCCTGCAATTTCAGCACTTTGGGAGGCCAAGGTGGGAGGACTGCTTGAGCCCAGGAGTTTGAGACCAGCCTCGGCAAAATAGTGAGACCCTATCTGTACAAAAAATATAGCCAGGCAGGCTGGGCACGGTGGCTCACACCTGTCATCCCAGCACTTTGGGAGGCCAAGGTGGGCAGATCACCTGAGGTCGGGAGTTTGAGACCAGCCTGACCAACATGGAGAAACCCTGTCTCTACTAAAAATACAAAATTAGCCAGGCGTGGTGGTAGGCACCTGTAATCCCAGCTACTTGGGAGCCTGAGGCAGGAGATTCACTTGAACCTGGGAGGCGGAGGTTGCAGTGAGCTGAGAAAAGTGACATTGCACTCCAGCCTGGGCAAAAACGCGAAACTCCATCTCAAAAAAAAAAATATATATATATATATATATAGCCAGACATAGTAGTGCACAGCTGTAATCCCAGCTACTCTTGAGGCTGAGGTGGGAGGATCGCTTGAGCCCAGGAGTTTGAGTCTTTTTATTATTATTACTATTATTATTATTTTCTTCTAGGAGTTTGAGTCTTCAGTGAGCTATTATTGCACCACTGCACTCCAGCCTGGATGACACAGTGAGAACCTGTCTCAAAAAATAAAATAAAACGAAATAAAATAAAAAGTATCTTTAAAAGAAACACACAAAAAGCAAATGTATGTATTGATCAGCTGATGAAAATATTACAGCCAGAAGCTTGAGGGAACCTAACTCTGTACTTCTAGGAGCGATGGTTCAGTATTTGATAATTCAGGCTTTGCCGTGGCTTTATGGAATGGAATTTCTGTGAATAACAGGAATCGATGTATCTTCCTTGTGTTACTGATTTTACTGTAGATCTGTTCACTTGATGTGATCAGAAAATCATAGAATCTCAGAGTTTATAGGGAAATCCCTTTGTGAAGAGCTTGGATGCTTCTGCTGATGGGGTGCTCACAACCATAGAACATATCCCATCTTAGCTCTGATGACCAGAAAGCACTTTCTTATGCAGACCTGAAATATTTGCTCATTGTAACTGTGCTTGTACGTTTTTATTTTTATTTTTATTTGAGATGGGGTCTCACTCTGTCACCTAGGCTGGAGTGCAGTGGCACGATCTCAGCTCACTGCAACCTCCGCCTCCTGGGTTCAAGTGATTCTCCCACCTCAACCTCCCGAGTAGCTGGGATTACAGGCGTCCACTACCACACCCAGCTAATTTTGTTTGTACTTTTAGTAGAGACGAGGTTTCATCATGCCAGGCTGGTCTTGAACTTTGACCTTAGGTGATCCACCTGCCTCGGCCTCCCAAAGTGCTGGGATTACAGGCATGAGCCACCGCACCCAGCCGAAAATGTTTGTACATTCTAATCCTGCTCTCTGGGGCCTCACAGATTAAGTCTGCTTCCTTTCTTAATATATTGTTTTCTTTGAGTATTGAAGATGCTGATCTTATTCTTCTCCCCTCTGTCTTCCTTCTCTCCTAATTCTGTCTTCTTCCTCCTCCACCCCACCTTTCCTCTTCTGTATCCCAAAGAGTGGCATTTAATCACTACCCCTTTCTCTAGGTGAATCGTTTCCTCATCCATCCATCCATCCATCCATCCATCCATCCATCCTTCCTTCCTTCCTTCCTTCCTTTCCTTCCTTCCATCCTCTCTCTCTCTTTCTCTCTCTCTTTCTTTCTTTCTTTCTTTCTTTCTTTCTTTCTTTCTTTCTTTCTTTCTTTCTTTCTTTCTTTCTTTCTTTTTCTCTCTCTCTCTCTCTCTCTCTCTTTCTTTCTTTCTTTCTTTCTTTCTTTCTTTCTTTCTTTCTTTCTCTTTCTTTTTGAGACAGAGTCTTGCTCTGTCACCCGGCTGGAGTTCAGTGGTGCGATCTTGGCTCACTGCAACCTCTGCCTCCCGGGTTCAAGCAATTCTCCTGCCTCAGCCTCTGGAGTAGCTGAGATTACAGGCGCGGGCTACCACACTCGGCTAATTTTTTGTATTTTTTGTAGAGATGGGGTTTCACCATGTTGGTCAGGATGGTCTCGATCTCCTGACCTCGTAATCTGCCCGCCTCGGCCTCCCAAAGTGCTGGGATTACAGGCATGAGCCACCGCACCCGGCCCCTTTCCTGATTCTTTCAATCCTTCCTTATATAACATGAATTTGTCCATTGCCCACTGTTGGAAGATACAAAACACAACAACGTTTCTATCTCTGTTGTAGTGAAATATACTTTCCATTTCTATACAGTCTCACCCTACTGTAGTCTTTCCTACCTAAATGTGCTCCTGGATTTCATTTGCTAATTCATTTTAAGTTGGTCCCACTTAAACCAAACTCTTTTAAAATACATCTGTTTTAGAAGTGGGCCACCCAGACCCTTAGGGTGGAAGAACGATTGTGATAACACTCAAATTATCTGTGCTCTTAAGGGATCCGATGTGACATGTTTTTACAGCCTTCTCACATACATACCGTTATTGAGGCTGGGTCCCAATTAATGAGGTACTATTTATAATTTTCCTCGAAAGCAACTGTTCGTTTTAAAAATAGCTTTTTAAAAGAAGGATTGTATTACATTATGGGAATGAAATCTGTTAAAGAAGGCTGCCTTCTGCTGCAGAAGAAGTGAGGGGATTATTTAGAGTGGGTTGTGTGTGTGTCACTGGAGAGATTACTGAGCCTGGGGGAGCAGGGAGGATTAGGGAGGTTTGACATAGGACAGCAGATTAAAAGAATACTAAATATGTATTACAGGCTCTCTCTTATTTCACATGATATTTCAATGCTGTCTCCTCTGAATAATTCAGAACTAGAATCCAACCAATAGCTTACCTAGGAAGGTTTATGAATGGGGTGAAATAGAA
Organism: Homo sapiens; assembly: GCF_000001405.40. NCBI lineage: Eukaryota > Metazoa > Chordata > Mammalia > Primates > Hominidae > Homo > Homo sapiens. The sequence goes on along the minus strand of NC_000007.14, from coordinate 68,958,582 downwards.
TTACAAGTTTTCATCCCACCAGGGACTGTGTCTTCTCATTCACAATCATCAGAATTTGTTCTTCCTGTTTAGAACAAGGAGAAAGAGCAGGAAGACTAAAACGGGGTTTGGGGGAATCTATTTATCAAGACTTTTTTTTTTTTTTTTTTTTTTGAGACGGAGTCTCACTCTGTCACCAGGCTGGAGTACAGTGGCACGATCTTGGCTCACTGCAACCTCCACCTCTGGGTTCAAGCGATTCTCCTGCCTCAGCCTCCCTAGTAGCAGGACTACAGGTGTGCGCCACCAAGCCCAGCTAATTTTTGTATTTTTAGTAGAGACGGGGTTTCACCATGTTAGCTAGGATGGTGTTGATCTCCTGACCTCGTGATCCTCCTGCCTCGGCCTCCCAAAATGCTGGGATTACAGGCATGAACCACTACACCTGGCCTTATCGAGCCTTTCAAAGGCACATACAAGCTGTCAAATAATTAGATCATGCCTCAAAACTAGCACTTGATTAGATTTTGCCTTATGATTTTGGTCTTTCTTTTCCTCTCTTTTTATTCACTAGGACTTAGGTAAGTCAGTCCTCAAATATATAGTAGTGGGTATTTCATATCCAGGGAACTAAAAACTGCACTTAACATGTAATTTCTGACTCCCTAGCTGCTTTGAGGACTGTGACGTCTCAAAACCGCCAGCACCATTTGTTACCTGTACTCCATGGGACAGTACCCTGTCAACCAGAGTAGGCGGATCCACCATGCACAAAAGCAAAATGAAATAAAACTGAAGAGCAACTGCTAGGCTGAATCAAAAAATAAAAAGAGGGCCAGGGCCGGGCGCAGTGGCTCATGCCTGTAATCCCAGCACTTTGGGAGGCCGAGGCAGGAGGATCACGAGGTCAGGAGATCAACACCATCCTAGCTAACATGGTGAAACCCCGTCTCTACTAAAAATACAAAAAAAAAAAAATTAGCCGGGCACGGTGGCGGGAGCCTGTAGTCCCAGCTACTCAGGAGGCTGAGGCAGGAGAATGGTGTGAACCTGGCAGGTGGAGCTTGCAGTAAGCCGAGATCACGCCACTGCACTCCAGCCTGGGTGACAGAGCGAGACTCCGTCTCAAAAAAAGAGGACTGGGCGCGGTAGCTCACACCTATAATCCCAGCACTGTGGGAGGCCGAGGCAGGCGGATCACCTGAGGTCAGGAGTTCGAGACAAGCCTGGTCAACGTGGTGAAACACCATCTCTACTAAAAACACAAAAATTAGCCGGGAGTGGTGGTACACGCCTGTAATCCCAGCTACTTGGGAGGCTGAGGCAGGAGAATTGCTTGAACCCGGGAGACGGAGGTTGCAATGAGCCAAGATCAGGCTATTGCACTCCAGCCTGGGTAACAGAGTGAGACTCCATCTCAAAAAAAATTATATAAAAAATAAAAAGAGGTCAAGCATAGATGCTCATGCCTATAATCCCAGCACTCTGGAAGGCCAAGGTGGGAAGATTGATTGAGGCTAGGAGTTCAAGACCAGCCTGGGCAACATAGTGAGACCCTATCTCTACAAAAAATAAAAAAATAGCCAGCTGTGGTGGCCCGCACCTGTAGTCCTGGCTACTCAGGAGGCCAAGGTGGAAGGATCACTTGAGCCCAGGAGTTCGAGGCTGCAGTTAGCCATGATTGCACCACTGCACTCCAGCCTGGGTGACACAGCAAGACCCTCTCTCTGACAAAAAAAAAAAAAGAACAGTTTTGAATCTACTGGTGAAAGTTGGAGTTAGTAGTATACCCAATTCTGATGTCTTCACTCTTGTCCTACGGATGACAAGCTCCTGTATTAATTCATTTCTTGATTCTTGGTTGATGGTTCAGTTTGTCCTTTTGACTTTCAGAACCATTTATTGGCATCATATCATTCCAAGTCCTTTAAAAAACTCTGTGTAGACTTAATTCTGTGGGTGGTTTCTGAGTCTGGGTGGAATCACATACGAGGTAATTGAAAGAAGTGAGGACATTGATGATTAACTGCTACTTAATGGAAGGACGACAGAGTTAGGAATGATTTACTGAAGTTAAATTTGCTTAATGATTGATTCACTTGATGATTTAGGTGTTTCTTTTTTATTTGTTGTTGTTTTCTTTTTGTTTGGGGGAAGATGAGGATAAGGAAAAAGCAGTTTGCACAGGGGAAAGCAGAAAAGCTTTTCTTTTAAAAATTATATCTGTTTATGGCTGGACACAGTGATTCACACCTGTAATCTTAGCAATTTGGGAGGCCAAGGCAGGAGGATTGCTTGAGGCCAGGAGTTCAAGACCAGCCTGGGCAACGTAGCAAGCAAGACCCCATCTCTGCAAAAAGTAAAAATAAAAATTAACTGAGGGCAGTGGTGGCACACACCTGTAGTCTCAGCTACTCAGGAGGCCGAGGGAAGAGAATCCCTTGAGTCCAGGAATTCGAGGCTGTAGCGAGCTATGATTGCACCACTGCACTCCAGCCTGGGCAAAAGAGTGAGACCCTATTTCTTAAAAGAAAATTGTATTATTCAATGGTCGTGAATCTGAACATTTTTGTTGTTCCAGGTAATGTGTTGTGAAAAGGTCTCTTTTGACTCATTTCAGATCCAAGCGTGTGCTTGTTCTGGGCCCAGTGTGTGACATGACAACCACTTTGTTACCCAGAATACTCATCTATGATGAAAATTTATGATTAGTTATAAGATTTTATTGGTCTTACATTCCAGCTTTGTCATGTAATTCACGACCTGTATTTCTGGATTATGTATACAACTGCTAACATTTATGAGGCTGGCTAATGAGTCTGCTCACCAGCCACAGGAGCTGCCCTCCTGTGAGTAGCTCCCTGATGGACTCACAGGCCTGTGTGTGTTTCCCGGCCCCTCCCTACCCAGTGGTGGTCAGCTTGGTGGCACAACAGACCCTGTATCTCATGGGCTCTTGTTGTTCTTCCCAGCACCTTCCTTGCAGCGAGCCTGCAGGACGAGTCTACAGTGTCTTGAGTAGATTTCAACCCATGGCTTGCTCCTCTGTTGGGTTTTTCTCCTCTCTCCCTCTCTCCCACCTCTTCTTCTCTCCCTCTCTCCCTGCCTTTCTTCCTCTCTCTCTCCCCACTTCTCTTTATCTCTTTCTCCCTTTCTCTCTTTCTTTCTCTCTCTCCATCCCCCTGCCTCTTCCCCTTTTCTCTGTCTCCTTTCACTTCTCATTTTCTCTTTCTCTCTCTCCTTCTCTCCCTCTCTTTCTCTCTCTCCATCTCTCTTTCTCCCTCTCCCTCCCCATCCCTCTGCCTCCCGCCCTCCCCCTCCCCTCCCTCTCCCCTCTTTCTCTCTGTCTCTCCCCCCTTCTCTCTCCCTTCTCCCTTTCTCTCTCCCTCTCTCTCTCTTCTTCTCTCCCCCTCATTCTCTCTCTCCCTCTCTCCTTCCCTTTCTTGTTTCTCTCTCTCCCCTCTCTTTCTCTTTCTGCTTCCTTCTCTTTCTCTCTCCCTTCTCCCCCTCCCTCTCTCTCTCCCCTTCTCTCCCTTCTCTCTCCCTCTCTTTCTCTCCCCCATCCCTCTGTCTCCCTGCTCTCTCTCTCCTTTCTTTCTCTCTCCTCTCTCCCTCTCCCTCTTTCACTTTCTCCCTTCCTCGCTTCTTTCTGTCTCCCTTTGTCTTTTTCTGTTCTTCTCTCCCTCTTTCTCTCTCTCTCCCCCTTGCTCTCTTTTTTTATCTCTCTCTCCCCCTCTTTCTCTTTTCCCCTCCTTCTCTTTCTCTCTCTCCTCTCCCTCCCACCCTCTCTTTCTCTCCTCTCTTCTCTCTCCCGTTCTCTTCCCACTTTCTTTTTCTTTCTCCCTCCTTTTCTTTCCCCCCCACTTCTCCTCCTCTCTCCCTCTCTTTCTCTCTCCCCATCTCCCTTTCTTATTTCTCTCCCCCTCCCTCTTTTTCCCTCTCTCTCTCCCCCTCTCTCTTTCCCCTCTCCATTCTTCCCACACATTCTTTATCTCTGTTCCTTTCTCCATTTATAGTTACCTGCTAAGGTGTCACCTTACTGCCTTTTAAGCATGAGCTTTGTTGCCCTTAGAAATGTACCAAAGGAAGCATCTTGAATGCATTTTCCTTTGACATTTATGAGATTTGCCTGCATCAATTCCCCAATGAATAGATGAATCTAGAGCCCCCTGTGAACTCTCTTCCTGGGGAAGATTTGAGGAGATGCTTCTCTCTCAGAAGCATTTCTCTTTCTGCAGAAAACCCCAGTAGTGAATTCATATAATAATGAGTTGCCTAATAACTCAGCAGATGTTAGCATATCTTTTTCTCAGGCTTCTATTGATTGTGAAGAAAAATTAGACAGTTGACAATTGGTCAGGCATGCAAGCCAGGCAAGCTGGAATGTCAGGGGTGACACAATGGGATGTAACTTTGCATATAGATAGGAACACGGCTGTGTGAATTTTCACGTTCAGGTTCAAAAGAACCAAACCGTGGGTTTTTCTAAAGACCGAAAGTGTTCTAAAATGGGACGCTGGCAAACGAATGTTCTGTGGGAACAAGCAGGAAGAAGAAAAATCAGGAGGGAAGCCATGGCGAGTAGAAGAGATGTCGCAAGGAAGGTGTACTAGGTAAATCTAAGCCTGGAAAGATGACACTGCCCCTCGCGCACGGCACTGAGTGGACAAATAACAAGGGGTGCCTGGGTTAACACCGGAGTCAGGAAAGAACAAAAGCTCAAAGTTGCCTAAAGTCAGACCAGCTGGGCATCTGGGAATTTGTTTGCATTCAGAAAAAAAAAAAGCAAGGGTCGGATAAAGGCAGCATGAATAACCCAAGAAAATATTAGGCGGTATTGGCCGGGCACGGCAGCTCACGCCTGTAATCCCAGCACTTTGGGAGGCCGAGGCGGGCGGATCACGAGGTCAGGAGATCGAGACCATCCTGGCTAACACGGTGAAACCCCGTCTCTACTAAAAATAAAAAAATTAGCCGGATGCCTGTAGTCCAAGCTACTCGGGAGGCGGAGGCAGGAGAATGGCGTGAACCCGGGAGGCGGAGCTTGCAATGAGCCAAGATCTCGCCAGTGTACTCCAGCTTGAGTGACAGAGCAAGACTCCGTCTCAAAAAAAAAAAAAAAAAAAAAAAGGCGATATTTCTTTACTGGTACCAGTTGTACACCAGTAGGATGGGATAAGGAATGCATGCCCCAAAAGACACGGGTAAGTTTTTTACCCACTCTTTCATTTTAAATTTTTTAAATGATTTCAATTCTTTTAGATATAGTTTGTTTGTTTATTTATTTATTTATTTATTTATTTATTTATTTATTTATTTTTGAGATGGAGTCTTGCTCTGTCGCCCAGGCTGGAGTGCAGTGGTGTGATCTTGGCTCACTGCAGCCTCTGCCTCCCGGGTTCCAGCAATTCTCACACCTCAGACTCCTGGGTAGCTGGGACTACAGGCACGCGCCACCATGCCCAGCTAATTTTTGTATTTTTGGTACAGATGGGGTTTCACCATGTTGGCCAGGCTGGTCTCGAACTCCTGACCTCAGGTGATCCATCTGCCTCGGCCTCCCAAAGTGCTGGGATTACAGATGTAAGTCACCTCGCCTGGCTGATATAGTTTGTTTTTAGTACTCATTTTTGCGGCCTGGTGCAGTGGCTCATGCCTCAAAAAAAAAAAAAACTCATTTTTGGAGTTTGATCCTTGGTTCATGTGTCCTCGCTAAATATATAGAAGGAGAACTCTGGGTTTTAGAATTGAGCCTGGAGTCATAGTAGGCTACAAGCCTTCTGAACCGGAGGTGCAGACCCTTTTCTGACTCCCTGTATAGAGCTGAGCCTCTAAACACACTTACAGACACTGGGAAATATGGGCTGGGCACAGTGGCTCATGCTTGTAATCCCAACACTTTGTGAGACCCAGGTGGGAGGACTGCTTGAGGCCAGGAGTTTGAGACCAGCCTGGGCAACACAGCGAGACCCTGTCTTAACAAAAAAAAAAAAAAAAAAAAAAAAAAAAAATTAGCCAAGTATGGTGGAACACATCTGTAGTCCTAGTTACTTGAGAGGCTGGATTGCTTGAGCCCAGGAGGTCAAGGCTGCAGTCAGCTACGATCATGCCACTGTGTTGCAGCCTGGGTGACAGAGCAAGACCCTGTCACACAGGAAAAAAAGAAAGAAAGAAGGAAAGAAGGAAAGAGAAAGAAAAAAGAAAGAAAGAAAGAGAGAAAAGAAAAGAAAGAAGAAAGAAAGAAACATATTTTAGAATCAGGGTCTCCCACCTCAGCCTCTTGAGTAGCTGGGACTACAGGTGCATGCCACTATCTCTAGTTAATTAATTTCTTTTTGTAGAGACAGGGTCTTGCTGTGTTGCCCAGGCTGGTCTCAAATTCCTGGCCTCAAGTGATTCTTGAAAGACCTTGGCCTTTCAAAGTGCTGAGATTATATGTGTGAGCAATATTTTTTTGAAACTTAATGAATTGATATGTAAATAAGTATTAATGAAATAAATCAGAGGAAGACCAGTCTAGACTCCACATAGACAGTGTGTCAATCACCAAGGATTGTGATTAATTTAATTTTGCGCCCAATGGCTCTAAAATAAGTTATTAAAAATTCAATATAGGCACAGCAAATTAAGTATTCAGATAGAATATGAGGGATATTGGTGTCTTTTTTTTTTCTTTTTTGGAGACGGAGTCTCTCCCTCCCAGTTTCAAGCCATTCTCCTGCCTCAGCCTCCCAGGTAGCTGGGATTACAGGCACTTGCCATCATGCCCAACTAATTTTTGTATTTTTAGTAGAGACAGGGTTTCACCATGTTGGCCAGGCTGGTTTTGAACTCCTGACCTCAAGTGATCCACCTGCCTTGCCCCCGCAAAGTGCTGGGATAACAGGCATGAGCCACTGCACCTGGCCAGATACTGGTGTCTTGAAAGCTGTTTGTGTGAAAAACACCTTGGCATTTTTGTGGATCACAAGTTCATTTGAAGCGAGGATGTGCAAGCATTCAACTTCTTTGCTGAGTTGGAGTGCACTCAGTGAAAGAGTCAACTGCATGAAGCATCTCAAGATAGGTCCGAAGACCAGGTTGACCTGGGCTGGGGTGTTCCATTTGCTGGAAGCAGATATAATTCAAAGGAATAAGTGAGAATTTTGGTCTGGAAATGGAGCCATAGGTCCCATCAGAGAGGAGCTATGGTCTCATCAGAGCTTCAGGGAAGACTTTGAGGTCAGGAGCCGGGGGGATCAGGAAGCCTAGAAGCGGAGTGCAATAAGCTAAGATGTGGGGTCTAACAGAGCAAACATGTCAGGATCTGGAGCTTTCAAGATGCTGGCTGCGTGCGGAGGAGCAGCTAGGTGGGTTGCAAGAAAACCACAAACCTGAGAAAACAGCTAGAGAAATCTTAGGTTGCATTAACAGCAGTTGTGCATTAGGGAAGAGTGTGACAGTCTCACTGCACTTTGCCCTTGTGCAATGCCATCTGGACCATAATGGGCAGCTTTGGGCACCAAGTTTATTTATTTGTTTATTTATTTATTTATTTATTTATTTTGAGAGGGAGTCTCGCTCTGTCACCCAGGCTGGAGTGCAATGGTGTGAGCTTGGCTCACTGCAACCTCTGCCTCCCAGGTTCTCTCAGATTCTCCTGCCTCAGCCTCCCGAGTAGCTGGGACTACAGCGTGTGCCACCTTGCTCAGCTAATTTTTATATTTTTAGTAGAGATGGAGTTTCACCATGTTGCCCAAGCTGGTCTCAAGCTCCTGACCTCAGGTGATCTGAGGGCACCAAGTTTAGACAAAGGTAAGATCAGAGTTGGAGCTCTTGGGGAACAGTGAGCTGGTGGTCATCATATCCCAGTGACTAAGTTGTGGCTTGTGAATTGACCAACTAGAGAGAGCCCAGGACAACAGGCCAGTGTCACAGATTCAGGATTGCCTGGCCACAGTCATATTCAGAGGCCCTAGTAGGCAGCATCCCAAAGGCCTGGTAGTAGCTGGCAGAGACAGAATCATGGGGATCAGGGATCAGGAGAAGGACTCTGGTCTCTAGACAGAGGAGCAAAGCGGAGTTAAAACAGCTGGAATTTTTGACATAGAACAAAGACAGGGATGGGGAATATGAGGCAGAAAGTGAGAGAAGACAGGGAAGCAGATATGGATCACAAGAATAAGGAGAATCCTGGGTCTTAGAACTGAGCCTGGGGTCATTGTGGGCCACAACACCTCTGAACCACAGGTGCAGACCATCTTCTGGATCTCTGTGTGGAACTGAGCCTCCAAATACAGTTGCAGACATTCAGAAATATCAACAATTGGTGCGAGGCCAAACTGTTGGTTTGATTCTTGCTGCAAAGGCTTAACTAAACTTTGCATGTCTTGATTTTATCTCTAATGTTTATTCATCCACATCTCCATGTCTCTGCATTTCTGGACTCTGCATTTCTATTCATCCCTACCTGTAAACTGGCTACTTCTTTTCTGAACTACTCTCTTTCTTGTATTACCTGGCCAAATGAAGCCAGGAGCAACCAGCATACACATTTTGTTTTCCAACTTCTTTCTCAAGAGCTATAGGCCAGGCACAGTGGCTCATGCCTATAATCCCAGCAATTTGAGAGGCTGAGGTGCCTGAGGTCAGGAGTTTGAGACCAGCCTGGCCAACGCATGGTGAAACCCTGTCTCTACTAAAAACACAAAAATGAGCTGGGTGTGGTGGCAGGTGCCTGTAATTCCAGCTACTCTGGAGGCTGAGGCAGGAGAATCACTTGAACCTGGGAGGCAGAGGTTGCAGTGAGCCAAGATCATACCACTGCACTCCAGCCTGGGCTACAGAGCAAGATTCCGTCTCGAAAAAACAAAAAAGACCATATATTTTCTGGTATATAGCAGGTAACAGTTTTACCACCTATTTAGCCTTCCATGACAAGGGTTGCCATTATTCCAACTTCCAATAATGGCTTCCTCATTGTACGCCCCCTGAATCCTAAGCAAATATTATATACAGTTAACCCTCTAACAATGGAGAAGGGGGGTATGGGAGGGTTGGAGAGCTGACCCCTAACACAGTTAAAAATCCACATATAACTTTTAACTCTTCCAAAACTTAACTACTAATAGCCTACTGTTGACCTGAAACTTTACCATAACATATACAGTTTATTAATACATATTTTGAATGTTATATGTATTATATACTGTATTCTTACAATAAAGTAAGATAGTAAAAGAAAGTATCATTAAGAAACATGCAGTGGTTCATGCCTGTAAGCCCAGCAGTTTGGGAGGCTGAGGCAGGAGTACTGCTCAAGTCCAGGAGTTTGAGACCAGCCTGGGCAACAAAGCGAGACCTCATTGCTACAAAAATATAACATACATTAGGTAGGTAGAGTGGCTCATGCCTATAATTCCAGCACTTTGGGAGGCTGAGGAAGGAGAATCACTTGAGCCCAGGAGGTTGAGGCTGCAATGAGCCATGATTGCTCCACTGCACTCCAGCCTTGGTGACAGAGCAATACCCTGTCTCAAAAAAAAAAAAAAAAAAATACTCAAACCTAAAACGAACATATTGTACACTGTGTGGAGTTTCCAGATTAATACTCAGGAGGTCAAGGATATCTGATTCTGAACATGGTGGCTTGAGCTAATTAAATGACCAAGTGAAGGTCTGTTCTCTAAGCAAGATAGTCAGAGATGTCATGGACAGTAGGTCTGATATACCATAGGACATTCTTATAAGCTGATTTTGTTCTAAGTTAACTTCTAACAATGAATTTCCAGTTTTAGAAAAAAAAAAAAACAAAAAAACCCAAAAAAACAAAAAGCAAAACAAAAAAAAAATACAAAGAAAGAAAGAAAGAAAGGAGGGAGGGAGGGAAGGAAGGAAGGAAGGAAGGGGGAAGGGAGGGAGAGAAGGAAGGAAGGAAGGGGGAAGGGAGGGAAGGAAGGGAGGGAGGGAGGGAGAGAGAGAGCAAGAAAGAGGGAAATAAACTAAGAAAGAAAAAAGAAAGAAAGAAAGAAAAGAAAGAAAGAAGAGAAGGAAGGAAAAAGGGAGGAAGAGGAGGAAGGAAGGAATGAAGGAAGGAAAGAAGGAAAGAAGGAAGAAAAAAGTTATAAGGAAGAAAAAATACAAAATACCTCTGTAGTTCATTAAGTGGGAGTGGGTCATCATCAAGGTTTTCATTCTCATCCTCATTGTCTTCACACTGAGGAGGCTAAGGAGGAGGAGAAAGAGGAGGGGTTGGTCTTGCTGTCCCAGGGGTGGCGGAGGTGAATGAAAATCCACATGTAAGTGGACTGGCACAGTTCAAATCTGCATTTTTCAAGGGTCAATTAAATTTGAAGTTTTTTTTATGGTAGCACCTCATTTTTAGGTACTAGCTTATGTTCAGTCAGAATAGACTAGATAATGTTGAAGTGGCAAACCAACTCAAAATTTCAGTGGAGATTTACTTTCTGTGGTTACTTCGAGTCCACCTATGGTGGGCGGGACACTGGCTCTAGGTCCTCCCTCCCCACTCAAGGACTCAGCCTGAAGAAGGCTCCCTCTCCATGTCTCCATATTCCTTCATTTCCAAGAAGGAATATGGTGAACTGCTCCCTAGTTCTTTTTTTGTTTTGTTTTGAGATGGAGTCTTGCTCTGTCACCCAGGCTGGAATACTGTGGCGCAATCTCGGCTCACTGCAAACTCCACCCCGTGGGTTTAAGCAATTCTCCTACCTCAGTCTCCCGAGTAGCTGGGATTACAGGTGTGGGCCACCATGCCCGGCTAATTTTTGTATTTTTGATAGAGAAGGAGTTTCATCACGTTGGCCAAGCTGGCCTCAAACTCCTGACTTCAGGTGATCCACCCACCTTGGCTTCTCAAAGTGCTGGAATTACAGGCATGAGCCACCATGCCCGGCCCCAGTTCTTAAAAAAATAAAATTTCTGTGTGGAAATGACATATGATACTTCTGTGGATATTTCATTGACTTATCTATACAGGAGGAATCCTATCATGTACCATGTACTTGGGAGACAGAGAGTAAGGAATATTTGAACAACACTAATGACCACCACAGTAATAGTAGCTGTATTTTTCTGTTCTCATGCTGCTAATAAAGACATACCTGAGACTGGGTAATTTTTAAAGGAAGGAGGTTTAATGGACTCACAGTTCCACATGGCTGGGGAGGCCTCACAATCATGGCAGAAAGCAAAGGAGAAGCAAAGGCATATCTTACATGGCAGCAGGTAAGAGAGCTTGTGCAGGGAAACTCCCATTGATAAAACCATCAGATCTCATGAGACTTATTCACTATCACAAGAGCAGTGTTGGGAAAACTGCACCCATGATTCCATTACCTCCACCTGGCCCCACTCTTGACACGTGGGGATTATGACAATTCAAAGTGAGATTTGGGTTGGGGACACAGCCAAACCATATCAGTAGCTAATGTTTATCAATTGCTATGTACTTTTAAAAAACAGTGGTCTATATGTATTAATGACTTTAATTCTCATAACCCTCTGAATTAAGTACTAAGTACTATAATGAATATATATTTTCTTCTTTAGAGACAGGGTCTTGCTCTATCACCCAGGCTGGAGTGCAGTGGTGCAGTCATAGCTCACTGCAGCCTTGAACTCCTGGGCTTAGGCAATCCTCCCACCTTAGCTTCCTGAGTAGTTGGGACTACAGGCAAGTGACACTCCATCCATCTAACTTTTCATTTTAATTTTTGTAGAGATGGGATCTTTCTATGTTGCCCAGGCTAGTCTTGAACTCCTGGGCTCAAGTGATCCTCCTGCCTCAGCCTCCAAAACACTGGAATTATAGGTGTGATGCCACTGTGTCTGGCCAATAAAATTTTTTTTTAAAAGAAAAAAAACAGGGGTCTATATGTATTAACTAATTTAATTATCATAACCCTTTGAGGTAAGTACTACAATAAGCTTTTTTTAAAAAAAATTAATTTAATTTAATTTTAAGTTCTGGGATACATGTGCAGGATGTGCAGGCTTGTTACACAGATAAATGTGTGTCATGGTGGTTTGCTACACCTATCAACCCATCACCTAGGTATTAAACCCTGTATGCATTAGCTATTTATCATGATGCTCTCTCTCCCCCTACCATCCCCCAACAGGCCCCAGTGTGTTTTGTTCCCTTCCCTGTGTCCATGTGCTCTCATTGTTCAGCTCTCACTTATAAGTAAGAACATGTGGTGTTGAGTTTTCTGTTCTTACGTTAGTTTGCTGAGGATAATGGCTTCTAGCTCCAACCGTTTCCCTGCGAAGGACATGATCTAATTTCTTTTTATGGCTGCATAGTATTCCATGGTGTATTAGTACCACATTTTCTTTATCCAGTCTATCCTTGATGGGCATTTAGGTTGATTCTATGTCTTTACTCTTGTGAATTGTGCTGCAATAAACATACGCATGCATGTATCTTCGTAATATAACAATTTATATTCCATTGGGTATATACCCAGTAATGGGATTGCTGGGTCAAATGGTAGTTCTGCCTCCAGGCCTTTGAGGAATCGCCACGTTGTCTTCTACAATCTTAATCCAGATTCTTAATCTATATAGTATTCTGCCTCTTAATGTGCTGCTGTTGATATGAGGGCATAATTACTGTAACTTGCTTGGGCGCCAAAATGCCAGCTCCCTCTGCCTGCAGGTAAGAGGTAGAGGACCCCAGTCATGGGCATTCAAGGAGAGCACCTTAGGGGTGGAGAGTCAGCTGAACGGACAGGAGAAAGCAACTATTGGGCAGGCTCCTCTGATCCAATGGGAGTCTTTCCCTATTTATCAGAGAGCTCTGTGCCTTTTAGCTGAGAGATGTTTCTGAACCTGTGAGACTGAAGGCAGAGGCTGGACCTGCTCGTGGAGGTGAGGATGTCATTAATTTCAGAGTCTTGCCGCGGTGGCTCCCAGACGACCAGGTGATGCCAGTGAGTCCCTGTGCAAGCATCAACGTGAGGATGCCCCTTGATGCTGCAGGACCTCCTCTGCCCTGCTTTGCCTGTGGTAATTGAGCTGCCTGACCTCTGAGGGAGCCTCCCCTCTCCTCCAAGAAACAGAATTGATTTGTCAAACATATATCCACATTTCTCCACCCGGACAGATTCATTCTCTCTGCAAGCTACACATCACGCTTTCAAAGTCAAGCACTGCATCCTGCCACAGGCAATCCAGAGGATTGTAGAACTCTCTATTTCTTCTCTTTCTGACATATCCAAAATGTCAAGATGCAAGGGAGTCATTTATTTATTTAACTGAAGCTTGGCTGGGAAGGGCACATATATCAGATGAGTCTAGAATCTCTGTTAGCAACTCAGGACCCCAAGATAAATAGCCTCAGGGTTCTTTGTTAAGGACAACCAAGTTAAAATCGGGGTTCCCTGGAGCTCCTGCGTGGGCTTTTGCAGAGTACCTCTTACTCTCACCACCATTAATATTAATTAATGCATTGCATTATTAATTATTATTAATAGTTATAATTAATAATTAATAAAATTACATCCTATACCTATAGAGAGCAGGCCTCGCACTTTGCATCACCAAGAAAGGTGCTAGATGCCATAAATATACCTCATTTCTTTCCCCCTAACTTTCTAATGAGGAACAAAAGGATGAAAAGAGCTGCACAGATCACAAATGAATATCTTGATGAATTGTCGCAAACTGAGCACGTGTTTAATCAGCACCCTGATCAAGAAACAGAACGTTACCAGCACCCCGGAAGTTCCCTTTCATGTCCCTCCCTGCAAGTGTTCTCTATCAAATGTAACCATTATCCCGACTTTTAATAGAATGACCCTGTTGTTTTAAGTCTTAACAACCTTGCCCCATGCCATGTCTATTTATTTTCCCAAGATGCACTCCCCATGTGATGTTCCTTAGATGATGAGCTTGGTTTTCTTCTCTAGCCCACAAAACTATCACAAAAAACACACTCTCCTTTGGTTACCGATCACAGGGGCCCGGGGGCCCTGAGATTTTCTGAGATTTGGATGATGTGTTAATTTGGCCCCTATGAGAAGCAAATACCAGGATGGATGGAAGTAGACATCCAATAAATTTATCGGCTGGGCACAGTGGCTCATGCCTTTAATCCCAGCACTTTGGGAGGTTGAGGTGGGAGGATTGCTTGAAGCCAGGAGATCAAAACCAGCCTGGGCAACATAGCAAGTCCCTATCACTACAAGAAACTTAAAAAAAAATAAAATAAAATTAGCAGGGCATGGTGGTGCCTGCCTGTAATCCCAGCTCCTCAGGAGGCTGAGGTAGGAGGATAGCTTGAGCCCAGGAGTTTGAGGCTGCAGTGAGTCATGATCACGCTGCTGCACTCTATCTGGGGTGACAAAGCAAGATCCCTTCTCTAAAACAAACAAACAGACAAACAAACACACACACACAAACAAAACCCCAGAAATTGGTTGAGAGAAATAGTTGTGAAGGATAAAGGTGACAGTGAGCAGAGACAGGCCAGGGGAGCCTTCAGACCACAATGCTGGTCTGGCACCCATGAAAGGGAAGAGGGAAGGAAGGGAGATTTAATGAGAGAAGCCTCAGCCTACAGGCAGGTGACATTAGAAGAAGCATGCTTCATCAGGTAGGAATGGCCTGGCTTGAGTAACCCAGCTCTTCTCAAGTATTGGCTAGGCATAGACTGGAAAGAATGTGTCCTTAGAGCAAATACTGCAGAGGTCCTGAAGGTGGAGATGCTGGATTTCTTCACAGCAGGTTCTCATAAGGGGACATCTGGGTGGTGCCCCTCAAAGACCATCCATGGTGGCTTCTTCTCTGGTGATGCACTGTCTCCTTCCTCTGTCCAGCAGTTCTTTATTTGGTTTTCTTTGGTTTTAAAGGCATGGAATCCTGCTCTGTTGCCCAGGCTGGAGTGTGGTGGTGCCATTATAGCTCACTGCAGCCTCCAACTCCTGGGCTCAAACGATCCTCCTGCCTCAGCCTCCTGAGTAGCTGGGACTACAGGCATGCACCACCACACCTGGCTAATTTTTAAATTTTTCTTAGAGATGGGATCTTGTTATGTTGTCCAGGCTGATCTCAAGTTCCTGACCTCAAGTGATCTTCTCGCCTTGGCCTCCCAAAGAGCTGGGATTACAGGTGTGAGCCACCACACTTGGCCTGTCCAGCAGTTCTATTGAAATGACGTCTCCTTGTCATTGCCATGGCCAGAGAGTGGACTGTCAAACTGACCTATGTTTGAGTTGTTCCTAGGTCCTTTATTTTCTAGCAGGATGCTTACACTTGCCTGAGCCACAATTTCCTCATCTGTAAAATGGGGAAAATCATTCTTACCTTGTGAGCTTCCTATTAGAATCATAGGGGATTATTTCCAGTAAGACACAGTATGTGCTATAGAGTAGGCACTCCATAAAGACCCCTTTCCTTGTGAAATTTCTCTTCCTCTTCATCGGAATGTAGAGTCCACATACCCACCTTAGGCCCCTGGGCAGAGGCACATTCTGCAGTGATAGGTCCTATGCATTGAGGTTTTGGGCAGCAGATTCATTACACTCCACTCAAGCCATGGACCCCTTTTCCAGTCTGGGGAACCCTGAGGCCCCCTCTCAGAATACCATTTCTGAAGAATAAAATAAAATTACTCAGATTAAAGGAGAAACCAATTACATTTAAATGATGTATCGCAACATTACGAAAACGGATTTATGATATAGTCATAGGTATGTTTCTTTATTAACACATTAGGTTGCAAGTTGGAACTACAGATCTAATAATGATTCTAATTATTGGCAGTCGTGATGAGCGTAACTGATATTATGTGGCATCTGCACCAGTGTGATGTGATTGATATAAAAATACGTGTGATTTCTATTATGAACAATCTCAGATACTGCAAATTCTATGCCAGTTTGCTATCTGCATTGATCATTGAAGGAAATGCTGTATTTCAATTAAAGGTAAGAGAAAATTAAGGATGTACATTATTTTCTCCGTCCACATTTATGATTGCAAACCTAGGTAAGGACTTCCTACCTTAAATTAATGACACCTATTCATTCACTTTGGGGCAGTGAATTCCCAGAAGTTAGGGATATCCCCAGGTATCTTCATTCAGAACCTCTCAATGGCCTTTCCCAATAACACATATAGAAATGAGTCTGCAGTGACTTTGATACGTCGCTGCAGTCCAATTTGATTATCGGTCCCAGTCCAATGCCCTGTCTCAGTGATATGGGCATGTCACTCTGTCCCTTCAAGTTGGTGGGAACAAAGGAACCCTGCATTAACAAACAGGTTAATAGTGGTCTCATAAGAAGTTGTCAAGAATTCAATGAATTGTTACCTATAGAGCATGGAGAATAATTCCTGACTCATTACTCCATGGGTAATTCTAGTGCCCCAGATAACTTTCCATTTGTCGTTAGAATGTAGCTCTCATATTCATTCATTTTTCCCCTCCTCTTTTTTCTCTCTTTCATTCAACAAATGCAGCATGTACTCTAACTCCACCAAAAGTTCTAAATCAGGACCACGTTTAAAATCTACCCAGTGGCACTAGTGTGGGTTCAGAGGCGCATCTACCCCAAACATAACTCCCTACTTGATTTTAAGATATTCAAGAATGCTATAATGAGGGCAAGTTTTCAGCCCGATGTGAAATGCAATACTAAAAGCTGATCACACTTGACAGAAACCTATTGTTTTATGTCAAAGGCAGTGTACTAGGTGCACTGGTACACATTTCATGTGTTTTATTGTTTAATCTTTTGTTGTCAAACAGAATTTTATTTAATAGTTTATAACATCAATGGGAGAATTTTTTTCTTTTTCTTTTCTTTTTTATTTTGACGTGGAGTCTTGCTCTGTTGCCCAGGCTGGAGTGCAGTGGCGCAATCTCGACTCACTCACTGAAACCTCCGTCTCCTGGGTTCACGTGATTCTTCTGCCTCAGCCTCCTGAGTAGCTGAGATTACAGGAGCATGGCACTATGCCCAGCTAATTTTTGTATTTTTAGTAGAGATGTGGTTTCACCATGTTGGCCAGGCTGGTCTCGAACTCCTGAACTCAGGTGATCTGCCTGCCTCATCCTCCCAAAGTGCTGGGATTACAGGCGTGAGCCACTGTACCCAGTCTGGGAATTGTTTTTTAAAACAGTCACCAACTTACTTTATTTTTAACTTTTATTTTAAGTTTAGGGGTACATGTGCAGGTTTGTTACACAGGTAAACTTGTGTCATGGGGGTTTATTGTACAGACTATTTCATCACTCAGGTATTAAGCCAAGTAGCCATTAGTTATTTTTCCTGATCTTAACAACTCCGTGAGAAACCAATCACCTTTTCTCAGGTTTCAAAGAACAAATTGGAATCCTAGTGGTTTCCTCTAAGTAACATATGTAGTTTATGAATTTGAAAAACAGCTCTACCTTTTTCCAAATCGTCAAGAAGGATATATCAGACCCCCTTCACAAGGGTCCCTTCATTTGGTTCAGGTATGAAAGACTGAAGTCACGGAAGTGGGGAAGTCAGTAGGGTACTGAGCGTACTGGCTTCATAGAGAGATGGACTGCATTTAAATTCTCCATTTTCCACTTACCAGCTATGTGGCCTTGAAGGAGTTACTTAATTTCTCTGTGCCTTTGCTTCCCCACCTACAAACAGGTTAATAATGGTCTCATAAGGAGTTGACAAGAATTAAATGAACTGGAGGACGGGCACGGTGGCTCACGCCTGTAATCCAAGCACTTTGGGAGGCCGAGGCGGGTGGATCACCTGAGGTCAGGAGTTCGAGATCAGCCTGGTCAATGCGGTGAAACCCCATCTCTACGAAAAGTACAAAAATTAGCTGGGCATGGGGTACATGCTTGTAGTCCCAGCTACTCAGGGGGCTGAGGCAGGAGAATTGCTGGAACCTGGGAGGCGGAGGTTTCAGTGAGCCGAGATCACACCATTGCACTCCAGGCTAGGTGACAGAGCGAGATTCCATCTCAACAAATAACAGAAAAAAGAAAAAATAATTAAATAGATTGATACCCATAGTGCATAGAGAACAATGCCTGGCTCACTGAATATGTTCACTAAATGCCGGTTATTATTATCTTTGTAAAAAAAAAATCTGACACATGAATAAAACCTCTGATGATCCTCTTTCAAATTCTAAACTCTTTTTTTTTTGAGATGGAGTCTCACTCTATTGCTCAGCTGGAGTGCAGTGGCATGATCTTGGCTCACTGCAACCTCTGCCTCCCGGGTTCCAGTGATTCTCCTGCCTCAGCCTCCCAAGTAGCTGGGACTACAGGTGCCTGCCACCACGCCTGGCTAATTTGTTTTGTATTTTTGTAGAGACGGGGTTTCACCGTGTTAGCCAGGATGGTCTCGATCTCCTGACCTCATGATCCACCTGCCTTGGCATTCCAAAGTGATGGGATTACAGGCATGAGCCACCACGCCTGGCCTCAAATTCTAAACTCTTATAGTGAACAAAGCACTTCACAATCTGGTCTCTGCTGACCATTTCAGCCAGAAATTCTACCAGTCTCTGACTTTTTTAAAAATTCATGTTCCAGCCCCCAAACTACTGGTGGATATTCCCATGACCATACATTTTGGCCTCTTCAGGCCTCACTCATCACATTCTTTTATTTTATTGCTATAAAGTTGTTCCTGCCTTTCTTCACCTAATTAACTTCCTGAGGTGCTGTAAGTCTCAGCTCAGGGGTCTTCTTGAGAAAATCCTGCATAAGTCCTCAGGCTGACAGGGGTTTCCTCTCTGTAGTCTCACCCTATCATGCTCATCAGTAGACTTAGCCTGTCACACCAACGCTGAGTGGAGACTTAGCCTATCACACTAATATTGAATGTAGACTTAGCCTATCATACTAACCCTAAGCATAGACAGCCTATCACAGCAAGACTGAGCATACACTTAGCCTATCACACCAACACTGAGAATAGACTTAGCCTATCACACCAATCTTGAGTGTAGACTTAGCTTATCCTATCACACCAACCCCGAGTGCAGACTTAGCCTGTCACATCAACACTGAGTGCAGACTTAGCCTATCAAACCAACACTGAGTGTAGACTCAGCCTATCACACCAACCCTGAGTGTAGACTTAGCCTATCACATCAACACTGAGTGTAGACTTAGCCTATCACATCAATGTCGAGTGTAGACTTAGTCTATCACATCAACACTGAGGGTAGACTCCGCCTATCACACCAACCCTGAGTCTAGACTTAGTCTATCACATCAACCCTGAGTGTAGACTTAGCCTATCACATCAATGTCAAGTGTAGACTTAGTCTATCAATCAACCCTGGGTGTAGACTTAGCCTATCACACCAACCCTGAGTGTAGACTCAGCCTATCACACCAACCCTGAGTGTAGACTCAGCCTATCACACCAACACTGAGCATAGACTTAGCCTATCACATCAACGTTGAGTGTAGACTTAGTCTATCACATCAATACTGAATGTAGACTCAGCCTATCACACCAACCCTGAGTGCAGACTTAGCCTATCACATCAACCCTGAGTATAGACTCAGCCTATCACACCAACACTGAGTACAGACTTAGCCTATCACACCAACACTGAGTGTAGACTTAGCCTATCACACCAACACTGAATGTAGACTTAGCCTATCACACCAATGCTGAGTGCAGACAGCCTATCACACCAACCCTGAGTGCAGACTTAGCCTATCACATCAACACTGAGTGTAGACTCAGCCTATCACACCAACGCTGAGTGTAGACTCAATCCATCACAAGAGCATTGAGTGTCTGTTCACTGACATGACATAAAGTGTCTATCTGCTCTCCAGGTGAAAATTCTTGGGGGTGATAAACTATTTTTGTCTTACTGAGAGATCCCTCCTCTCAACCTATCTTATTTGGCCACAGAGGAGAGAGTAGGGGTCTTCTCTCCCTCCTACTGGGAATGGTGATGTTGAAGTAAGCACTCTCCACCAGCCTATTAATTTCTCCTCTGGGAGGGAGGAAGAGTAGCTGATCTGATTGCTGAATTCCAATATCTACTTTTCCCCACTGGGAGTGGTTCCAGGGATGAATCGAGAAAGTGGTAGTACCAGGATTCCAGCCCACAATTATTGTCGTCAGAGCCAATGTACTTAGTGTTTAGTAGGAGAAATCAAATACGAAAATGATTCAGTGCAATAAAAAGTTACAAGTGTGTGTAAGGAGTTCATGTGACCCTAGATGCTTGAACTGAGCTTGAATGAGGAGTAGGTGAATGGAGGTGGATAAGTCATTCCTGGCAGAAGGAAGCATGTTAAAAGCAAAAGCTCAAGGGGGAGGCATTCTGTGTGGCAGGATTGTGGTGTGGGCGTCAGGTGCAGTCATGATGGATGGTTGGGTTGGAGAGGTAGATAATATGTTTCCAAAAAAAAAAAAATTCTTGCAAATATTTGTGAGAAGGAAAACCCCTTGCCCAAGAGAAACTTTTACAATATATTTCTACCCAGGGCTCCACTGGAATTAGGTGTGGAATTTTTTTTTTAATTTTTTAATTAATTAATTATTTATTTATTTATATTTTTTTGAGAAAGGGTCTCACTCTCTCACCCAGGCTGGAGTGCAGTGGCACGATCTCGGCTCACTGCAACCTCCACTTCCCGTGTTCAAACAATTCTTCTGTCTCATCCTCCCGAGTAGCTGGGATTACAGGTGTCTGTCACCATGCCAGGCTAATTTTTTGTATTTTTAGTAGAGATGGGGTTTCACCATGTTGGCCAGGCTGGTTGCGAACTCCTGACCTCCGCCCGCCTCAGCTTCCCAAAGTGCTGGGATTACAGGCATGAGCCATCACACCAAGCCAAATTTTAAAATTTTTGTAGAGATGTGGTCTTGCTATGTAACTCCTGGGATCCAGCGATCCTCCTGCCTTGGCCTCCCAAAAGTGCTGTGATTACAAGTACAAGCCATCATGCCCGGCTTGAGATCATTGTTGATTGCACACAGAGAGTTCAGCATCCTGTTTCCTGTTCTAAATTCAATAGCGTCCTCTGTCTTTGTAATGTCCCACCTCTTCCACTTGCCTCCCATGGGGCGGAGACAGGCTCTGACTGGTTGCAACCTATGGCTCTTAAGATCATAGTTCTCAAACTTGAGTGTGGCATCAGAATCACCAGGCAGGCTTGTTGAAACACACTTTGCTGGACCATCGCACCTGAGTTTTTGATTCGGTAGATCTGAGATAGAGCCTGAGAATTTGCATTTCTTTTTGTTTGTTTGTTTGTTTTGAGACATAGTCTCACTCTGTCATCCAGGCTGGAGTGCAGTGGCGTGATCTCAGCTCACTGCAACTTCTGCCCCCGGGTTCAAGTGATTCTCCTGCCTCCTGAGTAGCTGGGATTACAGGACAGCACCACCATACCTGGCTAATTTTTGTATTTTTAGTAGAGATGGAGTTTCGCCATGTTGCCCAGGCTGGTCTTGAACTCATGGCCTCAAGTGATCCGCCCACCTCAGCCTCCCAAAGTGCTGAGATTACAGGTGTGAGCCACTGAGCTCGGCCAAGAATTTGCATTTCTAATAAGTTCCAGGGGATGCTGATGCTGCTGGTCTGGGGATCATGCTTTGAGAACCTGGTCTGGTTTCATTATTATCTGGGCTCCCTGAGATGTAGGGAAACCTCTCTACCTTGGGCAGGACTAGGGCCCCTCCCTGTGAAAAACTTCCCCAAATGCTTCAATGACTTCGTGGGAATGAGCTGTTCACCAGACTCTGCTGGGGTCCCAAGAGCTGCTGCTGGTGAAGCTCCTCTTTCTCACGTCAAGCTTGGCTGCATTTTCTGCGTTCTTTGACCCTTTCTTTTTAGCACTCAGATGAAGAGCAATTGTCGCTTCACTCTGCACTTCTCCGTGCACACTTTATCTCCCCTATTTTGTTTCTGACATCTTCAGTAATCTGACTCTGACAGTGCTCAAGGATGTGGCAATCACAGCCCACGGGAACAGCGCGTGATGAGGGGAGGTCGATTTGCAGTGTGCTCAGAGCACTCAAGATCCTGGGCTTGACTCTGAAATGGCACTAGAAAGAAGAGATGTCATCATTGCCTCCTAACTGCCTTCCTCTTCTCTCTTTCTGACCAACTGACTGTCTGTAGGTAACTCAAAAACGAGCCAGAGGCAACTCACTGACCAAATTGCCCCTTTAATGTCTTTTTCTTTTTTTTTTTTTTTCAGATGGAGTCTGGCTCTGTCATCCAGACTGTAGTGCAGTGGCCCAATCTTGGCTCACTGCAACCTCTGCCTCCCATGTTCAAGTGATTCTCCTGCCTCAGCCTCCTGAGTAGCTTGGATTACAAGCGCAAACCACCAGGCCTGGCTAATTTTTTGTATTTTTAGTAGAGATGGGGTTTTGCCAGGTTGGTCAGACTGGTCTCGAATTCCTGACCTCAAGTGATCCACCCACCTCGGCCTCCCAAAGTGCTGGGATTACAGGCATGAGCAGAAATGGCAGAAAGCATGAACTTAGAGCCAGTGAGAGCAATTATTTGGACCTGGCTAAACTCAAAATGATTAACCAAAATGAACTGTTAGCTCAGGGCCCCTAGCTAGCATCAGCTGAGCCAGCTGAGCTGATTCTAATGTCCTTAACAATTTTTTTTTTTTGAGACGGAGTCTTGCTCTGTTGCCCAGGCTGGAGTGCAGTGGCAGGATCTCGGTTCACTGCAAGCTCCGCCTCCTGGGTTCATGCCATTCTCCTGCCTCAGCCTCCCAAGTAGCTAGGACTACAGGCAGCTGCCACCACAACTACACCCGGCTAATTTTTGTATTTTTTTAGTAGAGACAGGGTTTCACCATGTTAGCCAGGATGGTCTGGATCTCCTGACCTCGTGATCTGCCCGCCTCAGCCTCCCAAAGTACTGGGATTACAGGCGTGAGCCACCGCGCCTGGCCCTAATGTCCTTAACTTTAAAGGTCTACGCTCATTCATCTCCTTTACAACAGTAATGGCCCCTATTAACTGAGTACAGACTTTGTGCTAGGCAGCTGCTAAGGGCCTGATGGGCCAACATGATGGCAGGAATGCTATGAGGTCGGTGATATTATTGTACCCATTTGACAATCGATAAAACAGAGAGGAAGAGATCAGGCAGCTGGGATTCAGATTTTGCTCTAATTCCAAAAAGTTCATGTTCGTAAGTCAGAATTAGCAGACAGTGTAGATGCCTTTATTTTCTTTCTTGAAAATGGCACTTTATTTTCTTCCAATTAAGAGTTTATAAAGGGGGCTGGGTGTGATGGCTTATGCCTGTAATCCTAGCATTTTGGGAGGCTGAGGCAAGATCACTTGGGGTCAGGAGTTCGAGACCAGCCTGGCCAACATATTTCTACTAAAAATATAAAAAAATTAGCCAGGTGGGTGGTGCATGCCTGTAATCTCAGGCTACTCAGAAGGCCAAGGCAGGAGAATCGCTTGAACCTGGGAGACGGAGGTTGTAGTGAGCTGAGATTGCACCACTGCACTCCAGCCTGGGCAACAGAGCAAGACTCCATCTCAAAAAAAAAAAAAAAAAAAAGAGATAAATGGGCAATTTGGTTGTGCATGCACATGTGTGTGTGTGTGTGTGTGAGAGAGAGAGACAGGGAAAAATAGAGAAAGGGTGTGAGAAGTGAGAGATGAAGGTAGTGGGAGAAATTTATTAAGCTTATTACAACTGTATACAATGACGTGTGGGAAAGATTATGGTATATTAGACTTTGGCAATGGTAAAACAAATATATTTAGATTAGGATAAAAGTGATTGCAATTTTAATGCTTCGTTTTACAAGGTCTTATCATGAAGTTCCAAAGTAAATCTCATAAGGAGTAGAGAAAGCAACAACAACCACAAAAAATCAGATAGAAGCCAATGGTACTATTTAAAGTGAGTTGTGTGGAATCGTCTGCATAGCACTCCCTCTCCTCTGGGAAGCCCTCCTCACTGGCCCCACCATTCCCAAAAGATATCCCAGATAGCTGCTATATTCCTTTCCTCTTGCTGTGTGACAAATCATCACAACCTTATAGGCTTAAAACAACATCCATCCATGATCTTGCAGCATCTCAGGTCAGAAGTCTGGGTGGGCTTGATTGAGTTCTCTGTTTGGGGTTTCACAAGGCTAAAATCAAGATGTTAGCCAGGCTGGGTTCTCCCATGGAAAGTCTAAGAAGAATCTACTGCCAAGCTTATTCAGGTTGTTGGAAGAATTTAGTTCCCTGCAGTTGTAGGACTGTAGTTCCTGACTCCTTGCTGTCTGCTGGCTGGGGGTCACTCTCCACTTCTAGGGGCTGAACTCTGGGCCTTGCTTGTGGTTTCTCTCCATTTTCAAAAACAACACCAGCACACTGAGTCCTTCTGCTTTGAATCTCTCTGACACCTCCTTCTGCTACAAACCAGAGAAAGTTCCCTGATTTTAAGGGCTCACCTGATTGGGTCAGGCCCACCTGACCCTGTTTTAGGTTAACTGACTTGAGACTTTAATGACATCTTCAAAATTCCTTCATAGCAGTCCCTAGATGAATATTTGATTTAATAACCAAGGGTCAGGATCTTGGGAGTATCATTTTTAGAATTCTACCCACTGCAGCTACCTTCTTCTGGAATGACTACATCTTTGTGGTCATATGTGGTCAGCCTAGGGATAAACACCTGACTCAAATCTGGGCCAATTTGTTTTCTTCCTGAGAGATTTAAAAGTAAGTTGCTCTGGCAGGGCGCGGTGGCTCATGCCTGTAATCCCAGCACTTTGGGAAGTGGAGGTGGGTGGATCATGAGATCAAGAGATCAAGACCAGCCTGGCCAACATGGTGAAACCCCATCTCCACTAAAAATACAAACATTACCTGGGCATGGTGGCGGGCACCTGTAGTCACAGCTACTCGGGAGGCTGAGGCAGGAGAATCGCTTGAACCCGAGAGGCAGAGGTTGCAGTGAGCAAAGATCACACCACTGCACTCCAGCCTGGTGACAGAGAGAGACTCTGTCTAAAAAAAAAAAAAAATTAAAAAAATAAGTCACTCTGCCTTGGGAACTTGGAAGAGGTTCCCCACCTTTCCCTTCCCTTCCCTTCCCTTGCCTTCTCTTCCCTTCCCTTCCCTGCCCTGCCCTGCCATGCCCTGCCCTCCCTCCTATCTAAGTATGTTCTTAGATGTCTTCAAATATGAGACTTAGGGCAACATCTGCTTGATAATCCTGTTCACAAATTTTCCCTGGAACTTATTGTTTCTTCTTTCAGAAGTTTAAGAGGAAAGAGGTATTTGGGGAGAGCATGAGTTCCACATGGGACATGTAGGGGCAAGTTCCCACGGGACAGGTGAAAATGTGGGTCTGAATCTTAGGGGAAAGGAGGAATCTGGACATTTGCTTTGGGACTTCTTGGGAACTAGGGAATGGCGGACAAGTTCGTCATCTTGGTGAGAAATGACGTTCAAGGTGGAGGAGGGGATTAGAGCAGAGGTCACCCGAGCTCTGGAGGACCCCAGCATGATGTCTGCATGCCTGGAGTGAGCAGGGTAGAGGGAGGAAGGAAGGCACTGAGAAAGCAGAGGGAAGAAGAGAGAAGATGCTTCTGTACTGA
Source organism: Homo sapiens (assembly GCF_000001405.40). Taxonomy (NCBI): domain Eukaryota; kingdom Metazoa; phylum Chordata; class Mammalia; order Primates; family Hominidae; genus Homo; species Homo sapiens. The sequence goes on along the minus strand of NC_000007.14, from coordinate 68,933,033 downwards.
GGTTTGAAAAATAGTTGTGTAATGTATTTTGCCTTGACCAGTCCTTTGCCTCTTTTCTGCAGACCCATAGATGCGTTTTTTTTCTCCTTTAAATTATGGTAAAATACACATAACATAAAACTTACTATCTTTTATTTTTATTTTTTTTAGAGACAGGGTCTGGCACTGTCGCCCAGACTAAAGTGCAGTGGCATGATCATGGCTTGCTGCATCCTCAAACTCTGGGGCTTAAGTGATCTTCCCACCTCAGCCTCTTGAAGCGCTGGGACTATAGGCAAAGGCCACCACACTTGGCTAATTTAATTTCTTGTTGTAGGGATGGAGTCTTGCTATGTTGCCCAGGCTAGTCTTGAACTCCTGACCTCAAGGGATCCTCCTGCCTCAGCCTCCCAAAGCACTGGGATTACAGACATGAGCCACTACTACCTGGCCAAAATATGCCAACTTAATTTTTTTTTTTTTTTTTTTGAGACGAAGTCTTGCTATCGCCCAGGCTGGAGTGCAATGGCGGGATCTCGGCTCACTGCAACCTCTGCCTCCCGGGTTCAAGTGATCCTCCTGCCTCAGCCTCTCAAGTAGCTGGGATTACAGGCACCCACCACTGCACCTGGCTAATTTTTGTATTTTTAGTAGAGTCGGGATTTCACCATGTTGGCCAGGCTGGTTTCGAACTCCTGACCTCAGGTGATCCGCCGGCTTCAGGCTCCCAAAGTGCTGGGATTGCAGACGTGAGCCACTGTGCTCGGCCACCATCTTAATTTTTAAGCATGCAGTTCAGAGATGTTAAGTACATTTACACTTTGTGCATCCATCCCCACCATACACCTCTAGGAGTGCTTGTATCATGCAAAACTAAACTACTCATTAAACAATAATTCCCCATTCCCGTTTCTCCCCAGTCCCTGGCAATCACCATTCTACTTTCTGTCTCTGTGTACCCTATGTACTCTATGTACTACTCTAAGAACCCCATATAAGTGGAATCATGTGGTTAAGATTTTTTTTTTCTCATAACTGGCTTATTCCAGTTAGTATAATGTCTTCAAGGTTCACCCATGTTATAGCATGTGTCAGAATTCCCCTCGCTGTTAAGACTAAACAATATTCCATTGTCTGTTACATTTTGTTTAATCCATTCATCCATTGATGGACCCTTGGGTTGCATCCACCTTTTCCACCTTGGCTCTTGAGGATCATGCTGCTATGAACGTGGTCACGTAAATGGGTATATAAAGGTCTCTTTGGCTGGGCACGGAGGCTCACGCCTGTAATCCCAGCACTTTGGGAGGCCAAGGTGGGTGGATCAGTGGAGGTCAGGAGTTCGAGACCAGCCTGGCCAACATGGTGAAACCCCATCTCCACTACAAAGATTAGCCAGGTGCGGTGGTGGGTGCCTGTAATCCCAGCTACTCGAGAGACTGAGGCAGGAGAATCACTTGAACCCAGGAGGCAGCGGCTGCAGTGAGCTGAGATCGCACCACTGCACTCCAGCGTGGACTATAGAGTAAGACTTAGTCTCAAAAAAAAAAAAAAAGTCTCTTTGACCCCCTGCTCTCAGTTCTTTTGGGCAAATACCCAGAAGTGGAATAATTGCTGGATCACACGATAATTCTATTTTTAAGTTTTGGAGGATCCACCATATTTTTTTCCATGGCAGCTGCACTGCTTTATATTCCCACCAATAGTGCACAAATGTTGCAATTTCTCCAAATCCTTGTTATTTTACTTACTGTTTTGATAGGAGCCATCCTAATGGTTGTGAGGTGGTTCAGAGATGCTTTGTGAGTGAGCATTAGTTTGTGCTACTGTTTTGCATGATCATGCATTGTGTGTCCTGGCCCTGGGTAACAAGAAGCCACTAGAAATTCTGTGGGGGCGTCTCAGAGACCTAAGCCCCAAGGATGGTAATGAACATGTCTGATCACAGTGACAAGGAAGGTGAGGCTTTGGTGAATGTTCTTAGATATCTTCAAATATGAGACTTAGGGCAACATCTGCTTGATAATCCTGTTCACAAATTTTCCCTGGAACTTATCTTTTCTTCTTTCAGAAGGTTAAGAGGCAAGATGAAAAGGGAATAAACCTGTAATTGACGATTCAGCGTAAATATAAACACTGACTATGCTAGACATATGGTACATTATTTCCTTTGCTGAATTCACTCCCACCAGGACAATTGCAATACCTGGAAAAAAAATCTACTTCTCCTGGGGCTCTGACAGCTTAGTGAGGGTTTTCATAGACTAATAAGGTGTTGATAATTCAAGTTTGATGTGTTATCTATCTGCTTAACTTTTTTTCTGCATTTACAGCATTTCCAAAAATACATTTCCTAAATTATCCACTTCCACTTTCAGTAAAAGACTATAAGATCATTTTAAATTCCAGGATCTAGGTTGTCTCACATCTGTCCCAGATACCATTTCTGATGGAGAATAATTGCTCACATCTTTGAGTAGAGTGGGGAGGTAGGGATGGTTCGATAACACTTTCTAGTTCTTTTCAGAAGAACTTAAAAAAGAAAGGCAGAGATGGGAAAGGGGCAAAAATTCCACCATCCCGATGTTTAACTATAGAAACTTGGGGGCCTCAAATGCAATTAATTGAAAAGCTCATGCATTCATGTATTCCCACATTTAGAATGCAAGGATCACCAGCAATGCCATTCTGATTTGTCAGTTTTCCAGTTCCTGACAAAAGGTAGGCTTGTTGGAAACCACTGAGATCCTAAGGAGATGGTCTGAGAAACACTGTATGAACTGCAAATTTTTTGATGCTCCATTCCAGTATCAAGTGAGCTCCCCAGCAATCTGTACACTTGGCCTCTCTTCCTCTGGATTCATGCAGAGATGCCAGCAATTTAACGTTATGTTTTTGGCTTTCACTGGAGGCATGAAATAAGAACTGGCCAGAAGGAGAACATTACTGCAATTTTTTTTTTTTTTTTTGCAAAGCAATGTTCTTCTCAGTTCAGGACACCATTATCTTTTGCTTATACTATTTCAATAGGGCCCTGATTGGTCCCTGTGCTGTGATTCGTATCCCCTCCTCCGCCATCCATTTATTACACTGAGTAATCATCTAATCATTCTAAAAGGCGTGTTTCATCATGTCTCTCCTCATGATTACACAAGGCTCTGGGCAGCGGCTCTCCCATGGTTACAGGATACATTCCAGACTCTGCACCATATCCCAGGAGCCTCTCCATCACCTGATCATGGGCCATTTCTTCAGCGCCATCTTGCACTAAGTTCCCTCCCACTAAGGGCTTGAGGAAGCCCTGCCGTGTAACCTGCATTTGCCCTGACATGCTCTGCTCTTCCTCCCTTCCATCACTTCCCGCCTTCTCTTCCCTCTGCTTCCCCTTCAGCTTTGCTTAAGTCCTATTCTGCTTCAAAGTTTAACTCAGGTACATCCGTTCCAGGAAATTACCCCTAATCCTCCCCTCTGCTCCCCATGTCCTCCCAGTCTGCCATATGCACCCCTTATGTGTTCCTGTAAACCTCCACCCATACCTCTACCTTGTATCATACCCTTGTCTATCAATCTATACAGCTCCCTCTTGGCTGTAAGTATCCGACAGGACAGGTAATTGTGCATCCTTGTGTCCCCAGTATCTAGGCACCCACTGCAGAGCTTCTTAGAGCCCTTAGTGGGAGGAAAGAGGGCAAGATGGTGCTGGAGAAATGATCTAGCATTTAGTAGACTTGCAAATACATGTTGAGTGAAACAGCCCCAAATCCTCTTCTGTGCCACAAATCTATGCTTTATTGTCCCATTGCTAGGGCCACCCCATGACAAAAGTGTCATTTGTCCCTATTTGACCATCAAAGATCCTGGAACGCCTAATTGCACCTACGCTGATTTCTGTCTCTGCTGGGGATCCAGAAGTGACAAGCTGATGAACAGGGGAAATGGGAGTTTGTTTTGTTTGTTTTGTTTTGTTTCATTTGTTTTTTGTTTTTTTGAGACAGAGTCTCACACTGTCGCCAGGCTTGAGTGCAGTGGCGTGATCTTGGTTCACTGCAACCTCCGCCTCCCAGGTTCAAGCAATTCTCCTGCCTCAGCCTCCTGAGTATCTGGGACTACAGGCGCACGCCACCAAGCCCAGATAATTTTTGTACTTTTAGTAGAGATGGGGTTTTATCATATTGGCCAGGATGGTCTTGAGCTCTTGACCTCGTGATCCACCCGCTTCAGGCTCCCAAAGTGTTGGGATTACAGGCGTGAGCCACAGCACCTGGCCTGTTTGTTTGTGTGCTTGTTTTTTTTTTTTTTGAGATGGACTTTCCCTCTTGTTTCCCAGGCTGGTGTGCAGTGGCGCGAACTCAGCTCACTAAAACCTCTACCTCCTGCGTTCATGCGATTCTCCTGCCTTGCCCTCCCGAGCAGCTGGGATTATAGGCGCCCGCCACCACTCTCAGCTAATTTTTGTATTTTTAGTAGAGACGGGTTTTCATCATGTTGGCCAGGCTGGTCTCAAAGTCCTAATCTCAGGTGATCCACCCACCTCGGCCTCCCAAAATGCTGGGATTACAGGCATGAGCCTCCGCACCTGGCCAGAAAAGGGAGTTTTTTTATAGTATACCTGTGTCAGCAGCACCCTAGTTTCCCTTTGGGATTCTACCTTTCACATGCCAAAGATGTGGTCAGTGCAGGAGTCTCTGAGGATGCCTTCCTCCAGATTCGATGTCCCTTATTCCTGGCAGAGCCTGGGTAGGCACCTGATCTAAGCTCAGCTATCTGGAATATCTACACTGAAGTTTTGAATTTTGGGTTAAACGAAGGAAGGAGAGACAAAATGGCCAGGGTTTATTTAAGCCAGCTGGCCCTTGACCTGACTGTGGTGGAGGGGACTAGACAAACCAGGTGAACGAGTTAAAATTTGTCTGTTCCCAACAGGAACCCCCAAACAACTTAATGGCTGATATGAAATAAAAATATATTTGTCCCTCATGTAAAAGACGTCCATGGGGGTCGGGCGCAGTGGCTCATGCCTGTAATCCCAGCAGTTTGGGAGGCCAAGGCAGGTGGATCACCTGAGGTCAGGAGTTCGAGACCAGTCTGGCCAACATGGTGAAACCCCATGTCTACTGAAAATACAAAAATTAGCCACGTGTGGTGGCACACACCTGTAGTCCCGGCTACTCAGGAGGATGAGATAGGAGAATCGCTTAAACCCAGGAGGTGGAGGTTGCAGTGAGCTGAGATCGTGCCACTGCACTCCAGCCTGGATGACAGAGTGAGACTCTGTCTCAACAACAACAACAACAAAAAAAGTCCATGAATAAGCAGCCCATGAATGGTGGACAAACTCTTCCTCTGTGTCCCTAGGCTGTGAACCTGTTCTCAAAACCCAAAATGGCTGCTATAGCACCAGTCTTCACATCAGTGTTTTGGGGCAACAAGATGGAGGAAGCCGAAGGAAAGAGAGAATGACTCCTCCTTTTAAAGATACTTCCAGGAAATTTCACACTACTTTCATTTATATCTCCTTAGCCAGAACTTTGTCAGGTATACATCTAGCTGCAGGGGCAGTTGTGGCATGTGCTCTTTCAAGTGGGGGACAGTATTTTTAGTGTAAAATCATGATTATGATACTAAAGAAGGGGATAATATTTGTTGGAAATTGGCCAGACACGGTGGTTCACACCTGTAATCCCAGCACTTTGGGAGGCCGAGGTGGGCAGATGACCTGAGGTCGGAAGTTCAGGACCAGCCTGGCCAACATGGTGAAACCCCGTCTCTGCTAAAAACACAATCATTAGCTGGGCGTGGTGGCAAGCACCTGTAATCCCAGCTACTTGGGATGCTGAGGCAGGAGAATCACTTGAACCTGAGAGGCAGAGGTTGCATTGAGCCAAGATTGCACCACTACACTCCAGCCTGAGCAAATAAAAAAATAAATATATGTATACATATATATGGCGATACATATATATTTGTTGAAAATCAACTAGTAGACTTTCTATACTATTTTGTTGTTGTTGTTATTTTGAGAGGGATTAGGAGTTGAAGGATTATTTCATGATAAGCTTGAAGTGTTATTGCCTCTATACTTGGTTAATGGCTAAGCTGGTACGATAATATTAGTAGCAGCAGGAACAGCACATGTCTTTGAGGAACTTCTAGATAACAGGCTCAATACTGGGGCTTTACATCTGTGCATCATTACCATAAACCTCACTGTCCTTCCAATCCTTATTCCCCTTACACAGACGACGAAACATGTCTAAGATCATAGAGTCCTAGAGCTGGGTTTGAATGTCTATCTGGCTTAAAATTTCACATTCTCTCCCTTTCCATGTCTTTGTGAGCTGCCTGCAATCCCATAGAAAAAACAACTTTAGTTAGTGCAATACTTTTAGCATCAGTTAAATGCTAAAAGCATCACTTTAGTTAGTACAATCACTTCAGTTAGTGCAATGCTCAGAAATGCTGTTTTTTTTCTGGAGATCAGCAGGCAAGGGCTCTATAAAGGAAGGGGACAGTGGGGGATCGCTAATCATGTGTGGGATAGGCAATTTCATGATCACATTCTCGTGAGATGTGTAATGTTCTCATTTCATTTCTGGGATTATGATGAAATAAGAAGTGGATTTTCTGTGAGAAAGGTTTTTGGTTGTTTGTTTGTTTGTTTTTAGACTGTTTGGCCTCATTTCTTAAAACAAAGTCCAATATTCCAGGAACTCATAGGTTCTGGTTTGGGAATCTTAAGGCTCAGTGTTGAACAGGCAATAGTTTATTTATTAAACATTTTCAAGAATTTATGGCCCAGTGTGGTAGCTCATGCCTATAATCCCAGCACTTTGGGAGGCCAAGATGGGAGGACTGTTTGAGGCCAGGAGTTTGAGACCAGCCTGAGCAATATAGCAAGACCTTGTTTCTATAAAAAAAAATTTTTTTTAAAAAAATCCAGGCATGAGTGGTGCAAGTCAGTAGTCCTACTACTTGGGAGGCTGAGGCAGGAGGCAGGAGGATGGCTTGAACCTAGGAATTTGAAGTTGCAATGAGTTGTGATTGCATCACTGCACTCCAGCCTGGGCAACAGAAAGAGATCCTATCTCTTAAGAAAGAATTCACTTGAGCTTTCATTATGACAGGAGTAAGAAAAAATTGTGCATGAAAAATCATATATAAACAGATCAAAGTGGGTACACACATGTGTTCCCTGCTGAGAAGAAATAACCAGTTCTAAGTGATGTTGGCTGAGTATATGTATATGTGTGTATGTGTGTATGTATGTGTGCTTTTGAGGCAGACTGCTGGACCGAATAGAGTAGAAATCTTACAGGTAGAACTTACAGAGCTTAGACAGTTTAGAAACATAGTGACTCAAGTCACTATGTTTGGAATTGATAGTAACAATTAAAGGAACCCAGCAGCTAAAAGCAAGGTCATGGCTTAGATTTGCCAAGCCAGGCAGAAGTTCATTGAAAATCCATACAACAAGAAAGGCACGTGATAGGGATGAAATGATTCTGATATTGGCAGGTTTCCATTTCTCAGCCTAAGTCACCCAGCTGAGACATGTGGGCGCCGCGTAGTGACAGCTGACAAAATAAATGTATTGATGGAATGATCAGCAAGTTCCCTGCTGAGTGACAGAGGAGGCCAGCGAGATTAGAGGTCTATGGCCAATTATCTGAATTGGTCATCATCCAAGCTAGTCATCATTTTCACCATTGAAATTGGCTTTCATTGACTGAAGCTTTTTAAGAGAAGTTCTTTGAGAGCTGAACGCACATTTCCAGTCCATTAATTTTTACAGTGTTAAGGTAAGGCCAGAAATATACTCTGAGAAGAGCATACTGTAATATAGGGATGTTGGACCACAAGGCATAGGATTCAGAGGACTGAGCAGGAAGAGATGTCTTTGTGGGACTCGAAGTGGGACAAGGAAGAGTGCCCTGACTAAGGTAAGAAATGCAGAATGCCAGACACCCAAGAAACCAAACAGTGAAGGCTTTCTTTGCTGCTGAGATGAAGAGATAGGATTTTACCAATGGCAGAATGAGCAGGCAACATTTAGCATGTGATTATAACTTTCCAGCCCAGCATGGTGGCTCACGCCTGTAATCTCAACACTTTGGGAGGCTGAGGTAGGCAGATCACCCGAGGTCAGGAGTCTGAGACCAGCCTGGCCAACACGGTGAAACCCCATCTCTACTAAAAATACAAAAATTAGCTGGGTGTGGTGGCTCACACCTGTAATCCCAGGACTTTGGGAGGCCAAGGCAGGCGAATCATCTGAGGTCACGAGTTTGAGACCAGCCTGGCCAACACGCTGAAACCCCGTCTCTACTAAAAATACAAAAAATTAGCTGGGTGTGGTGGTGCACGCCTGTAATCCCAGCTACTTGGGAGGCTGAGGCAGGAGAATTGCTTGAACTCGAGAGGCACAGGTTGCAGTGAGTTGAGATCATGCCACTGCACTCCAGCCTGGGTGACAGAGCAAGACTTGGTCTCAAAAACAAACAAACAAAACTTTCCACAAAGTGGAATGCAAAGAGACTGAAACCACTTAGCACCAGTGGTATCTGGGCAAATTACTCATCTTATATGAAACCCAATTTCCTAACGTGTAAAATGGAAACAAAAATAGTACCTCCGTTGTGGGGTGGGGGGGGGTCTAGTACAGATTAAATGAGATACTGCATTATGAGGCACATAGCACTCGATAAATTAAGATGGTAACTGAAGGGCTGGATTTATTACGGATGGAGAGAAGAGACGGCAGCTTGACCCTAAGGGAAGCTGGCAGGGTTTTCCTTCCAGCCTGCAGAGCTCGGGGCACGTAGTGGGGGCAGAAACCCAGGACAGCTGTGAGACTGAACGCAGGAGTGAATGCGCCTCCACGTCTTGACTGCTTGCCTAGTCAATTCTCAGTGCCCGTATGTATTTCACTCACTCGATGCTCAATTAACAGAAACACTATATAACACGTGTCACACTTCTTAATAAAACTTTGTAGTAGGAGTGATTTTTCATTAATTCAGATACCCTTAATAGTACCAATAAAGATTTATGTTGCCTGGTGAGAGCCTGTGAAGCTAATTATATGGGGAAATTTAAAAACATCACCTGAACGTGGTGCTATAAGAATACAGCCATGTCTTCATTGCATCTGGCATCATTCTTTCCTTCCTTCATTCATGCCTTCAACAAAAAGCTTTTGAATAATGTTAGCCTCAGTATGGGCATGTGGCAAATTCATTTGAGCAGGTTTAAGAAGAAAATCTCAGCGTGTTCTGGACTTAGGAATCATACTGAGTCTAAAATTTTTTTTGGCTTTACCTAAGGATTTGCTGTATGATTTCTTCATGTTAGAAACTTCTTTGGTGAATTTGGTTATCTTGTATGACTGCACAGGACTTTACAGTTTACAAATAACTTTCAAGAATATTCACTTGGGTTGTACAATAGTTCTGATAGTAGGAAAGGCAAGGATTATTACTTCCTCTTGCCAGATGGAAAAATGCCCCTCCTGCCATATTAAGATACGTGTCTGGCCTTGGAAATAATATGCAATACATTAGGTTGGTGCAAAAGTAATCGCAGCTTTTGCCATTACTTTTAAATAAATGGCAAAAACCACAGTTTGCACCAACATAATCGCTCCTAGTCCAGTGTTTGCTCTATTTTATCATACAGTCTGTTGGATAATCGACTTCTACTCAATTTGGCACTTTACAGTTTATATTTTCATGTGCATTACTTTGCTTATCTTCACAGCAATCTTATGAAACAGGCCAGTAATCATGATCATCATCGTCATTGATATCATCCTCCTCAATAATTATCCCCATTTTTTAGGCGAGATAATTGATGCTCACAGAGGAAAGATCTTCCTGCAAGTGGAGCCAGTGTGAATCAACACATAATGGATGGAATTAGTCAGCTGCAGATGTAATCTATTCTAAGAGCTTTTATAAACGTGTTGCTAAGGGGATTCGGGGACCTCTAGACAATCCCATCAGATCGGCTCATCTTTTGGTCTAATCGGGGTGGCCAGAGTGTGCTCAGGACAAACATGCGAAGAAAAGCCAGCCTCACCCTCACAAATCACTCCTCGTTTGTCCAAACAAAGACCCTAATAATAGAAAGACATTTGAGTCCAGTCTAGAAAGGGGAAGTCCGTGAGCCAGAGCTTGTCAGAACTGATGAAAGAATGTGCTCTGTCTAGGGAGAAGAATTCTGTGGGCTGCTTGATCAATTTCTTCTTAAAGCGAGAGACCCTAGGCCACCAAAGTAGGCAACTGTGACCTGAAGAGCACCCGGGTCTCTGACTGGTTCTAGGTGCCCCATGTGGTCACAAAGGGGAGAGTGGCTTTCCTTGTAGACTTGCCTCTGGGAGTAAGAATGGAATGGCCACTGACTCTAAAAGTTTGATCAGCAGGTGTCAGGACCTTTGGAAATGAAGCCTCTTGTATTTAAGTTGAGCTGTGCTCTAGACTCTGTCAGCCTTGCTGCAGGCTGTCCTGGAATGGGGTGGTAGGTCTCTACTATCAGCTGGCTCCCATCCAGATGTCTTTCCGGCAGAGTGGTTAAGAGCACAGGTTTTAGATGAGAAAAATCTGGGTTTAAATGTCCTTCATGCCACTTGGTACTAGTGGCACCTGGGCAAATCATTGATCATATATGAAATTCAGTTTTCTAATATACGAAACAGAAATAAAAATAATACCTACCTTATAGAAGGTGTTGTGAGGATTAAATGAGATAAGGAAGCAGAAATTTTTCCTTGACCCCTTCGTGGGAGGGAACTGGAGTGTGGGTGCTGGAGCTAGCCAGCTGCTTGGTTGTCGACAGGGTTCCACTCACTGGAACCCTTTGTGCTCAATCCCTCACAGGAGGCAGCACATAGGTGAGTGGGGGCAAGAGCTGTGACAATTGCCTTTGGGCACTGGCAGGAGCGAAACTCCACGCAGTCCCCACAGCAGCATCTGAGGTGTAGTACCCACGACTCCCAAAGCCCCAGAGGGTGTATGTTATGGTGCCCTTTTAGCTTTTCCATCCACGGATGGCTTAAGTGTTAAACAGCTCATTTGTGTGAGGTGGTTGCTCTCCACCAGCGAGGGCAGAGTGTCAGGGTGACAGCCTTTAGTATCTGCACCTGTGGCACCTGAGCTCTTGCTGCACGAATGAATTGAAGGGTGGTGAATACAGAGGATTTTATTGTTGATGAAAGTGGATCTCAGTGGGAAGGGGAGCTGGAAAGGGGATGGAGAGGGAAGGTGATCTTCCCCTGGAGCAACGCTATCAAACCATGCCTCTGAAGTCAAGCTGCCTCTCTCTGACATCGTACTGTAGTCTCCAACGCGCAGCTGTTTCTTCTCTTTTTTCCTTTCTGTTGGCACAACCTGGAGTTTTTATGGGCACAGGATGGGGGGGCAGGGAGGGAGGGCCATGAGTGATTTTGGAAAAGGCAACATTCAAGTGGGAAACCAGGGATGTAAAGTTCTCACTTTGGGCTGCAGTTCCAGGCTTGAGGGTGGGACCCTTGCTGGGGACCCACCCTCTTCTGCCTAGAATTTTCCTGCCTCCTGTTCCTATCAATAATGCACTGTCTTTAGCACATCACTCTCAATAAATTAAGATTATAATTTCAATAGGATAAATGACCTACTTTTCACGTGACTTTCAAAGAAAGGGATGCATCAAAAGTCATGTGACTTTCAAAGAAAGGGATCTCATCAAAAGGGATGCATCTATGTTAAAATGTCCATTTATGTTTATTGTTAAACTTGATAAATGGAAATGGTGGCTGTGTGTTGGTAAACCTCAGTTAGGATACATAATAAAAACACTTGATCAGGGAAGATTTATCAAGTGAGACATGCTTCTATGGAGATTCAGGTATCCCTGGAGTTTGCTTGTTTTTGGTTCCCCAATCGTTTTAATGAATGACTGTGTGAATGAGAACTGTTATTAATGAAATGTGCATGGTGCCCACCCTCAACGGGTTGGGAGCTCCTGGTCATGTTATCCCACATCTTACATGGATGAGTAGTCCTGGGAGTACATCTGCTTATCAACAGCCACCAGACCAATGAACGGATAATTTCTTTGAGAACCAAGCAGGTTAAACAAATGTGTCCAAATGGTTGAACACAAAGAGGGACTATTGGGAGATGAAGGCAAAGGTGCCTGCATGGAATGGTTCTGAGCTTCCTCTTTTTTCCTCTGTCCGTTCTTTGGAGGAGAAGCTAATCATGGTTAGCAAGAGACCTTGGATTTGGCTGAAGCATGAGCCTGAAACCAGGCCGGTACAAGTAAATTCTAGCTCTGTGCCATGCCTAGGGGACCACTGAAGTATGTGTGGAATGGACAAAAGAAGCAGACTCCTGGGAAGGAAGAAGCCAGAGCCCATGGTGGTGCTAGGAGAAGGTTTTGGGTAAGAACAAATCAAGGAGTTAGGACAAAATTAAATCAGAACTAAAAGGAAATTGACATGGAATCAAAGAACAAGATTTGGAAGTCCAGAGACCAAGCTGGCTCAAGCCAAAAGTGGGCTGCCTGTGGAACAACATTCCAGAGAAATGGGAGGAGGGTACTAAGAAGGAATAAAGACAAGGAAGTCCAAAAATCACAAACTGTTGCCGGGAAAGGACATGTGTGAGCCAGGCAGTGTTTTACTGGAGGCTCCTGCCTGCTCCAGATGACCATTCCTGTTCAGTTCTTGGTGATTGGTTGCTGCCCTCCAAATACCATAGGGGTACCCACCATCTTCTGGCAGGAGGAACGTCAAGGGGAAGGCTAGCTCTGATGTTCCATCCATCAGTTTTCCCATCACTTCCACCATGTAGCATGAAATGAGCATTGTCCCAGGAGTCAGAAAAACCTGGATTCTTAAAGTAGTGCTCCTTCGAACCCTTATCTTGAACAAGGTCCTGCTCTTATAAAATGGAAGTAGCAAGGCTGGCTATGGTTCCTTGCAGCAAAGTCTCTTGCAGTATTTCAAATTTATTCTATTTTAGAAAGGTAATGGTGCACAGGCTTTGTTCTGCGTATACCTCCTGATATGGTTTGGATCTGTGTCCCTACTGAAATCTCATGTTGAAATATAACTCCCAGTGCTGGAAGTGGGCCCTGGTGGGAGGTGATTGGATCATAGGGGCAGTTTCTCATGGTTTAACACCATGACCCCCTTGGTCCTGTCCTTGCGATAGTGAGTTCTCATGAGATCTGGCTGTTTAAAAGTGTGTAGCACCTCCCTCCTCTCTCTCTTCCTCCTGCTCCAGGCAAGTGAAGTGCCAGCTTCCCCTTCACTTCTGCCATGACTGTAAGTTTCCTGTGGACTCCCCAGAAGCAGATCAGAAGCCACTATGCTTCCTGTACAGCCTGCAGAACTGTGAGCCAGTTAAACCTCTTTTCCTTATAAATTACCCAGTCTCAAGTATTTCTTTATAGCAATGTGAGGACTGACTAACACCTCTAATGGGGTCTGCACAGCGCCCAATAATCAAACACCCATGTACATGTCTCCAATCTCCCCTTTTGTCCTCAGAATCCCATCTGCAGATCCATTCCTTAGAGTCTTTCCTTGACTCTTTGTAGCTGTGTGGCCTCCAATGAAAGACCAGAACCCAGAACTCTCCCTGTCGCTGTGACAGATATAAAAGGGTGTTGACAAAGCAAACCTGTTGGAAGCTCAGGGCACTCAAGAGTGTGTTACTTCCTGCCTGGGAGGAGTCACATGGTTAGGGAAATAAGGCAGTGTGCGTGTGTTTGCTGCCAGGAATTACTATGGGGAGAAGGTGCTAGAAATTATTATGGAAGAAGGTGCTAAGCACAGGACCAGAAGGATGGAAAATTAGAAAATAACAAACTAAATGTGGCATCAATATGCAAAAATGGGAGTGTGCCTGATGGAGGAAATTACAGGTCTATCAGTTTAATATTCATTGCATATAGGAGAATGCAAGCTTCCTATTGTACACAGGAGTGTAATTAAATCAAGGAGTTGGACTAAAATTGGCTGCTAGAGAGGCTGAGGAATTAGCGGCAGCTCCCAAGTTGCCTCCTGCCCAAGCCTTGCACCTGGGAGGCTGTGCAGAAACCATGTCACCCCTTATGAGAGGGTTAAGGGAGCCACCCAGTAAACATAGATTTTATTTTGCTCCTCCTGTTCTATTTAACACACAAGCCCAGTTGTCCCTAGGCCATTTGAGGACAGAGATACATGAAAAGCAGATTTAGGCTTCCAGGAAAAAAAAAAAAAAAAAAGCCTGTTTTTTGTCACTCAAAATAGAGAAATCCCATGAATGAGGCATGAGCTGAATTCTAGCTCCTCATGGCGCATCTCTGTCTGGGCAGGGATGTGAGGCTGGCGGGAGTCACATTCTGCAGACCCAGAGGAAGGAGAGAGCATTTCCAGGCTCTGGCTTTTCTTGTTTTATGGACAACAGTGACCCCAGAAACTGGGCAAATCATACCTCTTTCCTGGATCCTTGAAGGGCCCTGCAGCCTCGGTAAATGTAGAGCCCTTCAGGTTGGTGTCTATTTCTGGTTGTTCTTCCACCTCCCTGGCTACGTGTCTCCTGCCTCTAAGACTAAGGTCCAGAGATGCCTGACCCAACTCTCACCTTTAGAGAGAGCTTATGTCTCTCAATGGAACAGCTAAGGACTTGCACCATTAAGGCTTAGAGTTACAATTCTACCTGGGTCCCCTATTCAACAACCCCTCCCTAAAAGCTTACTTCATGCCAGGTCCTAATCAAGGGTCTGGAGGTTTAGGGTTAAGTAAGAAAAGCCCCTGCCCCTCAGGAACGGGACAGAGAGGTAACCATGGGGTTAGGTGATATGGGCAAGAGCCCTGGTGTAGCGGATCCTCTGAGGAGTCACTGCCTGCCGACACACATTCAAACTTCTTGTTTTATGGACAGCAGTGACCTGGGATACTGGGCAAATCATACCTCTTTCCTGGATCCTTGAAGGGCCATGCAGGCTGGGTAAACAGGGAGACATTTGAGCAAACCCTTATACATCAAGGGTTTGCCATGCAGCTACCTGGAAGAGCATCTGTTTGGGACATTGGAAACAGCCAACAGAAGGTAAAATCAGTATCTGCAGAATTTGCCATATGATGGGGAAGAGAGGAGGATACAGCAAAGCCAGTGAGATAAGAAAAAAGGAATAGTATGGAATCTTAGAATCATGGGGTTCAAGTCAAAACTCCCCCACATTCTGAACAAGCTCTTTTAAAATTTGTATTTATTTATTTTATTTTTAGAGACAGGGTCTCACTCTGTCGACTAGAAGAGCAGTGGCAGGATCATAGCTTGCTGTAGTCTCAAACTCCTGGGTTCAAGTGATCCTCCTGCCTTGGCCTCTTGAGTAGCTGGGACTCCAGTTGCACATCACCATGGTCAGCTAATCTTTGTATTTTGGGTAGAAATGGAGCAAAGCACTTTACACATATTGATACATTTAATCTTAATAAGAACCTGTGAGCAGCCATAATTATCAGTCTCATTTTGCTATTGAAATGCCGGGGGTTTGGTCTAGGTTCCGCTGCTCGCCATGCAGAAAGCCAATCACTGAGATGACAATTATTGCCAAAGGAGAAGGCTTTAATCGGGTGCTGCAGCTGAGGATATGGGAGATCAGTTTCAAACTCATCTTCTTGACCAACTAGAATTAAGCGTTTATATAGCAGGGAAGAAATGTAACCATGTGTGGGAAAACTGGAACTAGGGAGGGGTAAGGAAGTGGAGCTGGTCAACAAGAAGCAGGTGGTTTGTTAGGAAAACAAGTATTAGGGAGGAATAAGGAAGCAATCATGATGAGTGAGAGGTCTGGCATCTATTTTTCTGGATGTGGTGATGTGAGTTTCAGTTCTTTGATACTTTTTGAGAGGCCTGAGGGTCATTTCCTGGGGAAGGAACTCAAATAAAACAACTGTAAGATTCAAGATTTAATACCAGAAGGTCAATTTCTCTGTTTATCAAAAAAAAAAAAAAAAAAAAAAAAAAGAAAAAAGAAAAAGAAAGAAAGAAAGAAAAAAACCGGTTTATAGGACTACTGGATTGGTTTCAATTTGACTGGCAAGGAAACAAGACTCAGAACGTTTGTAATCACAGCACTTTGGGAGGCTGAAGCAGGAAGCTCACTGGAGCCCCGGAGTTCGAGACCAGCCTGGGCAACACAACCAAACTCAGTCTCTACCAAAAATACAAAGATTAGCCGGGCATGGTGGTGTGCACCTTCAGTCCCAGCTACTCAAGAGGCCAAGGTAGGAGGATCAGTTGAACCCAGGAGTTTGAGACTGCTGTGAGCTACGATCCTGCTGGTGCACTTCTGGGTGACAGAGCAAGACCCTGTCTCTACAAATAAAAATAAATTAAAAAATAAATACACATTTAAAAAAGCTTGTTCAGAATGTGGGGGAACTTTGAGTTGAACCCCATCATGTGGATTCTAGGATTCCATACTCTGTTCCTTTTCTGTTCCTTTTTTTTCCCCCTGTCTTATTGGCTTTACTGTATCCTCCTCTCTTCCCCATCATATGTCAAACTCTGCAGATACTGATTTTTCCTTAGGACTGTCATTGGTGGTTTCCAGTGTCCAGAACAGATGTTCTTCTAGGTTGCTACATGGCCAACCCTTGACTTATTAAGAATTTGCTCAAATGTCACTTTTTCCTTGGGCCCTGCCCCTCCTCCCAGCATTCTTAACCCACCTGTCCCTATTCTATTTTGTGTAACATACATCTCTTTCAAAAATGGTTTATTTATTTATTTATATATTTATTCATTTATTTTTAGAGATAGGGTCTTGCACTGTCACCCAAGCTGGAGTGCAGTGGTGCAATTATAGCTCACTACAGCCTTGAACTCTTAAGCTCAAGCGATCCTCCCACCTCAGCCTCCCAAATAGTTAGGACTACAGACATGTACCAACATGCCCAGCTAATTTGAAAATAGTTTTTATAGAGATGGGGTCTCACTATGTTGCACAAGCTGGTCTTTTTTGTTTTATTTTATTTTATTTTATTTTTAGACGGAGTTTTGGTTTTGTTGCCCAGGCTGGAGTGCAATGGTACAATCTCGGCTCACTGCAACCTCCGCCTCCCGGGTTCAAGCGATTCTCCTGCCTCAGCCTCTCAAGTAGCTGGGATTACAGGCACGTGCCACCATGCCCAGCTAATTTTTTGTATTTTTAATAAAGATGGGGTTTCACCATGTTGGCCGGGCTGGTCTCGAACTCCTGACTTCAGGTGATCCACCCACCTCGGCCTCCCAAAGTGCTGAGATCACAGGTGTGAGTTGCCATGCCTGGCTCAGGCTGGTTTTGAACTCCTAGCCTCAAGCAACCCTCCTGCTTCAGCCTCTCAAAGTGCTGGGATTATAGATGTGAACCACAGTGGCTGGCCAGATTCGATGTTTATTACTCTTCTTGTTAATGTTTTTCTCTCTTCACTAGAATGCAAACTCCATAAGGGCAAGGGTTTTTGTCTCTTTTTGCTCACGATTGTATTCTAGGCACTTACAGCACTGCCTGGCATGCAGGCGGTACTCAATACATGCTTACTGATTGAATGGAGGAGTTAATGAGTATCCCTAAATAAAATAAAACCAAGTAGAGATGCTCAGTCTTTATTTAGTTCTTGTTCAAAATTCATTTCAAGAAACTAGATCTTTATTGTGCTATTGTCAAGGAGTCTTAGCTTCACTCCAAAATACTTGACAAGATGCTGGCTGCCTGCTCATACTGGGGCAGATGTTCAGCTGATAAACACAGACCAATCACAGTGGGTGCCCACTGGCCCCATGGCGGGCCAGTGCTGGTTCCATACTGATTGTTCAGTGTTTTGAATATGACCCTTATTAACCACTGTGGGAATGGGCTCTGGTTTTTTTTTTTTTTTTTTTTTGAGACAGAGTCTCGCTTTGTAGCCCAGGCTGGAGCACAGTGGCACGATCTCAACTCACTGCAAGCTCCGCCTCTCTGGGTTCAAGTGATTCTCCTGCCTCAGCCTCCCAAGTAGCTGGGACTACAGGTGCCCGCCACCACACCTGGCTAATTTGTTTTGCATTTTTAGTAGAGAGGGGGTTTCACCGTGTTAGCCAGGATGGTTTCGATCTCCTGACCTCGTGATCCTCCCACCTCGGCCTCCCAAAGTGCTGGGATTACAGGCATGAGCCACCGCGGCCGGCAGGGAATGGGCTCTTTTCTTTACCAGCCCTGCTTTCCTTCTAATGTGGTCACTCTATATATTGTATTTTGCAGCATTTCAACTCAGCTGCTGGATAAACTGGTCAAGTTAATTCAATTCCTGTGTGTCCTTCTTTTCATCTGTAAAATGAAGATAGCATTTTCACCCCCTTCATGAGAATCAAATAAAATAGTGAATGCACTGTGCTCAGGTCCAAGCCAGGTGGGTAGCACACATTCCATAAATGCCAGCCATTAGAATTACCACCTCCGTTCTGCCCAGATGGGCTGTGGGAGTCATGCTTTATTCCATTCGGCTGACTGTGGAACTTCCTGGTTGATGTCCTAAGTGAAAATGGATTTCCTCGCTGCGCAGAAACAAAACTGCCATGATTCTTCCTGGGTAGTGCCATTAAACAACCCTCTTGATAGCATTAGCTCAGGGGTTGTTAGTGTTCAATCCATTTCATATAGGCTTTCAATGAACCCAGCTCCATCTCAAGCATATAATATGTCCTGATAAATGTTCATTGTTTTCCCTTTCTACCTGCTTCTCTTCCTGCCAGTCTCAGCTGCTGTTCCTCTCTCCAGAGGCTCTGCCCTTAAGGAATATGCATTTTCAGCCCTGGTTGTAGTGGTTTTAAATAGCAGGAAGCAGGTGGCAGCGGGCTCCCTCCCTTCCCCCTGTGGATACCACTCTACATTGGCAGCCTCTACACGGTTTAACGTGAAACATAAAAATCCTACTCTGGAAGTTTTCCCATGTGATGTTGTCATTGATTAAATGAGCTAATGCATGTCAGGCACTTAGAACAGTGCCTGGCTATTGAGGAAAATTACTAAGAATGTTTATAGTGAATAGTGTTATTTACAAAAATGTTGCAAGGTGATTGTCTTAGTCCGTTTTGTGTTGCCATAAAAGAATACCTGAGGCTGGGTGATTTATAAAGGAAAGAGGTTTGTTTGGCTCATAGTTCTGCACCCTGTACAGAAGCACTGCCCCAGCATCTGCTTCTGGTCAGGACCTCAGGAAGCTTTTACTCGTGGTGGAAGCTGAAGGGGAGCAGATGTGCAGATGTGTCTCATGGTAAGAGAGGGAACAAGGGAGACACCAGGCTCTTTTTAAACAACTAGCTCTCCAGTGAACTCACAAGGTGAGAACTCACTCATTAGCATGGGGAGGGCATCAAAGGTTTCATGAGGTATCCACCCCCATGACCCAAACACCTCCCACCAGGTCCCGCCTCTAACACTGGGATTTGGAGAGGACAAACATTCAAACTATATCAGTGATTTATCTTGAGAAGGTAAAAGACAAAAGTTCTGGTTTCTATTGAGGGAAAATTTCCAGCAGTTCTATTTTTGGCAAAGCCTATGACTGCCTGTACCCTATTGACACGATCCATTTACCTGGGTTCTTCCCCTAGGTGTTCCTAGGGTTAGGAGAGAATATTCCTGGTCAGTATGTTTGTGATCTCTGAGTCATTGGTGTTAGCATCTAACGTTGCAAAGACCCCCAGTAACTCTCATCCAGTTGGAGGAAGACAGTACCTTTTTTTTTTATAGGGTTGGGGGATATATAGCAGTGTGGTGCTCCAGATGGACATGGTCTTGGAAATCAGACCTTGTGTCTGCAATTAGAAAATTTGGGCAATTGATTAAGCTCCCAACACTGTCTCTTCATTCTAAAATGGCGATATAATATGTAACCTGGTGCAGTGTATACAGATTAAATAAAATAGCATATGCACAGGGCTTGAAATGTAAATGTTATTTCTCTCCCAAATACTATAAAAACTGCTTATTAGCCCCAGGGCTTACATTGTTGTGGATAATTATAAAATTATATTTCAACGAATCATCCTAGACCTACTTTCCTAATGCCTCTTCTTTTTCTTGCACGTGTTTCAATGACAACTAGTTAGCTTTCTAACTTGTCACATCACTCACCTACTTTAAGTCTTCATTGGTTTCCTAATATAACTTTTGAAACTGCTTATAATCCAGCATCTGCTACTCTCCCATTCTCACATCTCATCATATCCACACCTTCTCCTTCCCCAACTCACACTTCCTTCTTATTGAACCACTGTGATCTCCTGGTGTGCTTTGCATTTTTATGCCATCAGGCCTTTGCATGCGCTGGTCCCTGAATATAACATGCTTTTCTCATCTTTGACCCTCTAGAGGACTCCTGTGTTTCCACTGATACTTGATCCAAATGTCATTCCAGCCCGGGCATGGTGGCTCACACCTGAATCCCAGCACTTTGGGAAGCCAAGGTGGGTAAATCACCTGAGGTCAGGAGTTCGAGACCAGCCTAGCCAACAAGGTGAAACCCCATCTCTACTAAAAATATAAAAATTAGCCAGGCGTGATGGCAGGTGCCTATAATCCCAGCAACTGAGGAGGCTGAGGCAGGAGAATCACTTGAACCTGGGAGGCAGAGGTTGTGGTAAGCCAAGACCACACCATTGTACTCCAGCCTGGGCAATAAGAGTGAAACTCCATCCCAAAAATAAATAAATAAATAAAAATTTAAAATAAATGTCATTTCATGGAAGAAGCATATCCTCTCAATGACCTTCCTTAACTTTTCCCAACCCAAGAATGGTTACCCACACCTTCCTATGCAACCTAGATACATCCTTTGTTAGCTCTTATGTCAGTACCTGTTACAAATATGTATGGCTATACAAGTAATAGAAAACCGGAGGAGGAATAACTTAAATAAAAAGTTTTTTCCCTTCATTTAACAAAAACACCCAGGCTTTGATAGTAACTGGCATTGATTCAGCTTCTCATGCTGTCATCAGGGAGCTGGGCCCTTTTTGTCCTTGTGCCTTGTCATTACTTGCATGTTAGCTCTCATTCCTGTGTTTGTCACCTCATGGTTGCAGAATGGCTGCTTCTGCACCAGGCATCACATCTGTGTTCAATGCAAAAAGTAGAAGGTAGAGCAGCCTTGGCCATGCCTGTCCATTTTTAAGAGTTCAAAAGCTATCTCAGAATCCCCCAGTATACTTCTGCATATGTTTTATTATCCAAAATTCTATCATTAGCCTACACCTAGCTGCAAGGGAAGCTGATGAAGTAAGGACAGAGCTGGACACATCACCAGCCCAAACACAATTGGCATCTGTTAGAAAAAAAAACAAAAATAATGGATGATGGGATTTAATATTGGAAAAATGATAACAGCATCTGCCACATACAGTTTTGTGTTTTTGTTTTCTGTTTTTGTTTTTGTTTCTGTTTTGAGACAGGGTCTTGTTCTGCTGATCAGGCTGGAGTGCAGTGGCATGATCTCAGCTCACTGCAACCGTGGAGGTGGACTCCTGGGTTCAAGCAATTCTCGTGTCTCAGCCTCCAAGTAGGTGGGACTACAGGCACGTGCCATCATGCCCAGCTAATTTTGCATTTTTAGTAGAGATGGGGTCTTGCCATGTTGGCCAGGCTGGTCTTGAATTCCTGAGCTCAAAGGATTCATCCCGCCTGGGCCTCCCAAAGTGCTGGGATTACAGGTGTGAGCCACTGCACCCAGCCTGCCACATAGAGTACTATAATTCTTTTGTTACTTGTCTTCCTCACCAACCAGAACAGTGAGCTTCTTGAAGACCACACTGCATCTCATTTCCTTCTGCCTGGGACCTACAGTGTCTGGCATAGTGGGCACGCATTAAATGTTTATTGAGTAAATAAACGGAAACTATTTAAATCTCCCAATCCCATGGGTTTATACACAATATAATTCTAGTTTTATTCTTGCCCAGGAAATAGCCAGGTATTTGGCTCCATTCATAGAATCACTTGTTGTTTTGGCATCAGGTGGTTGCAGCCAAAGCTTCACCTTGGACTTAAGACAGTTTACCCCTGGGGAACACACATTGTACAAAATCTCCATGTTGCCAACTCCCAGAAGCCAGAATTTGGTTCTGGTAATAAAAATCTGCAGGGTCTTTAACTCTCAAGAAGCTGCCAGCTGACACAATAGCATTATATTAATTTTCTGTTTAATAAAGCATACTGGAACCCTCAACATGGGCTGAGCAGCCTGCCTGGGGATCGAAGAAACACGAGGCAGCGTTTCACTTAAGGCGGGGGGAAGTGCTAGATAAAGGGAGTCTAATTGAAGTGTACGATATGCTTACCCACGTAGTTGCTGATAAAACATTACTCCTTTTTTTCTTTACACAGTACAAAAGATAAAAATCAGAGCCACTAAGTCAAAATCATATTGAACGTATCCTTTAGTTCAGGTCTGTGTGCCTCTGTGTTTTGTAAGGGATCACCCTTTGAAAGGGAAGCTTTACAGAGATTGTTACTGTAGGGGCTGCAGAGAGGGTATAACTGTGGGCTCATAGGAGGCAGAAGTATTTAAATATAACTCCCGGCAAGAGAGAGGTAAGAATCTCTCATTTGCATGAAGGCTGAAGTTCAAAGCTATTCTACTTGCTATAACTGCAAGTAACCTTTTAATTTGGGTTAAAGAGTGCGTATAATTTCCACTTAATACAAGCAAGCTAAAACAGATAATGGTGAGGTTATATATCCAGATCCTACCTATTTGAGTCTTTGGTAGCTAGGCTAAAAGCTTGCTTTTTTTTTTTTTTTTAAATAATAGTCCTAAACTGTACCTAACCTGAGAGGGATACAGTGATTGGAATGAGTCTTTTATCCTTGACATCACTGTTCCTACCTGTTCCCAATTCTCTCTCTCTCTTTTTAATTTTCTTAATACAGAGTCTCACTCTGTCGCCCAGGCTGGAGTGCAGTGGTGTGATTTCAGCTCACTGCAATCTCTGCCTCCTGGGTTCAAGTGATTCTCTCACCTCAGCCTCCTGAGTAGCTGGGACGACAGGCATGTGCAACCACACCCAGCAAATTTTGTATTTTTACTAGAGACAGTTTCACCATGTTGGCCAGGCTGGTCTTGAACTCCTGATCTCAAGTGATCCACCTGTCTTGACCTCCCAAAGTGCTGGGATTACAGGCATGAGACATTGTGCCCGGCCTCATTGTTCCCACCTGTTCCTAATTCTGATGGAACATGAGAAAAAGGAAAGCTATGCCCATCCATCCAAGACCAATGGGATGAAGGTGATCCCCCAAAGCCCCCCTACCCCACCCATGCCCTTTCCCCATATGTTAGGCAACCTAACCTGGGTCCAGACACAGCCTGTCACAGTCTCCCCGAGGCCCCTGGAAACAGAGATGGTTGAGGCCAGATGATGTGTTTAAAGTGACAGCAGGAGATTTTAACATGTCCTGGAAGCTTGTCTCAAGGTGTTCATCAACCATGTCTGTCTGAGAAAATTAATATCCTGTCCCCTCTGCTGAATGTTTGAGCGGAACCGTTCAACACCTCCAACATAGCCTTTGTACTGACAAACGGAAAATGTAATACCAGCAAAGATTCAGGGGTTTTGTAAGACCATGTATTGGGAATTGTTTATTTTTTAATTATCTTTGCTTGTACCTGGCCCAAGAAATCAGAGAAGGAAGTTTTTAATTTCTAAAAATTATTTAACCTTCCAACAAACAAATAGCGACTCCAAATCCTGATGGCTTAATTTTTTTTTTTTTTTTTGAGATAGGGTCTTGCTGTGTTGCCTAGGCTGGAGTGCAGTGGTTATCTCAGTTCACTACAACCTCCGACTCCTTGGTTCAAGCAATTCTCCTGCCTCAGCCTCCTGAGTAGCTGGGATTACAGGTGTGTGCCACCACGCCCGACTAATTTTTGTATTTTTAGTAGAGATGGGGTTTCACCATGTTGACCAGGCTGGTCTCAAACTCCTGATCTCAAGTGATCCGCCCGGCTCAGCCTCCCAAAGTGCTGGGATTACAGGCATGAGCCACCACACCTGGCCGAGTTTGTCATAAATTCTTGATAACTTAGGAGGAAGAGCAGAATGAGGAGAGGGTTAGGGAGCCATTTAAAATTGTTTTCATCCCTACACAGGAAACATTCCACGACCAAAGGCAAAATTTAACTTCTGCTTCTCCTCTCCTTCCTACTCAAAGCAAAGTCTCAGAATTGCTACTTTTTATTGTGAATGAAGATTGGTCTAGAGAGGACCAATTTTTACCAGCTTCCCTGAATTAGCAGTTTTCAATAGCAGCTGTGATTTCAGAGTTAGAGCCAGTTTATTTATTTGGAGGTACAGCACAGTTTTTCTTGCTAGGATCTGTGAATAGCTACTGTCATTTAGAATCAGGTTACAACTCTATTCTAAGGACTTGATGGCAGGGACCACTACTAGATAAGCTTTCCAATAACATTTTTTTAATTTAGTGAACAAACTAATATGTACAGATAATGGATTAGCTTATTCAATCTTTTTTTAATAACCCAGTGAGGCTGGTGCCATTACTATCTCCGAATCATAGACGGGGAATTTGAGGTACAGAGAGGTTGAATAACTTGTGCAAAGTCACAGGACTCGTAACTAGAGACACTGGAATTTGGACCTATGTACCTGAAACTGTGCTATACAGCCTTGACCTATGACCCACCACAGTGTCTTGCAATGCATAAGTGCTGAGATGAGCTCAGCACTCACTTCTCAACAATGGTTTGTTGTCTGGGGTTCACACCTATCTCTAAAATCTGCCTTTGATCATTCAGGTAAGTTGTATCAACAAAAGATGTTTGTATACAGTGCAGGACATAGTATGTGCTCACTAAGTGCTTACTAAATGTACTGTTTTCAGAATTAAAGTCTTTGTCTTTTTTTTTTTTTTGTAACACTGCACTTTGGGAGGTCAAGGTGGGCAGATCACTTGAGATCATGAGTTCAAGACCAGCCTGGCCAAAATGGTGAAACCCTGTCTCTACTAAAAATACAAAAATTAGCCAGGTGTGGTGGTGCATGCCTGTAGTCTCAGCTACTTGGGAGGCTGAGGTTGGAGAATTGCTTGAACCCAGGAGGCGGATACATTGAGCAGAGATCATGCCACTGCACGCCAGCCTGGGCAACACAGAGATATTCTGTCTCAAACAAACAAACAAACAAATACCCTGTTGTTTCTTTTCTTGTAATTCCATTGCCTCTTGTTCTCTGAGGTATATCTGTTTCCTCCAGGTATGGCAGCCTCTGA
This sequence comes from Homo sapiens, assembly GCF_000001405.40. Lineage (NCBI taxonomy): Eukaryota > Metazoa > Chordata > Mammalia > Primates > Hominidae > Homo > Homo sapiens. The sequence goes on along the minus strand of NC_000007.14, from coordinate 68,907,773 downwards.
TATAACATGTGCTGTTGCACAGTCTTCCTTTTGCTTGAACGTTTCTTTAACTACATTGTTTGCCCAGAGATTCCAACTCACTCTGCAGAACACAGCTCAGAGTTAATGCCTCTGCTTTTGTGTTTGTGTGGCTGTGTGATCCTATCTCTGCATTGATTGTTAACTCTAACTACCCATCTTTTTGTGATGGGTATGTTATTTGAATACAGAGACTTGGCCCCAGTTTATCTTAATAAACCTTGTACACTGCATCTGGTACAATAAGTGGAGGCACACTGATTCGGTGAATTAAAGGAAAAAGACAAAACCAGAAGGTAACACCTCTGACATTTCTCTTTGATTCTTGGAAGTTCTCAGGAATTTAGGACACTTCACAGTGGACAAATATCAATAAAGAAAACATCAAAGATCTTTGAAGTCAGTACAAAATGTTGCAGCTGGATGGAATTTGCAGGGTCAACGTATTTCATAGGAAATGATCACATTTCCATTTCAAACAAATAAACCACTATCAAATTAGTCTCCCTGTCCCCACATTCTATCCAAGGACACCCTTCTCCTCCTCAGCTTCTAGGTTTACCAGTCAGTATCTTTTCTCCTAAATGTCACCAAAGAAAAGATCATGCAAAGCAAGACCATTTATAACGTATTTTCTCCCCTGCAAGATACAATCTAAAAACTGCTTGCTATTATGGCTTGGAATAAGATACGTTATTAAGTGAATGACAGAAAAATAAGAAGACATCCATCAAAGTGTCTATTTCATTCCTATATTCAGAGCTTTCCTATATCCAGAGGGTGTCAATGCACAAATCATGGGTAACAACATCTTAAGTTAGAAAGAACAAGAAGTACAAAAGGAAAGACTTATAAATGTGTCTTCTTGCTCTTAACCTAATTGTCTCTCTTTTGGCATTGTCTTTCAAGGGGAAAATGGATGGTTGCTAGTTGCAGGGAGAAAATGAGGCATTTGGAGACCAAGGCTTAGTATCGTGTAGATGAGTGTGTTACTGAACTGAAATTGAGTGTGCCTGCCCAACACAGCAAAGTCAAACACTGACTTTAGGATTGCAGCAAGAGAAAGTGAGGGGTTTATTGCAGGACGCCAAGCAAGGAGAACTGAGCACTCATGTTTAAGACTCAGACTGTCTGACGGCCTATAGGTAAGGGTTTTGTTGTTGTTGTTGTTGAGACAGAGTCTCACTTGGTCACCCAGGCTGGAGTGCAGTGGTGTGATATCGGCTGACCACAACCCCCGCCTCCCAGGTTCAAGCAATTCTCATGCCTCAGCCTCCTAAGTAGCTGGAATTACAGGTGTGCACTACTATGCCCGGCTAATATTTGTATTTTTAGTAGAGATTGGGTTTCACCATGTTGACCAGGCTGGTCTTGAACCCCTGACCTCAAGTGATCCACCCACCTCGGCCTCCCAAAGTGCTGGGATTACAGGCGTGAGCCCCCACACCCGGCCTAATTTAGGATTCTGATTGCTCAGAAAATCTAGCTCCCACAAGCCATTGGCTTACTTACACTGTTTCTGTTAAGAAAATGAATTTTTTGACAACTTTTCGGTAAGAATTCCCTTGAACCCACTAGGGAGGTCTATTGGGCCTATATTTCAGATGCTCCTGGGATGGTGGGAATGGATGACAGGGATGGAGGATCTATGCAGCGGGCAGGGGATGCTCAGCAAAAGCAAATTCCTTGGGCTGGGTGCGGTGGCTCATGCCTATTATCCCAGCAGTTTTGGATGCTGAGGCAGGCAGGTCACCTGCAGTCAGGAGTTTGAGACCAGTGTGGCCAACATGGTGGAACCCCATCTCTACTAAAAATACAAAAATTAGCTGGGCATGGTGGGACACGTCTGTAATCCTAGCTACTCAGGAGGCTGAGACAGGAGAATTGCTTGAACCCAGGAGGCAGAAGTTTCAGTGAGCCAAGATCACGCCACTGCACTCCAGCCTGGGCGATAAAGTGAGACTGTCTCTGAAAAAAAAGAAAGTTGAAAAGAGAGACAGGGAGATTGAGAGGTGAAGGCAGTGTGAGCTCAGCCTGGATATGAGCTCCAGATGAAGTTTGATTATCACATGGTTGAAAAATCTTATAATAGAAAGGTGTTAAATTAGAGATTTCAGGTGATTGAAGCCAGGGTGTTGGAAAGAATCTCAACAGGGGCTTTGAAATTGTCCAATATTGGCCAGGCGCGGTGGCTCACGCCTGTAATCCCAGCACTTTGGGAGGCTGAGGTGGGCGGATCACAAGGTCAGGAGATCGAGACCATCCTGGCTAACACGGTGAAAACTCGTCTCTACTAAAAATACAAAAAATTAGCTGGCCGTGGTGGCAGGCGCCTGTAGTCCCAGCTACTTGGGAGGCTGAGGCAGGAGAATGGCGTGAACCTGGGAGGCAGAGTTTGCAGTGAGCCAAGATCATGCCACTGCACTCCAGCCTAGGTGACAGAGCGAGGCTTTGTCTCAAAAAAAAAAAGAAATTGTCAAGTATGGGCCAGGTGCAGTGGCTCATGTCTATAATCCCAGAGCTTTGGGAGGCCGAGGCAGGCGGATCACCTGAGGTCAGGAGTTCCAGACCAGCGTGACCAACATGGTGAAACCCTGTCTCTACTAAAAATACAAAAATTAGTAGGGCGTGGTGGCAGGCACCTGTAATCCCAGCTACTTGGGAGGCTGAGGCAGGAGAATCACTCAAACCCGGGAGGTGGGGGTTACAGTGAGCCGAGATTGCGCTACTGCACTCCAGCCTGGGTGACGAGAGTGAAACCCTGTCTCAAAAAAAAAAAAAAAAAAAATAGAGGAAGAAGAAGAAAAGAAATTGTCCAGTGTGATGGGAGGTGGGAGTGAGGAGACATAGGGAAGTTGTGAGTCAGCCCTCCAGGAATATAGGAGAGAGTTTTAAAAAAAACTTTTAAAAAAGTAGAATGGCCTTAAAAGGAAAATTCTTGGCATTTTATTCACTCAGGGCAAGGGAATCACAAGACTGGCCGTTTGATTGTGAACCGAAGGAGACCTTTCAACTTCCTACATCATTAAAATGTAACTCTGCATTGAGGTTGTGATATATTTTGGATGTTTGTTCTCTCCAAATATCCTGTTGAAATGTGGTCCCCAGTGTTGGAGGTGGGGCCTAGTGGGAGGTATTTGGGTCGTGGGCATGGGCCTCTCATGAATGGCTTGGTGCCATCCTCAAGAGATTGAGTGAGTTCTCACTCTTAGTTTTCAAGAGATCTGGCTGTTAAACATAGTCTGGCAGCTCCATTTCTTCTCTTCCTCCCTCTCTTGGCATGTAACATGCCAGCTCCCTCTTCACCTTCCATTATAACTTGAAACGTCCTGAGGCCCTCTCCAGCAGCAGACGCTGGTGCCATATTTCTTGTACAGCCTGAAGAACCATGATCCAAATAAACCCCTTTCCTTTATAAACTACCCAGCCTCAGATATTCCTTCATAGCAATGCAGATGGACTAAGATAGATTGCATTCAAGATTGCCTGGTTTAGTAATAGATATTCTGAAATGTCTCATAACCAAATAGCATATTCAGAAAAGTCATAGCCTTGGCCCTGTGAGGTGCTGGGATTGAGCACAGATAAGATTAGAGAATCACTGTGTGTGTGGGGAGGATGAATGTGCATGAGCTCCCAAGACATGGTCAGTTTGTGCAAGAAAAGAAGACAGAGGATGATGCTGATGACTTAGGTGTCAGAGGACAGAAGGAACTAGCTAGGTAAATGAGGATATTGTGGGAAAAGGCAATCAGGAAATGGGACTAAACATGTGACTACAGATAAAGTAATGTGGGACCAGTCTAATTCTCTTTTCTGGGGCATGGGGTTATGGGATGCTCACTGTGATGATCTGGATGTCTCATTTTCCTTTGTAGGGTGGGACGGGGTGTGCCTGACTCTGTCAGTGTATTAGTCCGTTTTCATACTGCTGATAAAAACATACCCAAGACTGGGAAGAAAAAGAGGTTTAATTGGACTTACATTTCCATATGACTGGGGAGGCCTCAGAATCATGGCAGGAGGTGAAAGGCACTTCTTACATGGCAGCAGCAAGATAAAATGAGGACGATGCTAAAGCGGAAACCCCTGATAAAACCATCAGATCTTGTGAGGCTTATTCACTATCATGAGAACGGTATGGGGGCAACTGCCCCCATGATTCAAATTATCTCCCACTGGGTGCCTCCCACAACATGTGGGAATTATGGGAATACAATTCAAGATGAGATTTGGGTGGGGACACAGAGCCAAACCATATCATTTCACTCATGGCCCCTCCAAATCTCATGTCCTCACATTTCAAAATCAATCCTGCCTTCCAACAGTCCCCCAAAGTCTTAACTCATTTCAGCATTAACCCAAAGGTCCACAGTCCAAAGTCTTATATGAGACAAGGCAAGTAAGTCCCTTCCACCTATGAGCCTCTAAAATCAAAAGCAAGCTAGTTACTTCCTAGATACAATGGGGATACAGGTATTGGATAAATATAGCCATTCCAAATGGGAGAAATTGGCCAAAACAAAGGGGTTACAGGGCCTATGCAAGTCTGAAATCCAGAGGGGCAGTAAATCTTAATGCTCCAAAATTATCTCCTTTGACTCCAGGTCTCACATCCAGGTCATGCAAATGCAAGAGGTGGGTTCCCATGGTCTTGGGCAGCTCCACCCCTATGGCTTTGCAGGGTACAGCCACCCTCCCAGCTGCTTTCACAGGCTGGCGTTGAGTGTCTGTGGCTTTTCCAGGCACGTAGTGCAAGCTATTGTTGGATCTACCATTCTGGGGTCTGGAGGATGGTGGCCCTCTTCTCAAAGCTCCACTAGGCAGTGCCCCAGTAGGAACTCTGTGTGGAGGCTCCGACCCCACATTTCCCTTCTGCACTGCCCTAGCAGAGGTTCTCCATGAGCGTCCCACCACGTGGAAGCTGCCAAAGCTGGGGGCTTGCACCCTCTGAAGCCATGGCTCAAGCTCTACATTGTCCCCTTTCAGCCATGGCTGGAGTGGTAGAGATGCAGTACACCAAATCCCTAGGCTGCACACAGCACGGGGACCCTGGGCCAGGCCTAAAAAACCATTTTCTCCTAGGCATCCAGGCCTGCGATGGGAAGGGCTGCCTGAAGACCTCTGACATGCCCTGGAGACATTTTCTCCATTGTCTTGGGGATTAACATTGGGCTCCTCGTTACTTATGCAAATTTCTGCAGGCAGCTTGAATTTCTCCTCAGAAAATGGATTTTTCTTTTCTATCCCATTGTCAGGCTGCAAATTCTCTGAACTTTTATGCTCTGCTTCCCTTATAACACTGAGTGCCTTTAACAGTACCCAAGTCACCTCTTGAATGCTTTGCTGCTTAGAAATTTCTTCCACCAGATACCCTAAATCATCTCTTTCAAGTTCAAAATTCCACAAATCTCTAGGGCAGGGGCAAAATGCTACCAATCTCTTTGCTAAAACATAACAAGAGTCACCTTTGCTCCAGTTCCCAACAAGTTCCTCATCTCCATCTGAGACCACCTCAGCCTGGACCTTATTGTCCATATCGCTAACAGGATTTCAGTCAAAGACATTCCACAAGTCTCTAGGAAGTTCTAAACTTTCCCACATTTTCCTGTCTTCTTCTGAGCCCTCTAAATGATTCCAACCTCTGCCTGTTACCCAGTTCCAAAGTTGCTTTACTCTACTGGTACTAATTTACTGTATTAGTCCATTTTTATGCTGCTGATACAGACATACCTGGGACTGGCAAGAAAAAGAGGTTTAATTGGACTTACAGTTCCACATGGCTGAGGAGGCCTCAGAATCACCGTGGGAGGTAAAAGGCACTTCTTACATGGCGGCGGCAAGAGAAAATGAGGAAGATGCTAAAGTGGAAACTCCTGATAAAACCATCAGATCTTGTGAGACATATTCACCACCATGGGAACAGTATGGGGGAAACCACCCCCATGATTCAAATTATTTCCCACTGGGTCCCTTTCAAAACATGTGGGAATTATGGGAGTACAATTCAAGATGAGATTTGGGTGGTGACACAGAGCCAAACTGTATCAGTCAGATTTGCATGGCTGTCTCCTTTGGTTTTTACTTTGGATTTCATGCTGCATTGTCAGAGAGGTTTTTAAATGCTCTAATTTTTTTTTTTTTTTTTTTTAGTTTTTGTGCATTTGCATAGGGGCGAGTGTGTATGTGTGTATGTGTGTGTAGCAATCAAAGGAAAAGCTAAAAGAACCCCAATAGCTAAAAATTTGGGGAGAAGAGGAGGTAGGCTTTCCCGTGGGACTCGTTTTGAATGCAATACAATACTAAAAAAAAAAAAAAGAGGGCTTAAGGAATTCATTTTATAAAGCTTCTAAGTCCACACCCTTGCAGATCTGTGAGCTCACAGGAACCAAAATCTTTATCTGAACTTCCATCAGAGGAGCACATTTTGAGCACTCACTGCTTGGAGCATTGGTAGAATGAGTCCAGTATGAAGTAGGCTTTCGGCGTCTGGGAAAAGTAAGCCAGTTGGGGAAGCCAGGGTGACTGAGACCACTTTGAATTCCACCAACTAAGAAGGGGGCATTTGGCTGCTGTTTTCCACCTAGAAGAAGCCAGATCACCCATTTGGCTTTTTCACATTTCAAAAGTGAAATTTGGAATTTTCAGTCTTCAGCTAGAACTTTTGGCATCTTAGTTATAACCTAGAATGAGGATTTTTTGGTTTTCTTTTTGTTGAGACAGGGTTTCACTTGAGTGCAGTGATGTGATCTTGGCTCACTGCAAGCTCTGCCTCCCCAGTTCAAGTGATTCTCCTGCCTCAGCCTCCCCAGGAACTGGGATTACAGACATGATTACACCATGCCCAGCTAATTTTTATAGTTTTTAGTAGAGACAGAGTTTCGCCATGTTGGCCAGGCTGGTCTCGAACTCCTGACCTCAAGTGATCCACCCTCCTTGGCCTCCCAAAGTGCTGGGATTACAGGCGTGAGCTACCATGCCCAGCCTAGAATGAGTTTTCACACCAAATTTTTTATAAATTATAACTTTGGTGGATTATAAGCATGTATTTATTGACTACTTTTGTGTCAGATATCGAGATATGCTTGTATACAGTTAGAAATGTTTAATCTTTACATAATATGTAATATAGGGAACATTATCCCCATTGCACAGATAAGGAGATGAAAAATATGCATGAAGACATGAAGAAATATGCACGAGATAGCACCTTTAAGCTGGAGCCTATCTCCAAACCCACGCACCTTCTCTTCCTTTCCAGTAATAGCAACTAAAACTCCAACAGCAAGTAGTACACCCAACACACGCAGCCTTTTCCCCTAAGCACTGTGTTTATTATGCTTGCGTTTCTGAATTCGAATGACTGGGATGCAGGGAAGGCGATGGTAACAGGGGAGTTTGATTTTCTCCCAGGGGGCTATGAATAATGGATGGGCATTCATGCTTATCTGGCTGTGTCATCATTTCCCTTCCTTTATAACATGGGATATTGGCACCCTGGCTCACTCAGCGTGCTTAGATGTAGACGCAGTGTGACTGCTGCTGGTTAGAGCCAGCATGGCGGCCATCTGTGAGCAGGATGATACTTTAGTGGGGGAAAGATCCCAGGTGTAGAATGTCACACAGAGTACATGGTGACGTGTGAGCCAACGACTGTCTATGCATTTCCAGTTAGAAGTTCTAAATTGGGCGGGCCCGGTGGCTCACGCCTGTAATCCCAGCACTTTGGGAGGCCGAGGCCAGGAGATCTCAAGGTCAGGAGATTGAGACCATCCTGGCTAACAAGGTGAAACCCCATCTCTACTAAAAATACAAAAAATTAGCCAGGTGTGGTGGCGGGCACCTGTAGTCCCAGCTACCTGGGAGGCTGAGGCAGGAGAATGGGGTGAACCTGGGAGTTGGAGCTTACAGTGAGCCGAGATCACGCCACTGCACTCCAGCCTGGGTGACAGAGGGAGACTCCGTCTCAAAAAAAAAAAAAAGGAAGTTCGAAATTATTTTGGGCTGCTTTCCCCTGCCCTTTTCAATGTTTAAAGGAACAAAATCTTTTTTTTTTTTTTTTTTTTTTTTGACAGAGTCTGGCTCTGTCACCCAGGCTGGAGTGCAATGGTGCTATCTCGGCTCACCATAACCTCTGCCTCCCAGGTCTAAGCAGTTCTCTGCCTCAGCCTCCCGAGTAGCTGGGATTACAGATGCTTGCCAACATGCCTGGCTAATCTTTGTATTTTTAGTAGAGATGGGGTTTCACCAACTTCGGCAGGCTGGTCTTAAACTCCTGACCTCATGATCCACCTGCCTCGGCCTCCCAAAGTGCTGGATTACAGCCGTGAGCCATTGCGTCCGGCCCAAAGTGACTCTTATGTTGAAGTTAATTTTATTTTTTTTGAGACAGGGTCTCACTTTGTCACCCAGGCTGGAGTGAAGTGGTGCGATCAGAGCTCACTGCAGCATGCAACTCCTGGGCTCAAGTGATCCTCCTGCCTCAGCTTCCTGAGTAGCTGGGCTTACAGGTACACTCCAACATGCCTGGCTAATTTTTAAATTTTTTAAGTAGACACAAGGTCTCACTATGTTGCCCAGACTGGTATAGAACTCCTGGGCTCAAGCAGTTCTTGTGCCTCAGCCTCTCAAAGTGTTGGGATTATAGGCATGAGCCACTGTGCCAGCCAAAGTTAATTTTTATTGTCAAAAATTTCATATTTGTGTCTACTGTCCCCTGTTATGATCAGGAAGGGAGTTTGCGAAAAGGTGGCACTGGCTGCTTGCAGGAATTGATCCCACCTTAGCAAAAATTCCCTGGTTGGTCGTCTGTGCTTAATGCCACACATCTCACCAGCATTAGTCTGTTCCAAAACGCTTCACTAAAGGCCGCTTCTCATGATCTGAGCAGGCTGAAAAATAATTCTCACCTACTCAAAAATGAAAATGCAGACACTTGAATAAATAGTTGAGGCTTTCTTGTGATAGCTAGAACTCTTCAATGTATACTTGACAATGTTTCATTACCTTCTTTAGCTATTCTTGGGTGAAGTTACGAATGCAAGCAAAAGATGATCGCATCTTTAGCACAAGTACAATGGAAGGTTTTCAAATAAATTCCAATGTGTTAGAAACCATTTATATCTATCTGAGATAGTAAATGATTTCTAGCATGTTGGAATATGTATATTTTATTTACATTTATATCTAATATATATTTTATGTATTTATTTATCATATATCTTATTATTTATTTATTTATTTTTTAGAGGATGAGTCTTGCTCTGCCACCCATGCTAGAGTGCAGTGGCATGATCATAGCTTACTGCAGCCTCCAACTCCTGGACTCAAGTGATCCGCCTGCCTCAGCCTTCCCATTAGCTGGGACTACAGGTGAATGCCATCACACCTGGCTATTTTTTTTTGAAGTTTTTTGAAGTTTTTTGGCATCTCACTATGCTGCCCAGGCTGGTCTCAAACTCCTCCTGGCTTCAAGTGATCCTTCCACCTCAGCCCAAAATGCTGGGATTATAGATGTGGGCTGAGCCACCCGACTGGCCAACATAGATTTTACTCTCAAGACATAAATGGTTAATTATCCCTTTTGTAAAACTTTGTGAAGAGGACAATTACTAATGAATTAATTTTTTTAGAACTTGTATGCCTATTCTTGAGGCTTAGTTTCAAATTTTTAAATTTTATTTATTTATTTATTTTTGAGACCACGTCTCACTCTGTCACCCAGGCTGAGTGCAATGGCACCATCTTGGCTCACTACAACCTCCATCTCATGAGTTCAAGTGATTCCCCTGCCTCAACCCCCTAAGTAGCTGGGACTACAGGCATGTGCCACGATGTCTGGCTAATTTTGTATTTTTAGTAGAGATGCAGTTTCACCATGTTGGCCAGGTTGGTCTCAAACTCCTGTCCTCAGGTGATTCGCAAGCTTTGGCCTTCCAAAGTGCTGGGATTACAGGCGTGAGCCACCACGCCCGGCCTTGATGCTTCATTTAATAATGTGTTTTAGACACTTACCAGGGTCCATGACACCATACCAGGCAATTATAGTGATAGTAGACCCTTGGCAGTTGAGGACTTTGACATTTGTGACTTTGCACGCTTTCCACCGAACCTGAGGCTTCCTGGAATGTGATGTGGAGGCCTGGATTTGTGTGTTGCATTCTCTAAGTGTGATGGGAGCAGTTCACCAGCTAGTGAGTCCCTCTTGCCCACCGACGGCAGCACTTCCCGTGGCTCTGCTCTTCTCTCCTCCCCTGACTTCCTGCCAGTCACTCTCACGAAATCTGAAAAATTTTGCCACTTCGCAAAACAAAATATGGATCCGAAAAGATACATTACCTAGTTTCATAGGACAAACAATATACCATTGATAAATCGAGTGATGCTGATAAATTGAAGGATTAGTAAAGAGATTTATCAGTAGTCGTCCACTCAAATGTTTGAGGATTTGCATTTTAAAAACATGTTAAGTGTTCGGGTGGATGGCTCATGCCTGTAATCCCAGCACTTTGGGAGGCCGAGGTTGGCAGATCATTTGAGGTCAGGAGTTCGAGACCAGACTGGCCAATATGGTGAAACCCTGTCTCTGCTAAAAATACAAAAATTAGCTGGGCGTGGTGGTGCACACCTGCAATCCCAGCTACTTATGAGGCTGAGACAGGAGAATTGCTTGAACCTGGGAGGCAGAGGTTGCAGTGAACCAAGATCCCTCCACTGCACTCCAATCTGGGCAACAGAGTGAGATCCTGTCTCAGAAAAAAAAAAAAAAAAAGGTCAAGTTTAAGAAAATAAAATGTATACACATATCCACATATCCATCCTAAGATTTCCAAGCTGAGAGCAGTGTATTCACTATTTTCACTCCTGTTTCCATGCATTCACCCACCTATTTATTCATTCCAGCAGGGAAATTGAGATCAGGGCAAAATTACAATAATGGTGATTATTTATGATTATTAAAAATTAAAGTGGCCTGTAATCCCAGCACTTTGGAAGGCTGAGGTGGGCGAATCATGAGGTCAGTTCAAGACCAGCCTGGCCAATATGGTGAAACCCCGTCTCTACTAAAAATATAAAAACTAGCTGAGCGTGGTGGTGGGCACCTGAAGTCCCAGCTACTCAGGAGGCTGAGGCAGGAGAATCACTTGAACCCAGGAGGCGGAGGTTGCAGTGAGCTGAGATCGCACCACTGCAGTCCAGCCTGGGTGACAGAGGGCAACTCCATCTCAAAAACGAATAATAATAATAGTAATGAAAGCGGTCTTCTATTAACATTACAACTGTTATCATCTCTCTATGAATCAACCAATCAGCATGTGCCATAAAGTGGTGCTTCAGGACTTCAGAAGAGAGAAGGGTTATTGGGCAATGTGGTTAGGACAGTTTCTGGAGGACTGGCACTGTAATGATGCATTGAAGGACAGCTACTCGTATTCCGCAGCAGCTAAGCTGTAAGGCACATTGGAACTTCAGTAGCAGAGTGGGGAAAGTAGTAGAAATTAGGGACCTGGAATTAGGGCTGCTCTCAGTAGGAGGTGACCCACTGTCATCTTAAGGGAGCTTTGGGTAAATTTCTGTTCCACCTGATTGGTTAGGGAAGGAAGTCACTGACAGGTAAGAGATGAATATGTAGAGAAGGAAGAACAGTTATTCTAGGCAGAGGAAACCGCACAAGGAAAAGTCTGGATATGAGAAGGTACAAAGAATATTTATGGGACAGAATATCACCAATTTATTTGGAATGCATGGTTCAAGCAAGAAAATGGGAGTGTTGATTCAAATTGTAGAGGGTGGATTGATTTCCAGCAAAGCAGATTTATTTATTTATTTTTATTTTATTTTATTTTGATTTATTTATTTTTTTTTGAGACGGAGTCTCGGTTCTTCTCCCAAGCTGGAGTGCAATGGCGTAATCTTGGCTCACTGCAACTTCTGCTACCCAGGTTCAAGCGATTCTCCTGCCTCAGCCTCCCGAGTAGGTGGGACTACAGGCACCCACCACCACTCCCAGCTAATTTTTGTATTTTTAGTAGGGACAGGGTTTCACCATATTGGCCAGGCTGGTCTTGAACTCCTGACCTTGTGATCCGTCTGCCTCGGCCTCCCAAAGTGCTGGGCTTACAGGCGTGAGCCACTGCACCTGGCCTTATTTTTTATTTTTATTTTTATTTTTAGATGGATCATGGGGATCTCACCGAAAACTTTTGAGAAGAGAAATGATAGGATCAGGTACCTTTTCCTACTAAACTGAGACTAGTAATTTTGCCCAGGATTGAAAAGAAATAGCTTCACCATTAATCATGGGAGTGAGTGCTTTTGTTTGGTCAACGAGGACAGTGCCTCTTTTACTTATTTTTTTTTTTTGAAGAGCATACATGTGATTTTTTGGCGGGGAGGTAGGGTGCTAATTAAAAACACTGTCTCTTCTTGTTTTGTGGAGTGTTGAGTATACGACCCAAATTGGGTCAATCCTAATGTTTTGTCCCTCTTGTCAGTCATTAGTCCAAGTTGAGAGCACATGATCCAGATCAGGTTGACTCAAAGCATTCCCTGGGGGAAAAAATGTGTCCTGGGACATGAAGCTCCAGGGCTGTTGGGGCACAAAGCTGCAATGATACAGTAGAGAGTTACTGGGACCATATGAGGTAGTGAGGAGACATGGAGAAAGGGGAAGAAGAAAGGAGAAAGAAGGAGGGTAGGGAAGGAGGAGAGAGGGAGAGGGAGAGAGAGAAGGAGATATAGAGAGACTGAGATGGAGAAGGAGAGGAAGGGAGAGGGAGAGAAGAAGACAAAGCCTGGTGTCTTAGTCCATTTGAGCTGCTGTAATAAAATACCATTGAATGAGTCACTTAATGTACCTCTCACAGTTATGGAGGCTGGAAATTCAAGATCAAGGCACTGGTGGATTTGGTGTCTGCTGGCGGCTGCTTCCTCACAGATGGCTGTCTTTCTGCTGTATGCCGTGTCCTCACATGGAGGAAGAGGGAGGTTCCTTTGAGTCTCTTTTATATGGGTAGATGACTACTCCCATTCATAAGGGCTCTGCTCTCATGACCTTGTCAGTTTCCAAAGATCCCCACTTCCTAACACCATCACCTTGCAGGGTGGAATTTCAATGTATGAATTTTGCAGGAAGACATGAACATTTCAGATCATAACATCTGGTGTGGGTGGTGCCTGGGATGTCCTGAGGTCACACCTAGTGCTGAGGACAAATCAGAGAAGCAGAGAATAAGAAAAAAAGGTGGAGGGCCGGGCGTGGTGGCTCATGCCTGCAATCCCAGCACTTTGGGAAGCTGAGGCGGGTGGATAGCCTGAGGTCAGGAGTTCCAGACCAGCCTGACCAACATGGTGAAACCCTATCTCTACTAAATACAAAAAATTAGCCAGGTGTGGTGGCTTACACCTGCAATCCCAGCTACTTGGGAGGCTGAGGCAAGAGAATCGCTTGAACCCAGGAGGCAGAGGTTGCAGTGAGCTGAGATTGAGCCATTGCACTCCAGCCTGGGCAAGAAGAGCGAAACTCTGTCTCAAAACAAAAAAACAAAAAAACAAAAAAAACCAGGTGGAGCTGGAAGTAGCCAGGAGGCAAGAGAAATGCACGAATGTCACTCTTTCTGGGTTTTGGAAAAACTTTGCTGTTGCTTTTTCAGGGTGGTTTCCAGAATGAAGTTCATGAGCAGTCGAAAGGTATGAGGTTATGGTGAGTTATATCCTAGAAACTCCCTAGGGTCCCTTAAGGGAAGCATATAGAAACTGGAATCTAATTAATACCTTGAGCGGCTGAACTGCATCTCTTTGAACAGGATTGCATGCAGAAACTGGCCATGGTATTTATTGGGTTACCTGTTAGTTGGAACATAAATGATTCTGATGAACACAATGACATAATTCAATGAATGCAACTACCTGAAATTGTTGGCTTTGGGGTGGCTTCAAGTGGATCTTTACCATTGTCATTTATTAGACATGACCCTTCTCGGTGCTGTCCCTGAGTTCAGTAGAAGACAAATAGTAGGAGGACATAGAGACAATTGGAATGTAATTGTCTCTCGGGCAGCGTGATCCTTCCCAAGCCTGCATTTTGCACTTCTGCTTGTTCATTCACAACCTGTGGTCACTGCCAAGGACAGCATCTGTTTAAGCCATTTCAGCACTGCTTATGACTGAAGGTCTGAAGCTGGTGTCAGTTCCCCTTTCGTCTAGCTTTCTAACTTCTTCCTGCAGTCTTCTGTTTCCCAAACTCTTGCTTTATCTCTTGCCTTCAGCCTCCTTGCCCTCAATCCTGGGACAAGGTAGTGGAGGAAAGATCACTAAGTGGTCACATGGTATCACAGAACAAGCATGAATTTGAAGTAGCACAGATTCACTGAACAATAATTTAACAATGAACACACTAGGCACGGTGTTAGGTGAAATTTAAATTCCAACACTGCACTTTTAGGTCTGTGGGATTGCTCAAGTTATTTAAGCCCCCTGGGTCTCAGTTTACTCATCTGTAAAACGGGGTGATCATAACTACCTTGTAGAGATGATTGTAAAATTTAATGTCGAGTACCTGATACAGAATATTAAACAAGGGGTGGAGTGCGGTGGCTCATGCCTCTAATCCCAGCACTCTGGGAAGCCAAGGTGTGCGGATCACCTGAGGTCATGAGTTCAAGACCAGCCTGGTCAACATGGCGAAATCCCATCTCTACTAAAAATACAAAAATTAGCTAGTGTGGTGGCTCACACCTGTAATCGCAGCTACTCGGGAGGCTGAGGCAGAAGAATTGCTTGAATCTGGGAGGCGGAAGTTGCAGTGAGCTGAGATTGTACCACTGCACTCCAGCCTGGGCAACAAGAGTGAAACTCCATCTCAAAAAAAAAAAAAAAAAAAAAAAAGAATATTAAACAAGGGGTAGGTTTTATAATTAGCCTGTTTTGAATGTTGCCTGTTTTCTTTTGGGTTTTGGACAGGCTCCTGCCCCTGTTCTTATCTTTGTCATGCTTCCCACTGCTCTAGATAATCAACCAGCCTGATGCCATCTGTTTTTCTCATGGAACATGGAGTTAGTTTGAACCATGGGGTACTTCTGAGGTTGACTTAGCTCTTATGGAAGGAGACGAGTCAAAAGAGCTGGGCTTCCAATTTGTCATTGTTGATGAGAAGTCATCACTGTGGGACAGGAGAGGGCTGTGAAAAAAAAAAAAGGCCGATCTTCTCCCTTTAGAGCCTTCACTGAGAGGAGGACAAAGATCAGACACACGCATGAAGGGTAATGTGCTATTTCAAAGGGATCCTAAGGCACAGTCAACTGGGTGGAACTGAAAATGGCTATGACTCACTCACTTGCAACTTTGATTACCTTGATGAGCCACTGTCCAGAAGCACAGCACAGGCAGCAGCTCTTAACCAGTGGGGTATGTGTGGGATTGAGTATCCTTGGTGGGACGAAGAACTATTTAGTCTCAAGATAAGGTTTTGTCACAGTTACAAAGCATTGGCTTTCTCACTTCCCACATAATTAAGTTTGGATGTGTGTCCCTCCCAAATCTCATGTTGAAATGTGATCCCCACTGGAGGTGGGGCTTGGTGGGAGGTGTTTGAGTCATGAGGATTGGACCTTTCATAAATGGCTTGGTGCCTTGGTGCCATCCTCATGGCAGTGAGTGAGGTCTTGCTCTATTAGTTCACAACACAGCTGGTTGTTTAATTTTTAATTTTTTTTTTGAGACAGAGTCTTGCTCTGACACCCAGGCTGGAGTGCAGTGGTGCAATCATAGCTCACGGCAGCCTCAACCTCCTGGGCTCAACCATCCTCCCACCTCAGCCTCCTGAGTACCTGAGACTACAGGTGTGTGCCACCATGCCTGGCTAATTTTAAAAAAATATTTCACAGAGACAAGCATCTCACTATGTTGCCCAGGATGATCTTGAACTCCCAGCCTCAAGTGATCCTCCTACCTTGGCCTTCCAAAGGTGCTGTGGTTACAGGTGTGTGAGCCACCACATCTGGCAGAAAAGTTGCTTAAAAGGTCCTGGCACCCCTCTCTCACTCTTGTCCCCTCTCTTTTCATGTGATGTTTTCTCCCCCTTCACCTTCTGCCATGGGTTAAAACTTCCATAGGTCCTTGCCAGCAACAGATCCTGGTGCTATGCTTCTTGTACAGCCTACAGAACTGTGAGCCAAATAACCCTCTTTTCTTTATAAATTACCCAGTCTCAGGTATTCCTTTATAGGAACACAAAATGGACTAAGACATTTATTGTAAATGTGATGTGCTGACTCCTATTGATGCTTCTTTCTAGATTATTCTGCTGTGATCTATTGGCAGCAAGTACAAAACCTAAAACAATGAGTATTTCTCCAGGTGACCCATTCTAGACAGTAACAGTTTTAGATATGGTCTTTCCTGCACGCCCTACCTGCCAGGGACCCGTTGTTGCATTTCTGGCCCTCCCCATGTCTGCTTCTCCCCAGCTTGGTGCAAGAGGATGATTGGGAAGGAGGAAAGACTGTGGCTCCATCATAAAGCTCACTTGGAGAAACCTGGAGTCCTGGCAAGACAAACACCAACCAGCAGATTCATCCTTGGGAGTTTTGAGCTGTCCTGGTTCTTAGACCTTATATGTAGGCTACACAAATTAATTTAATTTAATTGATTGATTTATTTAGATATAGGATCTTGCTCTGTCACCCAGGCTGGAGTGCAGTGGCATGACTATAGCTCACTGCAACGTCTAACTCCTGGGCTTAAGTGATCCTCCCAACTCAGCCTCCTCAGTAGCTGGGACTACAGGCATGCACCATCACATCCAGCTAACTTAAAAATTTTTTGTAGAGGTAAGGTCTTACTATGTTGCCCAGGCTGGTCTTGAACTCCTGGCCTCAAGGGATCCTGCCACCTCAGCCTTCCAAAGTACTGGGATTACAGATGTAAGCCAATGTATCCAGACTCCAAAAATAATTTTAATAGTTTATTTTGTTTCTTTCCCAACCACAACTAATAACGTAATTTAAACAATTGCTTGTTGAGACTTCAGGTGGCATGTCGAGAACTGCTGGTCTAAGAATCAGTGCCATGACAAGGAGTCCCTAGGGGTGGAGGCAATTCCAAAGACGCCGCCATGTAGTGACACCTTGCCTTGACAGTGTCATTAGAAGTTAGTGTCTGGATGGTTCTAGGGTTTTCCCTCCTATTGCATAGATGACTACATTTGAATTAACTAACAAGTGCATTAGCAAACATTTATGGAGCAATTATATTCTGCAAAGCTCTGTCAGATACTTCCTCAAATGTTACTTAATCTTTGCCATAATAGTGCAAGGTGAGCGTTATTTTTATAAAGAAAGTTAGTTTAGACCAGATGTGGTTGCTCACGCCCATAATCCCAGCACTTTGGAAGGCCAAGGAGAGAGGATGGCTTGAAGCCAGGAGTTTGAGACAAGCCTGGGCAACATAGCATGATCCCATCTCTACAAAAAGTTTTAAAAATAAGCTGAATGTGGTGGTGCATGCCTATAGTCCCAGATACTCAGGAGGCTAAGGTGGAAGGAAGGCTGAGCCCAGTAGTTGGAGGCTGCAGTGAGCTGTAATCACACCATTGCACTCCAACCTGGGCAACAGAGTGAGACCCTGTCTCATAAATAAATAAATAAATAAACAAATAAAGAGAGGTAGTTTAGCATAGTGTTAAGCTTAGTATAAGACTGTCCACTGGGCACACCATGTGTCAATGAATAGGTATGGATAGGAGACATTTCGTAACCATCAGTGTTTCAGTTTTTTTATTATAATATGTGGAACAAACTCTATGCCAACCACCTCATGGGGCTGGGTGAGGATTAAACAAATGAATGCATGTTAATATTTCCTGTGTTAGCTAGCCGGGTGTGGTGGCGGGCCCCTGTAGTCTCAGCTACTTGGGAGGCTGAGGCAGGAGAATGGTGTGAACCTGGGAGGTGGAGCTTGCAGTGAGCCAAGATCGCACCACTGCACTCCAGCCTGGGCAACAGAGCAAGACTCCGTCTCAAAAAAAAAGAAAAAAATTTACTGTGTTAGCTATTACTATTAATATTTTACAGATGGCCACGGCATAGCTCAGAGAAGTTAGTTGACTTCTCCAAGATCACACAGCTTGCATGAAGCAGAAACAGAATTCAACCTGGTCCATGTGGACCTAAGGCAGGCTGCTCAGGCAATGTTGGGAACTTGATGAAGGCAGGTCTTTGGCGGGGCTGGCTGGAGATGGTGGGTGCTGGCAAAAGCGGGGCACTCCAGGTTCCCTAATAGAGGACTTTTGAAGCTGCCCTACAGTCTCTCAAGATGTTCATCCCTCAGTTGTTTTAGAGCACATCTCCTCGGAAGAGAGCTTGTGCAGAATGGAACAGTTTGTGCAATGCCTCACAGCTCTATGGTTACAATAATAATAATGCAATATGTCTGCAGAGAGCCAGGGAAAGCCAATTCCACAGGGCAGCCTATTAAGCAATTATGACAGGGAGCAAACTGCTTCAGTCCACAAGCTGAGCCCTGTTTCCTGCCCTGCTGATGGCTCGGGTAATTGCTAATGGCATCACAGGTAATTAGCTTGAGACACAACAGAGAAGCTCGTCTTTTCTCTTCTCAGGGAGCAGAGAGCCCTGTTTCTTCCTCCAGGCTGGGCTCAGCAGGGCAGGCTACTCAGGCTGGGCTTCTCCTCCTTGTTTCTTGCACTTTATATCCGTTTTGTTGAAATGTGGCCAGCAAAGGGTGGCATCATCCATCATTAATCAGCACTTGTAAAACCTTCAACTCTAGGCCACTCTACGTTCCCTGCCCAATTCTAAAAGCACAGGCAGAGGAATTTGTCCTTGGAGAGCTGTGACAGTGGACATTTTCCTTGAAATGTTCAACAATGAACATTTCCTTTCCAATGAAAAGCCCAGAGTAGCACCTTTAAAAGACAACTTCTAAAAATTACTATTCATAAACAGAAATATTTTTATTAAAAAAGTGTACATTGCAGATAAACCAAAGAAGAAAACTTTCATTAGCTGTAATCTCATGATCCGAAGATAACCACATTTATATTTTGATATCAATTCAGACCTTTTTCTGTACCTACATAGCATTTAAAAATACAGTCACACTTTACTTTTTGGAAATGGCTTATTTCACTTAAGAGTATACATGGATAACTTTTCATATCCTTAGATATTATTCCTGATTGTTATGTAAAGTAAGGGAATAATAATTTATTGTATGGTTGTTATCTGATTTGCCTGCCTGGTCCTCTGTTGAAGGGTATTTAGTTTGTTTCCAGAGTTTCAAATTCTGCTGCAGAATATAAGAACATCTGGGTGTTTTCCTCCCAAACTGAACTGTAGACTCCTGGTAGCAACACTTTGTCAGGAGAGATTTGTTCTTTATTGGAAAGAACTTACACATTGAAGTCAGTCTGATGAGGCCACATTTCTATCCGATGTTGGGTCACCATTATAAAATCTATCATTCCTGATAGCAGGTGACCTCCTGCCCACATGTTAGCTGACTGTAGACTGCTAGTGTTTTCCCAGATTGGAAAGACTTACTAGTGTGCAACAAGCCATATCTGCCCTCTTGGAATGGCATGTCAAGCTGACATTACTCTTTCCTTCACCAATAAATTTAGCAAACATTTATTGAGAGCCCATACTATGGTAGCCCCTGGGGATGTAGAGAGATAAGAAGAGTCTTTTTAGTTCAACAGGACCTCAAGGATACATTCTGGATAACTAATTCCTTTTCCCATGGCAGTTGCTTTCTGCTGGTTCATCTCAGTGGAACATCTAGTGTTAAAATGTGGCCTGGCCCAACTTTCATGTTCTGTTAGAATGAAGAAGCTTATATCAGGCCATTTCTCCTGCCAAAAATAACTATAACAGTTGGATAAAATATCCCCAAACAAACAAAAGCCCCAAAAGGTGTTTGAAGGCATTGGAGTAAACCAAGAAAAAGCCATGATTCAAAGGGTCAAGACCCCAAAGAGGGGAAAAAAATCAAACACAACTAAACAAGCCAGTCATTTCCTGCTGTTTCTATCTTTGAGGAATTTTCCAATTTGTGAGTGGCTGGAAATTAATAACAAAAAGAGAGCAAGATAAGAGTCATGTTTGGAAAATTAGCAATACAGTCTCTAAATAACCCATGAATCAAAGCATACATACAATGTATTAGTTCCTCCTTGTGCTGCTAATAAAGACATACCTGAGACTGCATAATTTATAAAGGAAAGAGATTTAATGGACTCACAGTTCCACATGGCTGGGGAAGCCTCACAATCATGGCAGAAGGCAAATGAGGAGCAAAGTCACATCTTAACATGGCAGCAGGCAAGAGAGTTTGTGCAGGGGAACTCCCATTTATAAAACCATCAGATCTTGTGAGACTTACTCACTATCATGAGACTGCATGGGAAAGACTTGCCCTTATGATTCAATTACCTCTCACTGGGTCCCTCCCACAACATGTGAGAATTGTGGGAGCTGCAAGTAAAGATGAGATTTGGGTGGGGACACAGCCAAACCATATCATACAATGAAAAATAGAAGGTAATTTTTAATTTTGAAGAAAGAATCAAACCTAGAGAAAAATTGCGAGAGTGGTGCAATGGACTCTCACAAACCCTTCACCTACATTCACCAATTGTAAAGATTTTGCTACTCGTGATGGTCAATTTTATAGGTCCACTTGGCGAGTGTTTTTGGATGAGATTAACATTCAAACAAGTCAATTTAGTAAAGCAGATTGCTCTCCATAATATGGATGAGCCTAACCAATTAGTTGAAGGCCTGAATAGAACAAAAAGTCTAACCTCTTCATGCAAGAGGGTGTTTTCCAGCAGCCTGACTGAACTTCATGTATAATAATTGGCTCTCCATATGTAATAATATCCTGCCAACCCATACTGCAGACTTTGGACTTGTCAGCCTCCATAATTGCATGAACCAATTCCTTGTAATAAATCTCTCTCTCTCTCTATGCATGTACATGTATATCTCTGCGTATATGTATTTACACATGCACACATCCTATTGGTTCTGTTTCTCTGTTCACATTGTATGAGTAATGCATTACATTTCTTTTATTTTTCTATTACAATTCTTATTTTTGCAGAAACATTTAGGGATAAATTGAAGGTATCATGACCTGTCATCTCTAAATAATCCAGGATCCATCCCTTAAGAATAAGGTCATTATTTTGAATAACTGTGATAAAATCTAGAAAATTTATCATTGATTCAACATTATTTTGTAACATATAGTCCATATGTGAATTTACCAATTGTGCCAATGTTGTCTTTTATAGCAGTTTTCTTTTTTCTCAAGCAAGGATCAATCTGAGATCATGTACTCCATTTAGTTGTCAGTTCCTTTAATTTCCTTTAGTCTGGAACAATTTTTCTATTTTTCCTTGTCTTTTTGACATTATCATTTTGAAGCATACAGGCCAGTTGCTTGCAGAGTCTTTCTCAATTTAAGTTTAATCTAAGTGTTTCCCCATGAGTTCTTGACAGGAATACCACACCATTGATCTTATTTTCAATGTCACATCAGGAGGCATGTGATGTCAGCTTGTGCCTTATTGGTGATATAACTTTTATCACGTTGTTAAGGTGGCATCTGCCAGATTTCTCCACTGTAAAAATACTCCTTTTTCTTTTGGAGTTAAGTAATCTGCTAGAAGATAATTTGAGACTATGTAAATAAATGCCTTGTTCCTTCACATACTTTTACCCAATGTGAATCCATTGATAATTCTGAATCCATTGATGATGATTTTGCCTGAATCTGTTATTACAATGACAGTTGCAAAACAGTGATTTTTCTATTATCCCTTTTACATTTATTAGTTGGTATACTATAGTTAAGCTTTTTATTCTTTCCTTTTATTCATCCAATTATGCATTTATTTATTCATTCATTCCTCCATTTATATTGTTAGTCACAGTATAGATTCATGAATTCCTTTTAATTCATTATGTTATCATCTATTATTTCCACTATTTATTGAGGTGTGTTGGCCTCTGTATCCCTTTGACATGTGACTTCACTTTGGGAGGGCATTTAATTATTTTCTGGTACACAGGCATAACACAAATTCCAGGCACATCTTGGACTTTGCATGGTTCCAGCCCTAGAATCACCCAGTTTTTTTCAGAAATCCCTGGTTTCTTCTTTTGGGGAAAGGCATTTAGAAACCAAAATCCGGATGCCATGTGAGCTTATTGCTACTGCAATATTATAGATCCTGGGCCCTGTGATAATTTCACACTGATACCTTTCATTCTAACCTACCCAAAGGATTGCCTTTCTGCATTCCATGTTTGTATCTTTCTTCTCTATCAGTGAAAAACCCCAGCTCCCAACAGCATCGGTATGTTTATGCAAAGGCTCAATTTTAAAATGCATAAAAAATAATTTCAGAATGTGGCATTGAAACCCAACCCAACAATAAACCTGCTAAGCAGAGATCCTGATTTTTTTGTAGTTCTTGTTTTCATTAGCCTGCTGGTATAAAGTTCTGTACTGTTTTCAAAAGTTTTTATATTTGCTATGAACTAAACTGTATCCTCCCAAAATCCATATGTTGAATCCCTAATCCCCAGCATGACTGTACTTGAAGATAGGGCCTTTAGGGTATAATTAGGGTTAAATGAAGTCATAAAAGTGGGGCCCTGATACAATAAGGTTAGTGTGCCTATAAGAAGAGATGCCATAGAGCTCACTGTAAGTGTGCACAAAGTAGAGATCCTGTGAGCACACAGTGAGAAGGCAATGGCCTGCAAGCCAAGAAAAGAGGCCTGAGAATGAAATAGACAAAGCTAGTATACTGATCTTGGACTTTCCAGCCTCCAGAGCTGTAAGCCATACATTTCTGTTGTTTAAGACACCTAGTCTGTGGGTATTTTGTTAGGGAAGCTCCAGTAGACTAATATAGCATTACTCCTTTTTCCCCTTCAGTATGCTTAACAAATAGTTCTGTTGAAGGATGTTTACTTTTTCACTCTTGTTGGATTAATGTTATTTTTAAATATGTTAAACATTACCACTTTTCCAAAAGCAAAATCTATTAAAAACATGTACACTTAAAGAAGTCTTACTTCCTCCTCTATCACATTCACAGCATATCAATCCATCTTCTGTACATAAGAAATTTTGTTAGCTTCTGTTTGCCCTGAGTTGTTTCTTTTGTAAAAATAAGATATACATCTATAACTAGGTTTATCTATGCTCTTCTTTCTCATATCAAAAGTATCACTGTATGTTCTCTTTTACATTTTGCTTTTGTAGCTTGCCAATATCTACTGCAAATTATATCATATAACTTCATAGAGACTATTTCCATTCTGTGTTATACCTACTTGGTTAGAGAAGAATTTTGGGCTTGGTGTGGTGGCTCATGCCGATAATACCAGCATTTTGGGAGGCTGAGGCAGGAAGATCCCTTGAGCCCAGGAGTTTGAGACCAGCCTCAATAAACAAAATTAACCAGGCATTGATGGTGTTTACATTAGTCAGTATGCTGTTTTTGAGCTTTTTATTTCTTCCTTTTATTCATTCAGTTATGCATTCATGTATTCATTCATTCCTCTATTTATATTTTTAGTCTCAGTATAGATTCATGAAGTCCTTTTTATTCATTGTGTTACAATCTATTATTCCTATTATTTATTGAGATGTGTTGGCTTCCATATCCCTTTGACATGTGACATCACTTTGGGTCCCAGCTATTCCAGAGGCTGAGGTGGGAAGATTGCTTGAACTGGGGAGGTTGAGGCTACAGTGAGCCAAGACCACACCATTGCACTCCAGCCTGAGTGACAGAGTGAGACCCTGTCTCAAAAAATATATATATTATGGATGAAAAAATACTGAATGTGAAATATCACAAAATTGTGAGATGTAGCTAAAATCATGCTTAGAGGGAAATTAAAGCTTTGCTTGCATATGTTAGAAAACAAGAAATATTGAAAATCAGTTATTCTTATATACATCTAGAAAAGTAGCAAATTAAAGCCACAGAAGTAGAAGAATGGAAATAATAAAGACAAAAAACAAAAGTCAATTAAAAATATAGAGAAAATAAACATATCCAGAAGTGTATTTTTGTAAAAGACAGATAAAATGGGTAGACCCCCACTTAGTAAATCTCCTATTGTTCATGAATCAAAGACAGATGACAAAAATTATTAACATTAGGAATGAAAAATCTTTTAGACATTAAACATTAGTGAGAAAATATACTGGACCATTTGCCAATAAATTTGACAACTTTGATGGAAGGGACAGTTTTTTTAAAGCAACTTACAAAAGCTAAAACCAAATAGAAATGTGAAGATACCCAGATCTAATAAATGAGTAATATTTTCAAATAAAAATATCCCCACAAAGAAAATTCCAGGTTTATATGACATCACCAGTGAAGTCTTCCAAGTATTTGAGAAAGAAACAATGCCATTATTAAACTAACTTTTTCAGGAAATAGAAAAACTGAGAACACATCCTAATTTATTATGAGGTCAGCAGTATCTTGTAATGAAACAAAGGAAAACCAGTGTTCAGTCACTTTAGTAATATTAAAAGAAAAAAATAGTGTATAGTCATTTTACTGAACATAAAATTTAAAAGCTTTAAAAAAATCAGGAAACCAAATATAGCAATCTATTAAAAAAGATAGTACAACAGGCCAAATTGGGATTATTTGCAGGAATGCAAGATTAGTTTAACATCGGAAAATTGATCAATTCACCACAATAACAGAGTAAATGAGGAAAATCTGATTATTTCAATGGACATAGAAAAAGCATTTGATGTAATTTAGTGACTGATAAAATTTAGCACATGCCATGAAAAGAAAAAAATCCTTATAAATAAGAAGTAGAAATAAGACATTAGAAATGGAAGTTAGAATTTCTTAACAAATAAGAAATATAAGTGTATTCTGAAAAAGAACATGACAAAGAAGCTATAATAAATGCAATACTTGACATGGATCTGAAGCAGCATTTTTGTCTGGGGTAAATACCCAAATTCGTTGTCTCATGGCCATGGAAAACTAGGATGCTGACACACAAAGATTGAGGTTCAGAGCAGGAGTTTAATAGGCAAAAAAAGAGAAGAGCACTTTCTGCTACAGAGTGAGGGGTCCTGGAGAAATGGGTTGCCGGCTCCACAGTGAAATGCAAAGGGTTTTATAGATGAGCTTGAGGAGGTGGTGTCTGATTTAGATAAGGGACAAAAGATTGGTTGAACCACGTGTGCCATTTGCATAAGGCATGAAAAACTGGTTAGGACTAGGTGTGTCATTTGTGAAAAAGCTGGCTGCCACATCCTAATCTTTTATTATGCAGATGGGTTCTCTGTCTAGCTGGTGCCATGTTGCCTGTTCCTTTACTGCACACATGGTGACAAAGAAAAGGAAAGATGGAGCCTCCATGTTGAACATACCTGGCTTCCAGGTAGCCCTTTTCTATTGGCACAGCTGCCGGCTTTCACCTGTTCAAGTTTTCAGCTTGCTTATCCATGTCTGCAGCTTTATTTTTCAGGCTGCTCTTTGTTAGAAAGGAAATGATTTTTGTTAAAAGGGAAATTCTGCTTTTTGTTAAAAGGGAAATTCTGCCAAGGACTCCGTTGCCCTTACTATCTGCCTAAATAATTTCTTTCTGTCTCCTGTATCAGAACTATTAAAAATGTTCCTTCTGGCCAGGCACCATGGCTCACGCCTGTAATCCCAGCACTTTGGGAGGCCGAGGTGGGTGGATCTCGAGGTCAGGAGATCTAGACCATGGTGAAACCCTGTCTCTACTAAAAATACAAAAAATTAGCCAGGTGTGGGGGTGGGCACCTGTAGTCCCAGCTACTGGGGAGGCTGAGGCAGGAGAATGGCATGAACCCAGGAGGTGAAGCTTGCAGTGAGCTGAGATCATGCCACTGCACTCCAGGCTGGGAGACAGAGCGAGACTCTGTCACAAAAAAAAAAAAAAAAAAATGTTCCTTCTGAGATCAGGAAGGAGGTAAGACTATGTATTATCACTATTTTTATTCAGTGTTGTACTGTGGTTCCTAGCCATTACAATACAGCAAGAAAAATAAATAAACATATAAAGACCAGAAAGAAAAAATGAAATGACATTATTTGTGGACAACCTAATTGGTTTTAAATTCAAAAGCCTATACAGATAAATAAAATTAGTAAATGAATTTAGTAAGGTCACTAGATATAAGAACACTATGTCAAAAGCATTTTTTTGTACTAACAACAAACAACAAGAAAATAAAATTTAAAATAATGATCATGATAGCATAAAAAATATAAAACGACTGGAGAAAAAATCTGACAAAAAGTAATGCAGGACTGCTATGTAGAAAAATACTAAATATCACTGAAGGAAATTAAAGAAGACTTAAGTAAACTGAGGGATATATCATGTTTATTTATTGAAACAGTAAAGGTATAGATTCTCCTAAAATTTTTTTTTTTTTGAGACATGATCTGGCTCTGTTGGCCATACTGTAATGCAGTGGCATGATCTCGGCTCACTGCAACCTCAGGCCCCTGGATTCAAGTGATTCTCGTGCATCAGCCTCCTGAATAGCTGGGATTGTAAGCGGGCACCACCAAGCCCAGCTAATGTTTGTATTTTTTGTAGAGATGGGATTTCATCATGTTGGCCAGACTCATCTCAAACTCTTGACCTCAAGTGATCTGCCTGCTTTGGCCTCCCAAAGTGCTGGGATTACAGGTGTGAGCCACTGTGCATGGTCAAGATTCTCCTAGAATTTATCTACATTTCAATAGTATTTCAATCAAAATCTCAAAAGGCCTATCATATGGAATTTGAGAAACTTTCTATAACAGTTATATAAGATGCATAGGGCCAAGAATAGCCAAACCGATGTTAAAGAGCAAGTTAGAAAGACAACAGTACTAAGTACTAATGCCTATTACAAAGCTCCTATAATAAACACAATATGGTTTTGGCCCAAGGCAAAATAGAAGAAAGGAAAGGGAAAAGAAACCAGAAACAAAGCTTGTACGTACGTAGACATCTGATCCGTGAAAAAGGTGACTCTGCAGTAATTAATATGGAGAAAACAAGGTCTTTTTATCTCTTGGGACTGAGTCAACTCTTCATATGGAAAAACAAAAGTAATCTTGATACCACCTCACATCATACTAAAAACCTTCAAACAGAATTTCAACTAAATGGTAAAGGCAAACAGAAAAGCTTTTAGGAGAACACAGAGGAGAATATCTTCATGGTATTCTGAGGGGTATATCCTGTTCATTTATTAAAACAGTAAAGGTATAGATTAAAGTAAAGGTATAGCCAGACTCTCTTACCTAGATATAGGTAAAGATTTTTTTTTTAAGCCAAAAAATATACCAAGTGTAATGGGTAAATGGATACAAGAATTATATAAAATTATGAACTCCTCTTTATCAAGAGATATCATTGAGTCTGTGAAAAGGCAAGGCATAGGGTGGGAGAAGATTTTTGTAATACCCATAGTTGACAAAGGGCTGATCACATGGTTGTAGCTGATATTGATGACTACCTTCTTCTACTACCCATTCTGCATTCCTTTTGCCTTTAGCAGGCACCTCAGCAGGTCGTAGTGTTTTTCTTGTTGGAGTGACCCAATCACAAATTAGTCGTGACATATTGATGTAATAAAATATTCCAGCCAATGAGAATGAATTATTGCCACATATGATCAAATGGATTAATCTCACACATCTAATGTTGAGGAGAAGAAGCCAGACACAGAAGTGTAGACATTGTATGAGGTTCAAAAATGGGCAAGACAGACTTTATGTGATAAAAGCCAGTATATGGGCTACCTTTGAGGATGCAGCCTGTATGAGAGGTTTCTGGGGGGCCTAGGGCTGTTTCTTTCTTGATATGCTTGATGGTCGCATGGTGCATTTCCTTTCTAAATGATCATCCATTAAAATGAGCTATGTGTGCACTTATCTGGCAATAAGACATTTATTAAACAAAAAAATGAAGCCTGGGTTTTACCTCTCCCAGATGTCAATTGAATTTTTGAAAGTGGAGAGAGAGGCAGGGGACTAAGAATAATGACATTATATTTATTGAAGATTATTGAGTGCCAGGTCTGTATTTATTCTATTTCATGCCATTTTATAATTTAATCAAGGTAGCTGTTATAACTCCCACTTTACATGTGGAAATTGGGATCTAGAGAAATTAAATAACTTGCCTAGATTATGCCCACAGTAAAAACCAGTCCCAGGGTGTGCCCAGGCTTTAACCCAAAGTAGAAGTGAGATTTTTAGGAACTGCAGCTGTTTTGAAAAGGGAAAAAGGGGCCAGGCATGGTGGTTCACACCTGTAATCACAGCACTTTGGGAGGCCGAGGCGGGTGGATCACCTAAGGTCAGGAGTTGGAGATCAGCCTGACTAACATGGTAAAACCCTGTCTCTACTGAAAATACAAAAAATACAAAAATTAGCCCATAATCTCAGCTACTTGGAAGGCTGAGGCAGGAGAATCGCTTGAACCTGGGAGACAGAGGTTGCAATCGTGCCATTGCACTCCAGCGTGGGTGACAGAGTGGGGGTCTCAAAAAAAAAAAAAAAAAAAAAGAAAGAAAGAAAGAAAGAAAAGGGAAGAAGGGAGAAGGGAGCGATTTTTTAGGTGTGAAAAGTGGTTTTGTGGCCCCTTAATCACACATATGGATGCTGATGTATTAGATTTAATTAAATATTTAGGTGAAGGAATATTTAGGTAAGTTTGATGCAGTGTATCTTTCTTTCTTTCTTTCTTTCTTTTTTTTGAGATGGAATCTCCCTCTGTCGCCCAGGCTGGAGTGCAATGGCGCCATCTCGGCTCACTGCAAGCTCCGCCTCCCGGGTTCACGCCATTCTCCTGCCTCAGCCTCCCGAGTAGCTGGGACTACAGGCACCCGCCACCACGCCTGGCTAATTTTTATTTTTTTTTGTATTTTTATTAGAGACGGGGTTTCACCATGTTAGCCAGGATGGTCTCGATCTCCTGACCTCATGATCTGCCTGCCTCGGCCTCCCAAAGTGCTGGGATTACAGGCGTGAGCCATGCACCTGGCAGATGCAGTGTATCTTTCAAATATTTATCTAATGTAAATGACGAGTTGATGGGTGCAACAAGCCAACATGGCACATGTATACCTATGTAACACACCTGCAAGTTGTGCACATGTACTCTAGAACTTAAAGTATATTTAAAAAATCACATAGTACATGAATTCATTCATATGAAAGTCCAGAACAGGGAAATCTATAGAGACAGAAAGCAAACTTATGACTGAAGTGATGATGTTGGGGGTAAGAGGCTGAGAGCTAAAGAGTATGGGGTTTCTTTTGAGGTTTATTTTGATGAAAATAATCTAAAATTGACTATGGTAATGGATGCACACATCTGTGAATATACTAAAAATCATTGAATCACTTTAAATAGGTGAATTATAATGTATATAAATTATATCTCAATAAAGTGATGCTCAATGCAAAAGAAAAAAAAATTCTGCGATTTAATCAAAATGTCTCAAGCCCATTTTGCAAAACCAGAGCTGCTAAGCCATCTTTCTTTGCATGTTATCTTACAGACATCCCTGACTGGTGTCAGTTTTGGAAACGTGTAGAGAATATCATGGAACTCATGTTTTAATTCCTCTCACAATTTGGACCAGTTCACTGGCAAATTTCAAAATATCGCTTGCAAAGTATTTCTGTCAGCTGTAGTGGGCATTAAGCATTTAGAATCAATCTCTGATCATTTTCATCCTTTTTGCTTTTCTGTGAAGAAAAATTATTGATCAAAGGTTTTAGCCTCATTTAATATAGTCAAGCAGCTTTTAAATTTCCTTTATAAGCCACAGCAGGGATGGGCATTTCCTCCCAGCTTAACACAACGCAAATCAATCTGTCTCATGGTGCTGTCTTATTGCATATCAAACTGGCCGAGGCACGTATTTCTTCTTCTTGCCGTAAACTTTCTAGCATACCAAAAATGTAGGTGTTTGATTGATATTTTAAGTTGCAGGAAAACAAAAAATAAATTCTGTTTCAGTGTGAAATTCTACATCTCAACCACATCCAAAAAAAAATCACTTCCCATTTTATCTTATTCCCCCAAAATGAGATATTCCGTGGCATTAAACTTTTTTCTGTTTTGTTTTGTTTTGGTTTTGAGACAGAGTCTCGCTCTGTCACCCAGGCTGGAGTGCAGTGCCACGATCTCCGCTCACTGCAACCTCCACCTCCCTGGTTCAAGTGATTCTCCTGCCTCAGCTTCCTGAGTAGGTGGGATTACAGGCGTGCACCACCATGCCTGGCTAGTTTTTGTATTTTTAATAGAGACAGGGTTTCACTATGTTGGCCAGGCTCGTCTTGAACTCCTGACCTCCAGTGTTCTACCCACCTTGGTCTCCCAAAGTGCTAGGATTCCAAGCGTGAGCCACTGTGCCCAGCCTATGTAGCATTAAAATTTTGACTTCTGACTCCTTATCTGCATGTTCCTAATAACGTCATTTTTGGACTTGTGCAAATCACCGTCATAACTAGGGCATATGAATGTCCTGAAATCTTGGGTTATTTCTGCTTTATACCCTTTTTCCTGGAACAATTATTAATACTGCCCCTTTTAGCTCTCAAAAATGTCTTAAATTGTGGATAATTATATGAACACAATTATAATGAGAACATAGTCTCTTCTTTAAAAGAGGAAACCTTGGGATGAAGATTTACATTGTATTGATGGAAATCAATGGGAAATCCACAGACAGCATTTAGTGTCTTTCACCAACTTCTCATGTGTTTAAACAACTGTATTGAATTTGACTTTTTACTTTCCAATTTGGCAATTCTTTGTGTGCTGATTTGATTAATGTTAATCTCTCCTACTGGACCAGAGGCTCTAGGAGGTCAAGGACCATGTCTATTTTTGAACACCATCTCTAGAGTTAACCCAGTGCTGACAAATAGGAGGTGCTCAGTATTTAACCATTTAATGAATAAACAAATGAATATTTTACTGGGTTTTCAAATTTTCAAAAAGACCAAACATTATCCCATTTGATTCTCACTCTCTACATTATAACTCCAGAAAGGGCCAGTAGCATCAGTTTTGTTTACCAAATATTGAAACCATGTTTTGTAGTAAAGATTTATCTCTTATTATCTATAAAGCTGGAGGCAGAGCTGACTCTATTTTAGGCTTCATTTATTTTTTCTAGGGACAGGATCTTGCTCTGTCTTCCAGGCTGGAGTGCAGTGGTGCCATAATAGCTCATTGCAGGCTTGAACTCTTGAAATCAAGCAATCCTCCCACATCAGCCTCCTGAGTAGCAGGGACAACAGGCAAGTGCCAATGCACCTGGATAATTTTTTTAAAAATTTTATTTTACTTTTGGTAGAGATGGGGTCTTCCCAGACTAGTCTCAAACTTCTGGCCTCAAGAAATTCTCCTGCCTTGACCTCCCAATGTGTTGGGAATACAGGCATAAGCCACTTCACCCAGCCTGATCTTAATTTTTACATGAGTTCATATGCTGAACTCACGTGGACTTGGCTGCAAATAACAAAAACTTCATCTAATTGTGGCTTAAACTGTAAGAATATTGTTTACTTAACAAGATGTTTTAACCCAAGTAAACCCTATTGTTTACTTAATCCAAGTAAATCCTATTGTTTACTTAACCCAAGTAAATCCTATTGTTTACTTAACCCAAGTAAATCCTATTGTTTACTTCACAAAATGTTTGAAGGTAGGCAGTTCCAAAGTCTTCTAAGTCGCCCTCTTAGTTTCTCTATGATTTTTGGTTGCAAGATGGCTGCCTTAGCTTCCTATGGTATATTATTGCACCAATGAGCCACACCTATGAGAAAATAATGACACGAGACAAAATAAAGTGTTTGAATTGTGTCTCTGCCACAAAATATGTTGTAATCCTAAACTCTAGTACTCAGAATGTCACCTTACTTAGAGATAGGGCATTTACGGAGATGAACAAGTCAAAACAGCATCATTTGGGTTGGCCCTAATCCACTTTGACTGATGTTCTTATAAAAAGGGGAGAAATTTGGACACAGAGACAGACATACATAGAGAGAAGATGATTTCAAGATGTACAGGAGGAAGACAGTCATCGATAAGCAAAGGAGAGAGGTCTGGAAGAGAGGTCTGAGGTCTTTCTTCACAGACCTCAGAAGGAATCGACTCTGTCAACACCTTGATGTTGAACTTGTAGCCTCCAGAATGGTGAGATCATACATTTTTCTGTTGTTTAAGCTGCCTAGGTTGTGGTACTTTGTTACCGCAGCCCTAGAAAACTAATTCACGCCCCTCATGCAGATTTTTCTTTGTTTTATTAGCTAAAAGACCTCCAGTGGAGTCTGATAAAGTGAGTGTCTACCAGGATGAAATAGTGAAATCGTCATCCTGTGGGGTCAGGGACCTCAGGATTGGACATCCCCTGGGTTTGTTGAGAGCAAAGAAAGGGATGCTGACTTTTCAATTGCCTAATCATCCTGTCACAACCTGATTCACTAATTTTATTATTATTATTTTTTTTGAGATGGAGTCTCACTCTGTCACCCAGGCTGGAGTGCAATGGTGTGATCTCAACTTACTGCAACTTCCGCCTCCTGGGTTCAAACCATTCCCCTGCCTCAGCCTCCCCAGTAACTGGGATTACGGGTGCCTGCCACCACACCCAGCTAATTTTTAATATTTTTAGTAGAGACGGGGTTTCACCAAGTTGGCCAGGCTGGTCTCGAACTCCTGACCTCAAGTGATCTGCCTGCCTCGGCCTCCCAAAGTGCTGGGATTACAGGCATGAGCCACCATGCCCGACCCTCCATCACTACTGGGCACAATCTACCTCTTCTCTGCAGACATACATCTGTGGTATTGATGGGAGCCACATCAGACTGGCCAGACATGCAGTCACCAGTCAGAGAAGTTAGGGAACAAAGATAGGACTCGGTTTGCGGCAGTGCACAGAGGCATCCTTGGGAGAGATTTTTTTTTTTCATGTTCCTTCAATAATAATAGTAATAAAATGATATGCAAGCTAAGTCCTGCGAGATACTCTTATCTATTAATATATCTCTAATCGAAACATGTATCACATCACGTTCTGAATGTTGGCATATGAATAACAAAGCATTTTCTGTAAGATGTGAATTCCTGACCCTCATATTGAAGCCTCTGGGCTGATGCCTATTCTGGTCTAAATTTGATAATGGCATTGGAGTCACACATTTATTTCGCCATTATGCAGAGTGTCTTTGGCTGGATGAATGAGCCAAACTCAATTTATATTTAAAACAACGGTTGAAGAAACAGGTTTTTTTTCCCTCGTCAAATCTGAAACATCTGGAATTCTAGCCGCCATGCAAAGATTTTCATGTTAAAGCAACGTGAGAACTCTGATTAAAGCCAAAACATTAACTTTTAATCAGTAGAAGGTTTAATTGAAAAGACTCTTTATCTGTGGCTTATGTCATATTAGTGTGTATTGTGTATTTAACTTTTTTAAAAACCAATTTTACGTGCTTCAATTTAATGTAGCATAACCAATCCACTTCACAGACACTTTTCTCTGTAACTTGTACACACAATCTAATTCAATCTTCATCAATATCATTGTATCAGGAGTCATCCCAGCTTGAGCTCACTGAAGGCTTTTCTGGTCACACCTAAGGACGCATCAGAGATGCAGGCTGGGGAGTATGATCAGATCTGTGTTTCCGAAAGATCACTAGCTTTCATGTGGGGAACAAATTGGAAGGAAGCAAGAGAGAAACAGGTCCCCCAAACAACAACAGCAACAACAGTGTACGTGACGGGCAGAGATGTGGGAGGACAAGGTTCACTGTCCAGTCCAGATTGTGGGTCCATGGCTAGCTTGAAATTCTTTCACTTTGTTTGTATGTTTAAACATTACAGAACATTTTTTTAAAAGGTGGATACAGGTAGACCAGTTAGGAAGGCATTGCGGTAACCCGGGCAAGAAATTAAAGGCTTAGTTTATGTTTAAAAAAAAAAAAAGGTTGGAATTTGAACCAAAAGGTTAACAAGCCTGGCAAGAGACAAATGGATTGAACTAAATTAACTCTTATAACCTAGCTGCAAATCATTTCTGCTCTGGCCAGCTAGAGAGGGCTTGGCATCTTGTTTATAACTCCTGGATTATTGACTCTGTTCCAACCTCAATCTCAATCTACATTCTCTCTTTCACTTTTCTTTTTTTTTGGCTGTTAGGTTGCCTTTCCCAAGGGCTCTCAGGGAATAAAAGAAACTCTTGATAAATTAGATGTTTTTCCCTTTAGGCCGGTAGCTTGATTATTTGAGAAAAAAGATCAGCTTGGCTCAGTGGCTCATGGCTGTAATCGCAAAACTTTAGGAGACCAAGACAGGAGGATTGCTTGAAACCAGGAGTTTGAGACAAGCTTGGGCAACATAGCAACATCCCATCTCTATAAAAATATAAATTAAAAATTGGTCAGGCATGGTGGTGTGCACCTGTAGTCCCAGCTACTTGGGAGGCTGAGGTGGGAGGATCACTTGAGCCCAGGAGTTTGAGGCTTCAGTGAGCCATGATCATGCCACTGCACTGCAGCCTAGGTGACACAGTGAGACCCTGTCTCAAAGAAAAAAAAAGAAAGATGCTTATTTGAAAAGCCAAGGAAAGCTATCATCCCAGACAAATGTCTATATGTCCACATAAGGAAATTTGCATACTCTGGGGAGCAGAGAAGCATTCAGGGACCCTTAAAGTCCCAGGTCCAGGGACACAGGTCAGGAACTTCATTCTGGATCTGATGGAATGTGGAACTCATCATCCAGCATCAGGCATTGTTGTGGTTCCTCTCTGCCTGGGGTATCTGTGCAGGCTAATGCCTGGTACTGAATGTTCTGAGAGCAATGAAGGAGGAAGTAGAGCACAGCAAGCGAGGGCTTCTGTCATTTCATCTCAGGGAAATGGCACTGTCCTGCAAGCCTGAAGGTGGCCCAATTAGCATATGGTAATTAAAACTGCTGCAATAATGCTGCCTCCTTATTTTCTTTTGTGGGCACCATGGAGGTGGCGGGGTGGCAGACGGGGACTGTCAGAGCACCAGATAAAGCTGTCTGTCAGTACCCCTCGTCTTGTGGATGCATGAAGAGGGGAGGACACAGCTTTTGCAAGGACAGAGTGAGAGAGAAGGATGGAATTGGAGGAAAGGCAAGAAGCAAATCATAACAGTAGAGAACTGTGCCCAGTGCTCAGGGGTCTCTGCCATGCTGTCCCCTGGGAGTGTCATTTTGCTCCCTTGTTTGTCGTCTAAACAGAGTGACAAATAGCCCTAGATCTCTTCCCTTGGTGAAGTGGCACAGTCTCTGAGAGAAGGGAGCACAGAGCCAAGCAGTGCACGGAGCAGCGCCAGCGGTGGGGGGATTTGGGGGTTGTAGGGGGCCCCACATGCAGGAGGAGGTGTGTAGGTGGAGCTTTGGGTTTCTCCATTCTGGAAAGGGACCTCACTTTGGGTTTTCTTACCCAGAACAGGAGCAGACAAGGAGCTGTCCCCCAAGGTAGACACCGAATCTAAACATGAAATTGACACTGAAATGAGGATAGACAGCTGAGGGTCAGGGAGGGGGTGGGGTGAGTGATAAAGAGCAAGATTTCAAATGCCAGCACAGCCCAGAGGGAATGGGAGAATGTTTCAGAAAATCGATGCTAGTTACACAACCTATGAGTGGATAGATGGTGTGTTGATGAATGGGTGGGTGGGTAGATGGATGGATGAGTGGAAGGGGGAAGAAGTGGAGGAGAGGGGAGGGAGGGATAAATGGATAGATGGTAGGTTGATCGATGAGTGAGTAGATAGATGGATGGAGGGATGGTTGGAAGGGAGGGAAGAAGTTGGGATGGATGAGGGATGGATGGATAGATAGACGGATGATGGATGATGGCTGTAGCATTCATAGGTACGGAGAACATGGCCGAGATTGCCTGAGATGGTTCCCATTGGCCAGGCTGGGTTGATACTTTGTGATCCAAATGGCACGACTTACCTTGCATTCTGCACCTGACTTTTCCAGGGTCATATGCTTGGGCTATGGTTTGGAAAAGCCTTTAGGTCAGAGCTTGACAAGCTGCCACCCCAGTGAAGCTCTTGTGAGGCTCACCTGGGCTACCCTGTCTTCCATCCTCTTTATGCAACCTCCTTTAAACACCAGCCTCCCAAATGATTACGAAGCTGGACTCCACCCACCGTCCAAGGCCCTCATGCTGCCCCTCGAGCCCTGAGTGGCCTTTTCCCGTCCTTATATCCCCCCCACATTACTCACAGCCAGCAAGCAGCCCTCCATGATTCAGGCTTCACTTTCTCATCTCTACCTTGGGAGCTTATAAGCTTTGCTTTCATCTTCTCCCTGGTGGCACAGCAGGTTTGGTAAATTGCTGGTGCCGGAGCTGATAATGGACTAGCCATAGCTGTGGTGCTTCTAATATGTGTGCTATTCATTTTTGTATTTATTCATTTTTTATTTCTGTTTTTTAGAGACAGGGTCTTGCAGTGTCATCCAGGCTGGAGTGCAGCAGCATGATCATAGCTCACAGCAGCCTCAGACTGCTGGATTCAGGTGATTCTCCCGCCTCAGCCTTCCAAGTGGCTGCGACTACAAACACATACCACCATACCTGGCTAATTCTTTTATTTTTATATTCCTTTGTAGAGATGGGATCTTGCTATGTTGCCCAGGCTGATCTCAAACTCCTGGGCTCAAATGATCTTCTTGCCTCAGCCTCCCAAGTTGCCAGGATTACAGGCATGAGCCACTGTGCCTGGCCACACATGCGTTTTAAGAGAAGACTTAACGTCTTAACCCTGAAAACACAATGCTTTGTACATGTATCTATGCGAAGAAGCAAGGTTTTTCCTTAGGTGTCTCCTATTGGTTTGTGTGTGATAAATTCCAACTTCCTTAACAGGGCATTCAGGCCCCAGTGTGATAAGTTCCTGGCACCTACATTTCCCGACTAATCCCCTCTGTGATCTCTCCTGTGTGATATTCTCTGGCTGCTGAGGACTCCTAGCTGCTCTGCATTCCTCTCATTGCATCTTTCCTCATCCACGTCTCCTGTTTCTGCTCCTTTTCTACCTGCTGAGGTTTCACCTTTCCTTAAAGGCTCAACTCAGGCAGCACTTCCTCCATGACACTTTCTGGACATCCTACACATCATCCTGTGTATCAGTGGTGGGTTTTCTTTCTTTCACTTTTGTTGGTCCCATTGTTATAATGCATCCTTTTATCAATCCATCTATCCATCC